>NC_000019.10:41483298-41786328 GCF_000001405.40 Homo sapiens
CAAAACCAAAAATCGACCAGTGCAAATTTAAACCAAACTGAAAATTTTAATTATATAAATTCAAAAGCTTTACTGAAACAAAAAGCTGCTGCACAGCCAAAGAAATAATCCTCTCAACAGAGTGAGCAGACAAACTGCAGAACGGAAGAAATTATTTGTAAACTTTTCCTTTGACAAAAGACTAATACCGAGAGTAAACAAAGATCTCAACTACAACAGAAAACTCCAAAGAATCCCATTAAAAAGTCGGCAAAGGACATAAAGAGACTTTTTTATTTTTTATCTTATTTATTTATTCATTTGTTTTTATGAGACAGGTCTTTCTCTATTACCCATGCTGTAGTGCAGTGCCATGATCTTGGCTCACTGCGACCTGTGCCTACCGGGTTCAAGCAATTCCTGTGCCTTAACCTCCTGAGTAACTTGCACCACAGGCACGAGTCACAGCCCGTGGCTGATTTTTTGTATTTTTAGTAAAGATGGGGTTTTGCCTTGTTGGCCAGGTTGATTTCTGCCTCTTTGCCTCAAGTGATCCATTGGCCTCAGCCTCCCGAAGTTCTGGGGTTACAGGCATGCTCAACCGCACCTGGACAGGAGTCAGTTTTTAAAAGAGCACATATAAATGGCCAAAAGGTATTTCAAAGAAATTCTCCACACCATGAATCGTCAGAGAAATGGTCATTAAAACCACATTGAGGTTGGGTGCGCTGCCTCATGACTGTAATTCCAACACTTTGGGAGGCTGAGGCAGGTGTATGATGAGCTCAAGAGACTGTGATCATCCTGGCCAACATGGTGAAACCCTGTCTTTACTAAAAATACAAAAAATGAGCCAGGCCTGTTGGCACGCGCCTGTAGTCCCAGCTACTCGGGAGGCTGAGGCAGGAGAATTGCTTGAACCCGGGAGGTGGAGGTTGCAGCAAGCCACGATCACACCACTGCACTCCAGTCTGGCAACAGAGTGAGACCCCGTCTCAAAAATATCAACAACCACCACAATGAGATATCTTACTCCAGTCAGAATGGGTATTATGAAAAAGACAAAAACATAACAAATGTTAGTGAGAATGTGGAGAAAAGGGGAAATCTTATGCATTGTTGTTGGGAATGTAAATTAGCGCAGATTTTATGGCAAACACTATGGAGATTTCTGAAAGAACAAAAAATATAACAACTACTCAGTCCTGCAGTTGCAGTACTGGGTACCTACTCAAAGGAATAGATCAAAATGCACACAAATATTTGCTGCAGCATTATTTACAGTAGCAAAGACATGGAATCACCCTACATGTCAATCAACAGAAGAATAAATAAAGAAAATGTGGTATGTATACATACAGGAATACTATTCAGTTATAAAACAGTGAAAATCATGTCTTTTGCAGCAACCTGGAAGGAACTGGAGGTCATTATTTTGGGTAAAACAAGCCAGGCAGAGAATCCCAAATATCACATTTTTCAGGACCAGCAGGGTATTTCACACCTGTAATTCCCATGCTTTTCCAAAACAGTATAAGAGAATTGCTTGATGACTGGGTGACACAGTGAGACCCTATCTCTGCAAAAACAATATATGTGTATATATATATATATATGGAGAGAGAGAAATCAGCTGGGCATGGAAGCTGGGACTACAGGTGCGTGCCACCACACCCGGGTAATTTTTTTGTGTGTTTTTAGTAGAGATTGGGTATCAACAGGTTGCTCTGAGTGGTCGTGAACTCCTGAGCTCAGGCAATCTGCCCTCCTTGGCCTCCCAAAGTGCTGGGATTACAGGTGTAAGCCACCACTCACAGTCTTCCTTCCTTCCTCCCTTCAGGTGATTGCTCAGATGCTGCTTATTCTTGGAGGATATCCCTGACCAACTTATAGAATTAGCGGGAACCTTATGGTTGACACATTTCCTATGTTCCTCACCTGCTTTCTTTTCTTGTGGAGGACTTACAGCTGTCTGAAATACAGCATGTTTCTTTCTTGATTGCCTTTCTCTCCTCCCGAGAATATCAGTTGCACGAGGCCAGTGACTGTTTCTCTCTTTTCTGAGTCTCCTGCAACCACCGGTAGCATACACATAGTGTATCCTTAATATCTCCTTGTTCAAAAGGTGAATTTCTTGAAGCTGGGGGGCAGAGGTTGCAGTGAGCTGAGATTGTGCCACTTGATTCCAGCCTGGGCGTAAGAGCAAAACTTGGTTTCTGGCTGGGGGGAAAAAGGATAAATTTCTCTATTCATGAAAAATTGGACATTGGGAATCAAGTATAGCCACCTTAGTTTTTCAGTGATAATTCCAGCCCTGTCAACTTGTAGGAATCATGTACGATGGTTCCCTTTGCTGGAGGCTATTGCTGTGTAATAAAATATCCCTAATTAGTAGGAAAGAATAACCATCATTGATTTGTGCTCACAAATGCTGTGAACAAGAGGTTCTGATGAGGAGAGTGGAGATGACTTCTCTGTGTGATCTCAGCTCACTGCAACATTTGTCTCCCAGGTTCAAGCTTCTCCTGCCTCAGCCTCCCAAGTAAATTGGATTACAGGCACATGCCAGCATGCTTGGCTAATTTTTGTATTTTTAGTAGAGACAGGGTTTCATCATGTTGACCAGGCCGGTCTCAAACTCCTGACCCCAGGAGATCAGCTCGCCTCAGTCTCTCAAAGTGCAGGAAATACAGATGTACACCACTACACCCACTCTTAAGTTTTTACTTATGAATAATAACACTGACAGTGTTCTAAATTCTCTAAATGGTCAAATGGATAAAGAAATAAGACCCAACTTATGGTGCCTTAAAGAAATCAACTTCATCTATAGAGACACCGAAAGGGAAATGAAAACAGGGAAATGGAAAAGGATATTTCATGAAGCTGGAAACCAAAAAAGTGCCAGAGTAGCTATTCTCATATTAGATAAAATAGACTAAAATCACAGACTGTAACAACAAAAGACAAGGAGGGTCACTAGTTAATGATAAAGAGGTAAATCGGCAAGAGGATACCACAATGATTAATACCTAGGTACGTGACACCAGTTTTTTCAAATGTAAAAAGCAAACATAGATTGCCATTCCAAGATGGCCGAATAGGAGCAACTCCGGTCTGCAGCTCCCAGCCTGATCCACACAGAAGATGGGTGATTTCTGCATTTCCAACTGAGGTACCTTGTTCATCTCATTGGGCTGGTTGGACAGTGGATGCAGCCCATGGAGGGCTAGCTGAAGCAGGGTGGGGCATTGCGTCACCGGGAAGCACAAGGGGTTAGGGGATTTACCTTTCCTAGATGAGGGAACCCGTGACAGACTGTACTGGGAAAATTGGGACACTCCCACCTTAATACTGTGCTTTTCCAATGGTCTTAGCAAATGGCACACCAGGAGATTATATCCTGTGCCTGGCTCAGTGGGTCCCACGCCCATGGAGCCTCGCTCACTGCTAGCACAGCAGTCTGAGATGGAACTGCAAGGCGGCAGACTGGGTGGGGGAGGGGTGTTCACCATTTCTGAGGCTTCAGTAGGTAAACAAAGTGGTCTGGAAGCTCGAACTGGGAGGAGCCCACCGCAGCTCAATGAGGCCTGCCTGCCTCTGTAGACTCCATCTGTAGGGGCAGGGCATAGCTGAATAAAAGGCAGCAGAAATTTCTGCAGACTTAAACATCCCCATCTGACAGCACTGAAGAGAGCAGTGGCTCTCCTAGCATAGTGTTTGAGCTCTGTGAATGGACAGGCTGCCTTCTCAAGTGGGTCCCTAACCCCCATCTAGCCTAACTGGGAGACACCTCCCAGTAGGGGCCAACTGACACCTCATACAGCCAGGCACCCCTTTGAGACGAAGCTTCCAGAGGAAGGATCAGGCAGCAATATTTGCTGTTGTGCAATATTTGCTATTCTGCAGCCTCCGCTGGTGATACCCAGGCAAACAGGGTCTGGAGTGGACCTCCGGCAAACTCCAACAGACCTGCAGCTGAGGAACCTGACTGTTCGAAGGAAAACTAACAAACAGAAAGGAACAGCATCAACATCAACAAAAAGGACATCCACACCAAAACCCCATCTCTAGGTCACCATTATCAAAGACCAAAGGTAGATAAAACCACAAAGATGGGGAGAAACCAGAGCAGAAAAGCTGAAAATTCTATAAACCAGAGCACCTCTTCTCCTCCAAAGGATCGCAGCTCCTCACCAGCAATGGAACAAAGCTGGATGGAGAATGACTTTGACAAGTTGACAGAAGCAGGCTTCAGAAGGTCAGTAATAACAAACATCTCTGAGCTAAAGGGGATGTTCAAACCCATCACAAGGAAGCTAAAAACCTTGAAAAAAGATTAGACGAATGGCTAAGTAGAGAAAACAATGTACAGAAGACCTTAAATGACCTGATAGAGCTGAAAACCATGGCATGAGAACTACATGATGCATGCAATACCTTCAGTAGCCGATTTGATGAAGTGGAAGAAAGTATATAAGTGAATGAAGATCAAATTAATGAAATGAAGTGAGAAGAGAAGTTTAGAGGAAAGAGAGTAAAAAGAAACAAACAAAGCCTCCAAGAAATATGGAACTATGTGAAAAGATTAAATCTACGTTTGATTAGTGTACCTGAAAGTGATGGGGAGAATGGAACCAAGCTGGAAAACACTCTTCAGGATATTACCCAGGAGAACTTCTGCAACCTAGCAAGGCAGGCCAACATTCAAATTCAGGAAATACAGAGAATGCCACAAAGATACTCCTCAAGAAGAGCAACTCCAAGACACATAATTGTCAGATTCACCAAAGTTGAAATGAAGGAAAAAATGTTAAGGGCAGCCAGAGAGAAAGGTCGGGTTACCCACAAAGGGAAGCCCATCAGACTAACGGCTGATCTCTTGGCAGAAACTCTAGAAGCCAGAAGACAGTGGGGGCCAATATTCAACATTCTTAAAGAAAAGAATTTTCAACCCAGAATTTCATATCCAGCCAAACTAAGCTTCATAAGTGAAGGAGAAATAAAATCCTTTACAGACAAGCAAATGCTGAGGGATTTTGTCACCACCAGACCTGCCCTAAAAGAGCTCCTGAAGGAAGCGCTAAACATGGAAAGGAACAGTCAGTACCAGCCACTGCAAAAACATGCCAAATTGTAAAGACCATCAAGGCTAGGAAGAAACCGCATCAACCAATGAGCAAAATAACCAGCTAACATCATAACGACAGGATCAAATTCACACATAACAATATTAACCTTAAATGTAAATGGGCTAAATGCTCCAATTAAAAGACACAGACTGGCAAATTGGATAAAGAGTCAAGACCCATCAGTGTGCTGTATTCAGGAAACCCATCTCACGTGCAGAGACACACATAAGCTCAAAATAAAGGGATGGAGGAAGATCTACCAAGAAAATGGAAAACAAAAAAAGGCAGGTGTTGCAATCCTAGTCTCTGATAAAACAGGCTTTAAACCAACAAATATCGTAAGAGACAAAAAAGGCCATTACATAATGGTAAAGGGATCAATTCAACAAGAAGAGCTAACTATCCTAAATATATATGCACCCAATACAGGAGCACCCAGATTCATAAAGCAAGTCCTGAGTGACCTACAAAGAGACTTAGACTCCCACACAATAATAATGGGAGACTTTAACACCCCACTGTCAACATTAGACAGATCAATGAGACAGAAAGTTAACAAGGATACCCAGGATTTGAACTCAGCTCTGCACCAAGCGGACCTAATAGACATCTACAGAACTCTCCACCCCAAATCAACAGAATATACATTTTTTTCAGCATCACACCACACCTATTCCAAAATTGACCACATACTTGGAAGTAAAGCTCTCCTCAGCAAATGTAAAAGAACAGAAATTATAACAAACTGTCTCTCAGACCACAGTGCAATCAAACTAGAACTCAGGATTAAGAAACTCACTCAAAACCGCTCAACTACATGGAAACTGAACAACCTGCTCCTGAATGACTACTGGGTACATAACAAAATGAAGGCAGAAATAAAGATGTTCTTTGAAACCAACGAGAAAAAAGACACAACATACCACAATCTCTGGGACACATTCAAAGCAGTGTGTAGAGGGAAATTTATAACACTAAATGCCCACAAGAGAAAGCAGGAAAGATCCAAAATTGACACCCTAACATCACAATTAAAAGAACTAGAAAAGCAAGAGCAAACACATTCAAAAGCTAGCAGAAGGCAAGAAATAACTAAAATCAGAGCAGAACTGAAGGAAATAGAGACACAAAAAACCCTTCAAAAAATTAATGAATCCAGGAGCTGGTTTTTTAAAAGGATCAACAAAATTGATAGACCGGTAGCAAGACTAATAAAGAAAAAAAGAGAGAAGAATCAAATAGATGCAATAAAAAATGATAAAGGTGATATCACCACTGATCCCACAGAAATACAAACTACCATCAGAGAATACTACAAACACCTCTACGCAAATAAACTAGAAAATCTAGAAGAAATGGATAAATTCCTGGACACATACACCTTCCCAAGACTAAACCAGGAAGAAGTTGAATCTCTGAATAGAGCAATAACAGGATCTGAAATTGTGGCAATAATCAATAGCTTACCAACCAAAAACAGTCCAGGACCAGATGGATTCACAGCCCAATTCTACCAGAGGTACAAGGAGGAACTGGTACCATTCCTCCTGAAACTATTCCAATCAATAGAAAAAGAGGGAATCCTCCCTAACTCATTTTATGAGGCCAGCATCATCCTGATACCAAAGCCAGGCAGAGACACAACCAAAAAAGAGAATTTTAGACCAATATCCTTGATGAACATTGATGCAAAAGTCCTCAGTAAAATACTGGCAAACCGAATCCAGCAGCACATCAAAAAGCTTATCCACCATGATCAAGTGGGCTTCATCCCTGGGATGCAAGGCTGGTTCAATATATGCAAATCAATAAATGTAATCCAGCATATAAACAGACCCAAAGACAAAAACCACATGATTATCTCAATAGATGCAGAAAAGGCCTTTGACAAAATTCAACAACCCTTCATGCTGAAAACTCTCAATAATTAGGTATTGATGGGACATATCTCAAAATAATAAGAGCTATCTATGACAAACCCACAGCCAATATCATACTGAATGGGCAAAAACTGGAAGCATTCCCTTTGAAAACTGGCACAAGACAGGGATGCCCTCTCTCACCACTCCTATTCAACATAGTGTTGGAAGTTCTGGCCAGGGCAATTAGGCAGGAGAAGGAAATAAAGGGTATTCAATTAGGAAAAGAGGAAGTCAAATTGTCCCTGTTTGCAGACGACATGATTGTATATCTAGAAAACCCATTGTCTCAGCCCAAAATCTCCTTAAGCTGATAAGCAACTTCAGCAAAGTCTCAGGATACAAAATCAATGTACAAAAATCACAAGCATTCTTATACACCAATAACAGACAAACAGAGAGCCAAATCATGAGTGAACTCCCATTCACAATTGCTTCAAAGGGAATAAAATACCTAGGAACCCAACTTACAAGGGATGTGAAGGACCTCTTCAAGGAGAACTAAAACCACTGCTCAATGAAATAAAAGAGGATACAAACAAATGGAAGAACATTCCATGCTCATGGGTAGGAAGAATCAATATCGTGAAAATGGCCATACTGCCCAAGGTAATTTATAGATTCAATGCCATCCCCATCAAGCTACCAATGACTTTCTTCACAGAATTGGAAAAAACTACTTTAAAGTTCACATGGAACCAAAAAAGACCCCGCATTGCAAAGTCAATCCTAAGCCAAAAGAGCAAAGCTGGAGGCATCATGCTACCTGACTTCAAACTATACTACAAGGCTACAGTAACCAAAACAGCATGGTACTGGTACCAAAACAGAGATATAGACCAATGCAACAGAACAGAGTCCTCAGAAATAATGTCACATATCTACAACTATCTGATCTTTGACACACCTGACAAAAACAAGAAGTGGGGAAAGGATTCCCTATTTAATAAATGGTTCTGGGAAAACAGGCTAGCCATATGTAGAAAGGTGAAACTGGATCCCTTCCTTACACCTTATACAAAAATTAATTCAAGATGGATTAAAGACTTACATGTTAGACCTCAAACCATAAAAACCCTAGAAGAAAACCCAGGCATTTCCATTCAGGTCATAGGCACGGGCAAGGACTTCATGTCTAAAACACCAAAAGCAATGGCAACAAAAGCCAAAATTGACAAATGGGATCTAATTAAACTAAAGAGCTTCTGCACAGCAAAAGAAACTACCATCAGAGTGAACAGGTAACCTGCAGAATGGGAGAAAATTTTCACAACCTACTCATCTGACAAAGGGCTAATATCCAGAATCTACAATGAACTCAAACAAATTTACAAGAAAAAAACAAACAACCCCATCAAAAAGTGGGTGAAGGATATGAACAGACATTTCTCAAAAGAAGACATTTATGCAGCCAAAAAACACATGAAGAAATGCTCATCATCACTGGCCATCAGAGAAATGCAAATCAAAGCCACAGTGAGATACCATCTCACACCAGTTAGAATGGCGATCATTAAAAAGTCAGGAAACAACAGGTGCTGGAGAGGATGTGGAGAAATAGGAACACTTTTACACTGTTGGTGGGACTGTAAACTAGTTCAACCACTGTGGAAGTCAGTGTGGCGATTCCTCAGTGATCTAGAGCTAGAAATACCATTTGACCCAGCCATCCCATTACTGGGTATATACCCAAAGGATTATAAATCATGCTGCTATAAAGACACACGCACACGTATGTTTATTGCGGCACTCTTCACAATAGCAAAGACTTGGAACCAACCCAAATATCCAACAATGATAGACTGGATGAAGAAAATGTGGCACATATACACCATGGAATACTATGCAGCCATAAAAAATGATGAGTTCGTGTCCTTTGTAGGGACATGGATGAAGCTGGAAACCATCATTCTCAGCAAACTATCACAAGGACAAAAAACCAAATACCGCATGTTCTCACTCATAGGGGGGAACTGAACAATGAGAACACATGGACACAGGAAGGGGAACATCACACACCGGGGACTGTTGTGGGGTGGGGGAGGGGGGAAGGATAGCATTAGGAGATATACCTAATGCTAAATGACGAGTTAATGGGTGCAGCACACCAACTTCACACATGTATACATATGTAACAAATCTGCACGTTGTGCACATGTACCCTAAAACTTAAAGTATAATAATAATAAAATTAAAAATGAAATGAAATAAAATAAAATAATGTGTTGTAAGATGGTATTTGCAAACTTCACGGTCACCTCCAACCAAAAAAACCTACTATTTTCTTTTATTATACTTTATTTATTTACAGATGATGTATTTATTTACATCATTATTTACAGATTTACAGATGATGTATTTATTTACATCATTATTTACAGATGATGTATTTATTTACAGATGATGTATGATATCTCCTTTAAGTGGGTAAAAATTTGAGAGCAGAAAACTCTTGTTTTGTTTGTTGCCATATCCATAACACCTGGCCCAAGGCCTGGCATGAAGTAGCTGCTTTGTCAATATGCCATTGAATGAATATTTGAATGAATGAATGAACTATGTGGTTTGGGTAATCCTCACTGAGAAGATTACATGCAAGCTGAGACCTGAATGATAAAAGAAGATCATTCAGGAGATCTGGGAGATCTGGGTGAAGAGGATATGGCTTGAAGCCACTGCACGTGCAAAGGCCCTGAGGCAGGGGTGAGCTTCGCAGGGAGGTGGAGCAGCAGGCAGGAGGCCAGTGTGGATGAATCCAAGGGAGTGAGGGGAAGAGTGGGAAAGGATGAGGGCCAGGTCTAGACCAGGATGAGGCACAGAAGGGTTTTGCCACTTTCTCCACTGACAGTGAAGCCTTCGTGCTCACCCTGTGAGTATGGGTGCACGTGTGATGTCGACAACTAAGGTGTGTGGGGAAGGTGAATTTATTTGAATTTATTCAAAACTTGATAAGCAAATTTATGAAAAGTTAACTTATCTTGTCTTATCAACCCAGGACTAATGTTTCAATAATTAGCTTGGAAAAATGAGGAGTTAGCCTCTATGACTTGTGTAATAGCAGTGAAAGCTCTCTGTTCCAGGTTAGGGAGGGATGGAGTAGCCCAGTTTCAGACCCCAAGTGGGTGAAGAGGTGTCCATGGGAGAGTGTCTCAGTGTGAGTGTCAGAGCCCATACAAGAGTAGAGCCCTCCATGGAGGTGCCACTTGGGGTGGGACCTCAGAGTCCGAGCAGGCCATGAGGCCATCCACACAGGGGCAGTCCAGCACATGGAGTCAGAGTCAGGCATGGAGAAAAGGACATCATTAATAGGGCCTCTGGATGTCATACCCTTCTCAGACTAAGTATTTCTGCCCTAATTATATACCAGGATCTGACCCTCTTGCAGATGATAGTCAATGATTCTTGACAGGAGAGTAATTGCACCACTTTTCTGGTGGTCTCTTGACGCAAGAGAACAAACACACTGAAAAGAAATGGCAAGTCAACGTTTAAAGCAACTTCTTTGTCCCTTGTTGAAACCATTCTCTTTCTGGGGTATAGACCTCTAAACCCAGAACTCTAACATCTTTTTTGTTCGTTTTTTGTTTTTTTTTTCAAGACAGAAGTTTTGTTCTGCTTGCCCAGGTGGAGTGCAAAGGCAGGATCGGGTCACTGCAGTCTCTGCCTTTTGGGTTCAAGCGATTCTCCAGCCTCAGCCTCCCGAGCAGCTGGGATTACAGGTGCTGGCCCCAATACCTTGCTAATTTTTGTATTTTTAGTAGGGACGGGGTTTCACCATCTTGGCCAGGCTGGTCTCGAACTTTTGGCCTCAGTGGATTCACCTGTCTAGGCCTCCCAAAGTGTTGGCAGTACAGGTGAAAGCCACTGCACCCAGCCCACAACACTAAAATCTACAAGGATGGGAAGCCCAAAGCTTTCAAATGGGCTTCGTGGATGAAGGTGAATGAGTGGGAATATTCCCATTTCCCCCATCTGGATCACAGGCCCATGTGTTCCAACTTGTAGAAATACAGGACCATAAAATGGCATTTTCCTTTTTATTAGAGGATATGCCCAGCATGCCTCAGGCTGTTGCATTTCTGAACACTTCACAGATATGGCACATCGCTGAAAGGCAGAGACATGGAAAATCCCCATGACCATCAAACTCTTACACTTCAGTATAGATTTGTTATGAGCAGAGCTAGGACTACAAGGAATGTCATTCTCACCATTGGATGTCATTGGTATCAGTGTCGACAGGTATGCACTTTCAGCCTTTGGAACTCGCTGTGTGATCCTTAGGTTTTCAGAAACCTTACCATTTCCTGTCCATCAGACCTGGTAATGACATTGTTATCAGTAGAATGGAGATTGGGCTGGGTGCAGTGGCTCAGGCTTGTAATCTCAGCACTTTGAGGCCAAGGTGCTTGGATCACTTACGCTCAGGAGTTTGAGTCCAGCCTGAATAACATGGTGAGAGCACGTCTCTACAAAATATACAAAAACTAGCCCAGCATGTCGCTGTGTGTCTGTAGTTCAAGCCACTTAGGAGGCTGAGGTGAGAGGATGCCTTGAGCCTGGAAGCTCAAGACTACAGTCAGCCCAGATAGCCCCACTGTACGTCAGCCTGGCTGATGGAGTAAGATGTTGTCTCATCAACAACAACAACAACAACAAAATTTGAATGGAGAATGGAGCTGTGTATTATGTTGCAGAATGTTCTGATGGGCTTGGTTCCTCAGGACTACTTGGATGGCTAATGAGAGAGACGGGAAGACAGAGAGCTTGAGATTGTGAATAAATACTGCTGTTGTTCTCATGTCAATGCCAATATTACAGATCCACCTTCCTGAAGAGTTTTGCAAAACATGGATTTTGCAGACCAACAATGCATACAGTGTGACCGAGGTTGTGTTATTTATTGCTATGGTGAGAGAAAACATCCATCACAGCTGCTACAGTGGGGTCACACCTGATGACGTTTGCATTACCTTCCTGCCATCTGCCATCATCCTTCTGGATTTTGAAGATACCAGACTGGTGAATTCCATGAAACAGATGACTGGACCCACAGCACTGGTCCTTGAGTTTTTGATGGTGGTGCTCATCTCTGCCATCTATATACAGGAAATAATTTGCCTTGAGATTTGATATTGGTTTTTATTGATTATGTTGTCTTGGATGAGCATTGATAGACTTAGGCTTTCCATTTGCAATTGTTTTTTTCCTAAAATTATAAGTCATAGCTCACAGGCCACAAAAACACTGTAAGTATTTTTCCTGTTTCTAAGTCTATGACTCCTGATTATACATGAGAGCCTAGGAACATAACCACAGAGGAGAGAGGTTCACAAACAGAGTTCACTCACTTAGAGGCAGAAGTTGGCAAGGAATACATCAATTTCCTGACCCCCACCCTTAGGCCATTACTCTAACAGGGGTCATGGTGATGTTTCCAAACCATGGGTTTTATGCCAACAAGGCCTTCTTGGCCAAGAGCTTCTAAAAGACAACAATACTCACCTTTGTTCAGTGCTCAGTTACCTAAGCAAATGACTGTAGGTCTTTTCCAAGGGAAACTGGAGAATTCCAAACTTGTACACCTTCCTTGGTTTTGCATAAACCTGCCTCATGAGAACCCAGCCTCTTTTTGAGTTAGGCCTTCTCGTGTGAGAACTGTCTCAGATTTTAACTGTATGAAGGATGATGACTTTCTAAGGGGCTGCTGACATCTGCCTTCTGTTCCTCTTGATGATTTCTATTTCCTGTTAATGCAGGGACACACCTGTCTGCCATTTATATCTGTTGTCGCTAATGAAACACGCTCTAAGAGGTAAGTCCTAGATATTGTAGGGCAGTCCCCCCGTGATGTACTCTGGCACTGGTGTCACCTCCTTATACCCCCTTGCATTGATGGCAAAGTGCTGGCCTCTGCCATTCCCACATCCTCTCACCACTTTGGTGCTATGGATGGAGCCCATCTCTGTATCAGTGTCCCCTGCTTTGAGCTCTGACCTATGAAGAATGTCCAGCCCTTGCATCTCAGTGATGCTGGTGTCCCTCTCACTGGTGCAGTGGTCATGGGCAGTCTTTTTTTTTTTTTTTTTTTTTTTTTTTGAGACGAAGTTTTGGTATTTTTTCCCATGCTGGAGCGTAGTGGTGTGATTACAGGCATCCAGCACAACGCCGGTCTAATTTTTTGTATTTTTAGTAGAGACAGGTTTTCACCATGTTGGCCAGGCTGGTCTCTAACTCCTGACTTCAGGCGATCCACCCACCTCAGCCTCCCAAAGTGCTGGGGTTACAGGCATGAGTCACCCCGCCCGGCCATCATGGGTAGGGTTCAAGATCATAGTCAGCTCCTGGTTCTCCTTCTATAGTAGACCCAATCCAGGATGCCCACTGATTGAGGTTGGAGCTGTGTCCCCACCCACACCTCATATGGAATTGTAATCCCCACTGTTGGAGGTGGGGCTGGCTGCGCTGGTGACAGTTGAGTGGATTATGGAGGCGGATATTTCATGAATAATTTAGCACCATCCCATAGGTGCTGTCCGGTGATGGAGTTCTCAAAAGATCTACTTGTTTGAAAGTGTGTATCACCTCTCCTACCACTTGCTCCAGCTCTGGCCGTGGAAGATGAGCCTGCTTCCCTTGTACTTTTTGCCATGACTCTAACTATTCTGGGGCCTCCCCAGAAGTTGAGCTGATGGCCAGCATCATACTTTTTGTACAGCCTGTGGAACCATGACCCAATTAAACCTGAGTTTTATAAATAATTACCCAGTCTCAGGTAATTCTTTATAGCAGTGCATGAACAGACTAACACATGCACTTCTCAACTATGTTATTCTTTACCCCAAAGCTATCCATCTGTACAATTTGGATCTGAGCCTAACCACCTGCAGTGAGCCCACACTCCTCTGGTTCTGGGCATATTTTTCCACTAGCCTAACCTCACATCCAGTGCTAGCCCCAATTTGGCAATCTCAGGTCACTTACACTACCCTCCAACTTGCCACAAATTCAAAAGTTCCCATCACTCTCAGGGTGACTATGGAGCTAGCATCATTCACACAACTCAAAAAAATCACTCTGTTTGTTTTACAGTGTTATAACAGCTAAAATATACAAATCCAAAGAAGCCAAAGAGACAAACAAATAGGGCTGGGTCAGAAAGGATCCCAGACAGATGACTCCACTGCCTCCTCAAGGCAGGGTGAGGGGGAATGCATCTCCCGGCTCCACTGATGATGGTCTCTTTGTGATGAAGCTTTGTTCCTGGGTCTCAGTTGTACATGTCCTTTGGCTCTAGGAGAAGATGATGCTTTCCAACTCTCAAACCTGATTTATTTCTTATTTTTTTGGAAGCAGAATCTCACTCTGTTGGCCAGGTGGGAGTGTGTGCAGTGGCACAATCATACCTCATTGTAACCCCTAAGTCCCTGACTCAGGTGATTTTTTTATCTCATGCTCCCCATTAGCTAGATCTACAAGTACAGGTGCGTGCCACCAAGCCCATCTAATTTTTAAGAAAATTTTGTTGTAGAGATGAGGTCTTGCTCTGGTGTCCAGGCTGGTCTGGAACTCCTGGACTCAAAAGATCCTACCTCTTCAAGCTTCCCCCGAATCTCTGGATTATAGATGTGAGCCACCACATCTAGTCCCAACTCTCACACTTTAAATTGCTGAGTGACAGGTGACAGCCTGACTTTTCCTCTTTCAATGCATCAATGGCACTCGTTTGCAGCCATCCAATTCCACATTCATATCGCTATTATTTACCTACAATCTTCCAAACCAAAAGCAATGTACCTTCAGTGCTTCTACCGTAGTTCATCCAAAATTACCCCAGGTGAAACATCGGTGGTTTCACAGTGGTCACATGCCCTAGCGACTCTGTCCTCCAACTGCCAGCAGTGATTGTTGCTCACTGAAGTCCTGTGGGGAGTCATCCAACCCCAGAATCCATACTTAGGGTTGACTTCCCAGGACCATTGCCAGTAGCAATTGATAGCTCATGGTTTCTAGAAGCAGAGCATGAGATAGGGAATCAAGATGTGCATTGAGGGAGTGCTCCCGATAGCTCAGGCAGGGCAGCTCAAGGAAACCAGGTAACATCAGGTCTGGCTGAAGACCTGCTTAAGCCTGATCCCAAGCAGGCTCTGGAGCACAGCCTTCAGCACAGAGGTGGCCTCATCTTGGTCACCCTGAGGTTTCTGTGCCAGTGATTCCCTGGCTGCTAGCTGTTGCCAGGAAGGGGGTGATTAACAACCATCTGGGCCATGTGACTGCACGACAACTGAGTGCAAATCTCTCTAGGAGAGGCACCTACCAGGTGTGAAGGAGGATCCTGGGGAAGGGGGTCTGGGCACAGCCATTCCTGTAAATGGCTTTCAGGAAACACATGAGAATCTTTGGGATGTTGGAAATTAGGGGTGGACATTGAGAGAACAAAATGTCCATGGAAAATATTATAAATGTCCATGGAAAGACAAAACGCTGGGCAGAAAGGCAGTGAAAGATCATAAGGGCTCCATAACGTCCTCCGTGTGACAAAGAGTTCATTAAGACAAGGGAGGAACCCTAGACCCTGCTTAAAAGGACGTGGCTTCAGGGAGAGCTCCTGTGGGCACACTCAGAGTTGAGGTAAAACTCCTGGGATTTTGTCTAATTCCAGTGTACTGGGTAGGGGTAGACTTTTGGCAATGTGAGGTCAGGGGTATCAGATGAAGGGGTCAACAAATGCCTGGACAGGATTCACGAAGATGAGAGGGACGTTCGAATTCCTAAAAAGCTGGTGGTCAAAAGAATGAGGATGAAGAGGAGGGTGTCCTGAAACCTCGGAGCCAGAAGTGGGGCTGAAGGCAAGAAGCCTTTCAAGGGAAGAAGGGAGTTTGGAAAGAGATGGATATCAGGCCAGAAACCTTCCCCCAACCTGGTGCCCCAAAGCATTCTAAAAACGGGGGTGGGACACAGAAGAGGTTGTCTGAGCAGAGGAGGATCCCGGAAGCCAGCGTGGGGGAAGGAAGAGGGTATGAGGCTGGCATGAAGTGGGGACTAGAGAAAGGGTGAGTAGTTTTCAGAGAAAAGGCCAGTGTCCAGGGCTGTCCAGGAGCGAATCTGGTCACTTGTTCTGAAACAGGGGTCCGGGTCTGGCAGTGGCAGCATGGTGGGGTGGGTGAGTGGCACTATGGAAGAGCCAAATCTCCACCTCTATCCTCAAAGCCTTTCTTCCACACAGCTTTCCGGTTAGCAAGGCTCCATGAGAATGGTTAGTTCCTGAAAATAGTGGACCCCAGAAGGGCTGACTAGGAGCGTGGGCATAGGGAGAGGGAGGGGATCCAGGGCCCGGAGGACCTTGCCAGAGCGTGTAGCCCGCAGAATTGAGGAAACGAGAGTGGGGGTGGGGATCAGATCCCAGCATTTATGGAGTGACTGCAGCCCAGAAAGGTGGAAAAAACTAAGAAGGGGACCCCAAGGGCTTGAAAGACCTTGCCGAGTGTGGAGCCCTGAAGTGCGCAGGCCACTCGGTTGTCCCTCAGGGGCCTGGGAACCTCGCGGAGTGTGGAGTCTCTAGAACGCAGTCCACTCCGCTGGGGAGGTGGATTTCAGGCCAGAAACCTTCAGGGACCTGGAGCCCCAACACATGCTAAAAACAGGGGTAGGGACACAGATCTGAAAGATTTTGGAGTACTTGGAAGGCAGAAGGGAAACTTGAATAAGTCAGGGTGGAGCGCTCAGAAGATGGCGGAGACAGCCGAGCTGGAAGAATCCAGAAAGAGAGGCGGGGACAGGGGATGGGGGCTCAGACGCATTCAGAGCGCACAGGGCCCCTCCAAGGTCGCTTTCACACTGCCGGGTTTTCCTCTGCGGCTGCAGAGCTGCACTTTTCCTCTGTCCCAACCAAAATGTGACCCTTGAAGGTCTCATCCCCCATGGACTGTATCTGGGCCTCATTTATTCAGGGGCCTCAGTCCTCAAGGAGGCCATTGTCACTCTCCTTCCCGATAGAGTCCTCTCAAATTAGTAAGGGCCCCTCAAGGAGCCCAGGGTTTGTCTTTATCCCTCCCTGAAACTTCTTCGGAAGGAGGAAGTTCCCAAACACCCCCAGGCTTTAGTGCCAGAATTTCACCCTCTGAAACCTCCTCCTTCCCTAGACCCAGTCCGGCTCCTCATCCTCAGTCCCTCAGACCCCATGGAGGTGTCCCCTGCAGTGGGTTTTCTCCAGATTGAGAGCCTCCCCTCCTCAGCACACAACCCAGAGACTCACCCTGTTCTGAGCAGCGAGCCACCGCATAAGCAGACATGAGACCTCACTCCAGTCAAATAACACTTTATTTTTGTAAATTCAATTGTTTTGTTCCCGGAGGAAAGGGAGGAGCTCAGGAGAACAGTGTCGTCAAAATTTCCTGGTGGTTGTTTAATCACAGCCGCCGAGTAGGTCAGAAAACTCATCCGGATTACCCTCTTCCTCCTGAAATTAAAGGAAATGTGCAGGACTCATCAACTGGTAAGGTTTCGTGACAATTGTGCGAATATCGTGCTGGATATATGAATAGAAAGTTAAATCTGAACGACCTGTGCTGCTTGTCCAGACATCATCTTCTTCAGGAAATATGAGATGTTTCTGAAGAGTTTCAGCAGCTTGTCAGGAAAGGACTCTGCCTTTTCCAGTACATAGATGAGCATCATCTGGATTAGAGACCTCAACACGGCGAATACAATTTCCGTTGCTAGTTTTGGGACACATGTCATGAATTGGTCGGCACACCATTTTTCTAACATATCGGTCAGAATACTGGCCACTTTAGGCACTATCTCTTCCTTGGCCAGGTTCTTTATAAGTGAAATAAATGAGCCCATGATATGTGCAATGAGCGTGCTGTTGGTTTCAGGCAAAGTTATATAATGAGAGCGTTCCTGGAGAGTGGAGGCATTTTACAGAAGGTCACGTGGTGGGGGCGGGCCAAGATGGCCAATTAGAAGCAGCTGCCTTCCACTGAGTGAAAAGAAAAGCCCGGGGATTTTTTTTTTTTTTTTTTTTTTTTTGAGACGGAGTCTCGCTCTGTCGCCCAGGCTGGAGTGCAGTGGCGGGATCTCGGCTCACTGCAAGCTCCGCCTCCCGAAGCCCGGGGATTTTGAAGTCAGCGCGTCAACTGAAATATTCAGGTTCTCACATTGGGACTGACTAGGCAAACAACTTGACCCGGGAGAACAAAGAAAAGAGGGATGGATGATGATTCACCCTGTATTGGCAGAGAGCCAAAGGAACCATCTCCGGCATCCGAGGGAAACAGTGACTGAGCGTGTGACCCCGCCCCAGAAACCATGCTTCTCCCATGGATCTTTGCAACCCATGGATCAGGAGATCCCCTCTTGAGCTCAGGTCATAAGGGCCTTGGGTCCAGGACACAGGGCTGTGTGGAGTGTTGGCAGAGCAGCCGCTCAGACACACATAGAGACCCAGGAGTTTCACATACTCTGGCCTTGGGATGCCGGGAAAGGTGGGAGTTCCGTCTATACATTCCCCCAGGAAGGGGGCTGAATTCAGCTGCTTTAGGAGTTTTTAAAACATTATTTTAGGCAGACAGAGAGGAAAAGGGGTCCTTGGGAAGTTTTGTTTCTTTTTAAAGCAGTTCCAGAAAAGAGTCTTGTCTAGCAGGAAAGCCCTGGCTTTTAGAGTTCTCTGGTAAGCTTTGATTGGCAAATGCTGGCCATTAGAAACTGGGTCCGCCCAAACATGGGGATTCCCGCCCGCTTCTGGCCCTTGCCCCTCCCTGTGTACACACCCTGTGATATTGGGAGTAATATAATCCTCTCCCCTCCTGAATATTACGAACAATATCACAGGGGATTTTACACCTTCTGTGATATTGGGAATAATAGCATCCTCTCCTCCTTTTATATTAGGAACAATATCCCAGGGGGTGTGTACACCCTTTGCGATATTGGGACTACTATCATCCTCTTCCCCACTGGATATTAGGAACAATATCACCGGGGGGTGTACATGTCCTGCAATTTTGGAAGTAGTATCATCCTCTCTTGCCTTTTATATTACAAACATTGTTACAAAGGGATGTACATCCTCTGCGATATTGAAAGTAATATCATCGTCTCCCCCATTGGATATTATGAACAATATTACAAGGAGGAGTACACACAGGGTGTTAATTATATTGGGAGTAATATTATCCTCTCCCCCCTTAATATTACAAACAATATCACAGGAGGGTGTACACCCCCCATGATCTTGGGATTAATATAATCCTCTCCCTCCTTGGATATGACAAACGATATCACAAAGTGTGTGTACACCCCATGCGATATGAGAGGTAGCATAATCCAAGAGAGGATTATAATATCTCTTGGATATCAGGAACCATATCACAGGGGAATATACACCCCGTGTGATATGGGGAGTAGTAGTATCCTCTTTCTCCCTGAATATTACAAACAATATAACAGGGGGATGTACACTCTCCGCGATATGGAAAGTAATATCATCCTCTCCTACATTGGATATTATGAACCATATCACAGGGGGGTGTACACCCACTGCGATATGGGGAGTAGTATCCTCCTCTCCACCTTTGGATATTATGAACAATATCACAGAAGGGTGTACACTTCCTGAGATATTCGGAGTAATATCATCCTCTTTTCACCTGGATATTATGAACACTATCACAGCGGGGTGTACACCCTCTGTGACATGGGGAATAATATAATTTTCTCCTCCCCTGGATATTACCAAAAGTATCACAGGGGGGTGTACATCCCCTGTGATATGAGGAGTAGTATCATCTTCTCCTCCCCTGAATATTAGGAACAATGTCACAGAGGGGTATACACCCCCTGCGATATGAGGAGTAATATCATCCTTTCCACCCTTGGATATTATGAACAATATCACAGGGGGTGTACACACAGGTTGTTTACTATATTGGGAGTAATATCATCATCCCCCTCTATATTATAAAGAATATCACAGGGGGTTGTACACCACCTGCAATATTGGGAGTAATATCATCCCCTCCCCCTCTGGATATTATGAACAATATCACTGGGGACTGTATCCCCCCAAGATATTGAAGATAATATCATCCTCTTCCCTTTGGATATTACAAACCACAGAGAGGTGTACACCCCCTGCGATATGGGGAGTAATATTAACCTCTCCTTCCCTGGATATTACAAACCATATCACATGGGGGAGTACACACCCCGTGATATGGAGAGTAATGTCACCCTCTCTCTTCCTGAATATTATGAACCATATAAAAACCCCTGCGATATGGGGAGTAATATTACCTTCTCCTCAGCTTAATATTAGGAACCATATCACAAAAGGGTATACACTCCCCGCGATATGGGGAGTAATATCACCCAGTATACCCCCTGGATATTACAAACCATATCACATCGTGGTGTACGCCTCCCATGATATGGAAAGTAATATCACCTTCCCCCTTCATAGATATTACAAACCAGGCCAGGTGCAGTGGCTCACGCCTGTAATCCCAGCACTTTGGGAGGCCGAGGCAGGTGGATCATCTGAGGTCAGGAGTTCTAGACCAGCCTGGCCAACATGGTGAAACCCCTTCTCTACTAAAAATACAAAAAGTAGCCGGGCGTGGTGGTGTGCGCCTGTAATCCCAACTTCTTGGGGGACCAAGGCAGGAGAATCGCTTGAACCCGGGAGGCTGAGGTTGCAGTGAGCCGAGATCCGGCCATCATACTCCAGCCTGGGGGACAAGAGCGAGACTTCGTCTCAAAAAAAAAAATGTAGATATTACAAACCATATCACATTGGGGTGTATGCCTCCCGCGATATGGGGAGTAATATCACCCTCTCCTCCCTGGGATATTATGAACCATATCACATAAGTGTGTATGCCCCACTCGATATTGAGAGTAATGTAACCCTCTCCCCAACTCAGTGTAACAAACCATACAACAGGGGGTTGTACACCCCCAGCAATATGGAGATTAATATCACCCTCTCTTCTTCTGGATATTATGAATCATATCACAGGCGATGTACATGCCCCGAGATACAGGGAGTAATACCACCTTATTCCACCCTGGATATTATGAACCATATCACAGAGGGGTGTACACCCCCCACGATATGGGAGTAATATCACCCTCTCCCCTTTTGGATATTACGAACTGTATTTCACGGGAGTGTACACCCTTGGCGATATGGAAAGCAATATCACCTCTCTTAACCTGAATATTATGAACCATATCACAGGTGGGTGCACACCCACCACGATGTGGGGAGTAATGTCACCCTCTCCTTCTCTGGATATTACTAACCGTATAACACCTCCTTCGATATTGGGAGCAATATTACCCTCTCCCCTCCTGGATATTACGAACCATATTCAAAGGGTGGTGTACATTCCCTGGAATATGGGGAGTAATATCACCCTCTTTTCTTCTGGATATTATGAACCATATCACAGGGGAGTGTACGCCATCCGAGATACAGGGAGTAATATTACTCTCTCCCCCGCTGAATATTACAAACCATATCACAGGGTGGTGTGTGTTCCCCGCGATATGAGGAGTAATATCACCCTCTTTTCTTCGGGATATTATGAACCATATCACAGAGGGGTGTACGCCCCCGCAATATGGGAAGTAATATCACCCTCTCCCCGTCTGGATATTACGAATCATATCACAGAAAAGTGTACGACCCCACGATATGGAGAGTAATATCTCCCTCTCCGCCCCCGGGATATCACAAACCATATCACAGGGGTGTATATGCCCCCCGCGACATGGAGAGTAATATCTCCCTCTCCCCTCCGGGATATTATGAACCATATCATAGTGGGGTGTATGCCCCACGTGATATGGGGAGTAATATCACCCTCTCCACCCCAAGATATTATGAACCATTTAACGGGGAGGGGTGTATGCCACCGCGATATGGGGAGTAATATCATTTTCTTCCTCCTGGGATGTTACAAACCATATCACGTGGGGGTGTACCCTGATATGTAACGTGATATGGGGAGTAATAGTACCCTCTCCCCCCGGGGATACTGTAAACCATTTCCCAGGGAAGTGTACACCCCCCGGTGATATAGGGAGTAATATCACCCTCTCCACCCCGGGATATTGTGAACCATATCACTGGGAGGGTGTAGCCCCCGCGACAGGGAAAGTAATATCATTGTCTCCTCCTTGGGGTATTTCGAACATGTCACGAGGGTGTGTAACCCCTCACTCGGTATGTGGAGTAATATCACCCTCTCCCTCCCTGTATATTATGAGCCATATCACACCCAGGTGTAGGCCCCCGGTGATATGGGGAGAAATATCACCCTCTCAGCCCCCGGGATATTACGAACCATGTCACAGGGGAGTGTATGTTCCCTGCAATATGAAAAGTAATATTGCACTCTTTTCCCTGAAGTATTACTAACCTTGCCACAGAAGGGCGTATGCTCTTCGCTGTATGGGGAGTAATATTACCCTCTACCCCCTCCCCCACCGGGATATTTCGAACCATGTCACAAAGGAGTATATGGCCCTCGCGATATGGGGAGTAATATCACACTCTCCCCCCAAGGATATTATGAACCATATCACAGGGGGGAGTACTCCTTCGCGATATGGAGAGTAATATCACCCTATCCACCCTGGGATATTACAAACCATATCACCAGGGGATGTAAACTTCCCGTGATGTGGGGAGTAATATCAACTCCTTCCCTTAAGATATTTTGAACCGAGGCGGAAGTAAGGGTGAGAGGAGGCTGCAACGCCGATCGGAGGAGGCAGGAACCGGAGCTCTAGCAGTAGCTGGGTGGGCACCATGGCTGGGATCACCACCATCGAGGCGGTGAAGCGCAAGATCCAGGTTCTGCAGCAGCAGGCAGATGATGCAGAGGAGCGAGCTGAGCGCCTCCAGCGAGAAGTTGAGGGAGAAAGGTGGGCCCGGGAACAGGCTGAGGCTGAGGTGGCCTCCTTGAACGTGGGATCCAGCTGGTTGAAGAGGAGCTGGACCGTGCTCAGGAGCACCTGGCTACTGCCCTGCAAAAGCTGGAAGAAGCGGAAAAAGCTGCTGATGAGAGTGAGAGAGGTAAGAAGGTTATTGAAAACCGGGCCTTAAAAGATGAAGAAAAGATGGAACTCCAGGAAATCCAACTCAGAGAAGCTAAGCACATTGCAGAAGAGGCAGATAGGAAGTATGAAGAGGTGGCTCGTAAGTTGGTGATCATTGAAGGAGACTTGGAACGCACAGAGGAACGAGCTGAGCTGGCAGAATCCCTTTGCCGAGAGATGGATGAGCAGATTAGACTGATGGACCAGAACCTGAAGTGTCTGAGTGCTGCTGAAGAAAAGTACTCTCAAAAAGAAGACAAATATGAGGAAGAGATCAAGATTCTTACTGATAAAATAAAGGAGGCGGAGACCCATGCTGAGTTTGCTGAGAGATCGGTAGCCAAGCTGGAAAAGACAATTGATGACTTGGAAGATAAACTGAAATGCACCAAAGGGGAGCACCTCTGTACACAAAGGATGCTGGACCAGACTCTGCTTGACCTGAATGAGATGTAGAACGCCTCAGTCTCACCCTGCTGCTGCTCCTCCCTCTGAACCAGACTCCGCCTGAGGCCAGCCTGCCCGAAGCTGACCTTTAATTGAGGGCTGATCTTTAACTGGAAGGCTGCTTTCTCCTTTCGCCGCCCCCTCCTTCCGCCGCCCGCTCCTTCCCTGTGTCTTTTTCACCAAACTGTCCGCCTCTTCCCGGAGATTCCAGCTGGGCTAGAGGCTGAGCACCTTTGGAAACAACATTTAAGGGAATGTGAGCACAATGCATAATGTCTTTAAAAAGTATGTTGTGATGTACACATTTTGTAATTACCTCTTTTGTTGTTTTGTAGCAACCTTTTGTAAAACATTCCATATAATACCACAGCCCTGAAGCAGCGATCGAATCCCTTTCTCACTTTTGGAAGGTGACTTTTCACCTTAATGCATATTCCTCTCTCCATGGAGGAGAGGAAAAGGTATAGGCCTGCCTTGCTGAGAGCCAAACAGAGCCCAGGGAGACTCCACTATGGGAAGCCTCATTGCTCTGTACAAAGTACTAGCTAAGCCAGAAAGGTGGTTCCAGGAGGAGTTAGCCAAACAACAACAACAAAAAATGTGCTGTTCAAGTTTTCAGCTTTAAGATACCTTTGGATAATGTTATTTCTATTTTTTATTTTTTTCATTAGAAGTGACCAAATTAAGATGGCAAGACCTCTGAGACCAAAATTTTGTTCCATCTCTACCCCCTCCCAACTGCTTACAGAATGGATCATGTTCCCCTTATGTTGAGGTGAGCACTTAATTGCTTTTCTTGCCTCCTTGAAAGAAAGAAAGAAAGAAAGAAGATTGTGTTTTTGCCACTGATTTAGCCATGTGAAACTCATCTCATTACCCTTTTCTGAGTTTGAAGCTGCTGTCTCTACAAGTGCCATCTCATTGTGCTTTGTATCAGTCAGTGCTGGAGAAATCTTGAATAGCTTATGTACAAAACTTTTTAAATTTTATATTATTTTGAAACTTTGCTTCTTTGGGTTTGTGGCACCCTGGCCACCCCATCTGGCTGTGACAGCCCCTGCAGTCCGTGGGCTGGCAGTTTGTTGATCTTTTAAAGTTTCTTTCCCTACCCTGTCCCCATTTTCTGGTAAGGTTTCTAGGAGGTCTGTTAGGTGTACATCCTACAGCTTATTGGCTTAATATGTACTCTCCTTTGATGTGGTCTACTTGGGGCCGATTGGGAGAAAGAGAAATCAATAGTGCAACTGTTTTGTTAATGAATATTGACAAGTGTCTTTTTGAAATAAAGAACCAGTCCTTCAAAAAAAAAAGACATTTTGAACCATATCACAGGGGGGTGTATGTCCCTGCAATATGGGGAGTAATATCACTCTCTCCCCTCTGGGATATTACAAACCATATCACAGGAGGGTGTACGTCCCCACAATATGGGGAGTAATATTACCCTCTCCTCCCTGGATATTATGAACCAAACCACAGGGGGCTTATGCCACCCGCGATATGGAGCATAATATCTTCCTCTACTCCCCGGAATATTATGAACTGTATCACAGGGGAGTGTATGCCCTTCACAATACGAAGAGTAATATTACCCTCTCCCCCATGGGATATTACGAACCATGTCACACCCCTTGCGATATGGGAAGTAATATCCCTGTCTTTCCTTCCGGATATTCTGAACCATATCACAGGGGGATATACACCCCCTGGGATATGGGGAGTAATATCGTTCTCCTTGGGCCATGCGTGGTGGCTCACATCTGTAATCTCAGCACTTTTGGAGGCCGAGGCGGATGGATCACAGGGTCAGGAGTTCGAGATCAGCCTGGCCAATATGGTGAAACCCCGTCTCTAATAAAAATACAAAAATTAGCCAGACGTTGTGGGGTGCGCCTGTAGTCCCAGCTATTCAGGAGGCTGGGAGAGGAGAATTGCTTGAGTCCAGGAGGCGGGGGTTGCAGTGAGCCAAGATCGTGCCACTGCACTCCAACCTGGGTGACACAGTGAGACTCAAAAAAAAAAAATCATTCTCATTTCCCCCCCTGGATATTACAAACTGTTTCACAGGTAAATGTAGACCACCTGCGATATGGTGAGTAATATCACCCTCCTCTCCTTCCCTGGATATTACAGACCATATCGCCGGGGGTGTACTCCCCCTCCCGTGTACACCCCCGGCGATATGGGGAGTAATATCACTCTCCTGTTTCCTTTTGGATATTATGAACTTGATCAAAGAGGGATGTACTCCCACCGAGATATGGGGAGTAATATCACCCTCCTCATCCCCCTGGATATTCCAAACCATATCACAGGGGGGTGGGCACCACCCGCGATGTGGGGAGTAATATCACCCTCTCTTCTATTACAAACAATATTACAGGGGTATGTACACTTCCCGCGATATGGGGAGTAATATTACCCTCACCCACCCTGGATATTATGAACCATATCACAGGAGAGTGTACATCCCCCAAGATGTGGAGAGTGATAGCAGCCTCCTTCCCCAGGATATTATGAACCATAACACACCCCCGGCAATATGAGGAGTAATATCACCCTCTCCCGACCTGGATATTACGAACCATGTCACAGGAGGGTGTACATGCCCCGAGATATGGGGAGTAACATTACCCTCTCCTCCCCTGGATATTACAAACCATGTTACAACCCCCGTGATATGGTGAGTAATATCACCCACTATATCCCCTAGATATTACAAACCATATCACAGGAAGGTGTACGCCCCCCACAATATGGGGAGTAATATCAATCTCTCCCCTTCTGGATATTACGAACCATATCACAGGGAAGGGTATACCTCCCATGATATGGGAAGTAATATCACCCTCTCCAACTTGGATATTATGAACCATATCATAAAGGGGTGTCTGCACCCAGCAATATGGAAAGTAATATCACCTTTTCCTCCCCTAGATATTACAAACCATATCACAGGGGGGGTGTATGCCCTCTGCAATACGGGGATTAATATCACCCTCTTCTTTTCTGGTTATTATGAACCATATCACAGGGGTTGTATGTCCCCCCGCAATATGGGGAATAATATCACCCTCTCCCCCCTGGATATTAGGAACCATATCACAGGGAAGTGTACTCCCTTCATGATATGGAAACGACTCCTCCTCTGCCCCCTGGATATTACTAATTATACCACAGAAGAGTGCACGCCCCCTGATTATCACACCTCCCAAGATATGTGGAGTAATATCATCGTCCTCTACCCTTCTGGATATTATGAACCATATCACAGGGGGTTGTACACCCTTCGCGATATGAGGAGCAATATCACCCTCCTCTCTCCCCTGGATATTATGAACTATATCACAGGGGAGTTTACAACACCCGCGATATGGGGAGTAAATATCACTCTCCTCTCCCCCGCCTGGATATTATGAACCACGTCACAGGGCGTGTGTACACTTCACTTCAACTTTTTCCCTTAAGTTGTACACATCAACTTCTTCCTTTGAGATACTATGAACCAGATCACGGGGGTGTATGCTCCCCGCGATATGGGGAGTAATATCACCCTCGCCCCCCAAAGATATTACAAACCATATCACAGGGGGCTGTACGTCTCCACAATATGGGGAGTAATATTACCCTCTCCCCCCTGGATATTATAAGCCAAACCATAGGGGGTTGTAGGCCACCCGCGATATAGGGCATAGTATCTTCCTCCACTCTCCGGAATATTATGAGCTATATCACAGGGGGGTGTATGCCCTTCGCGATATGGGGAGTAATATCACCTTCTCCCCTCGGGATATAAAGAACCACATCACAAAAAAGTGGACGCCTTCCACGATATGGGGAGTGATATCACCCTCATCTGCCCCCCTGGATATTACCAACCACATCACAAAGGGGTGTACACCCCCCCGATATTGGGAGTAATGTCACCCTCCTTTTTCACTCTGGATATTCTGAACCATATCACAGGGAGTTGTACACCGCCTGCGATATGAGGAGTAATATAGTAATAGCATCTTCTCCACCCCTGGATATTAGGAACAAAATCACAAGGAAAGTGTACATTCCCTGCGATATTGAAAGTAAAATCATCCTTCCCCCATATTGCATATTAGAAACAATATCACAGCTCGGGTGTATACCCCCTGCGATATTGGGAGCAATATCATCCTCTGCCTCCTGGATATTAGAAAAAATATCACAAGGGGGTGTATACGACTCCTGAGATATTGGGAGTAACATCATTCTCTCCCACCCTGAATATTAGGAACAATATCACAGGGGGGTGTACACCCTCTCCAATATTGAGAGTAATATTATCCTGCCACCCCACCCCCCAGATATTAGGAACAAAATTACAGGGAAAATGTACGCCCTGTGATATTGGAAATAATACTATTTTTTATTTCTCTGGATATTAGGAACAATATCACGGGGGGTGTACACCCTCTGCGATATTGGGAATAATATTATCCTCTGCCCCCCTGGATATTGGAACAATATCAAAGGGGGGTGTACACCCCTGTCAATATTAAGGGTAATATCATACTCTCCCTTTCCTGATATTAGGAAAAATATCACAAAGGAGGTGTTCACCCCTGCAATATTGGGAGTAACATGATTTTCTCCTCTACTGGATATGAGAAACAATATCACAGGGGTAGTGTACACGCTCAGTATTGAAAGTAATATCATCTTCTCACTCCCTGGATATTAGCAACAATATAACAGGGAAGGTGAACACTTCTTGCGATATTGTGAGTAATATTATCTTCTACTCCGCCGGATGTAGGTGTACATCCCCTGCGATATTGGGAGTAATATGATTCTCTCCCCCTCTGGGTATTAGGAACAATATCACGGAGTGGGGGGAGACACCACCCGCGATATTGGGAGTAATATTATCCTGTCATTCTCCTGGATATTAGGAACAATATCATAAGGGAGTGTACACCTCCTGTGATATTGATAGTAATATCACCCTCATTTTCCCTAGATATTAGAAACAATATCACAGGTTGGGGTGTACACCCCCTGTGATCCTGAGTGTAATATCCTCTCCCTCCCTGGATATTGGAAGCAATATCACAGAAAGGGTGTACAGTCTTTGCGATATTGGGAGTAATATCATCCTCTCCCTCATGGATATTAAGAACAATATCAAAGAAGGCCTGTACACACCCTGTGACATTGGGAGTAATATCATCTTCTCTTCCTCTGGATATTAGAAACAATATCACACGGAGGGTGTATAGCCCTGGGATATTTGGAGTAATATTATCCTCTCCCACCCTGGATATTAAAAACAATATCACAGTGGGGGTGTAATCCCCCTGCGATATTGGGAGTAATATCATCCTCTCCCCCCAGATATTAGAAACTATATAAAAAGAAGGGTGTACACCCCATGCGATATTGGAAGGAATATTATTTTCTCCAACCTTGAATATTAAAAACAATATCACAGGGGGCTCTACACCCCCTGCTGCAATACAGTGAGTAATATTACCCTCCTTCGTCCTGAACATTAGGAAGAATATCACAAGGGGAGTTTACATCTCCTGTGATGTTGGGAGTAATACCATCCTCTCCTCCACTGCATATTAGAAACAATATCTCAGGGAAGGTGTACACCCCTGCGATATTGGGAGTAATATAATCATTTACCCCTCTGGATATTAGGAACAATATCACAGGACAGGTATACATTTCTTGTAATATTAGGAGTAATATCATCCTCTTTCCTTCTGGATATTAGGAAAAATATCACAGGGGGAGTGTATGTCCCCTTCGATTTTAGGAGTAATATTATCTTCTCCACCCCTGGATATTAGAAGAAACAATATCACATAGGGTTGTACAGCCCCTGCGATATTAGGAGTAATATCATCTCCTTTCCCCCTGGATATTAGGAACAATATCAAAGGGAGGTTGTACACCTTCTACAATATTTAAAGTAATATCATCTCCTCCGCTGGATACTAGGAACAATATCACAGGAGGTGTGCACACCCCCTGCGATATTGAGAGTAATATAATTTTCTCCCATCCTTGATATTAGAAACAATATCACGGGGAGATGTACACCCATTGTGATATGTGATATTAGGAGTAATATCATTTTCTCCCTTCCTGGATATTAGGAAAAATATCATAGTGGGAGTGTAAGTTCCCTGCGATTTTAAGAGTAATAGCATCCCCTCCCCCCCTGGATATTAGGAAGAATATCACAGAAGCGATGTACACCCCCTGTGATATTGGGATTAATATCATCCTCTCTCTTCCTGGATATTAGGATCAATATCACAGGGAAGTGTACACACCCTGCGATATTTGGAGTTATATTATTCTTTTCCTTTTTGAATATGAGAAACAATATCACAGGGCCGTTGGACACCCCCTACAATATTGCGAGTAATACCATCCTCTCACCGCTGGATATTAGAAACAACATCACAAGGGGCTGTACACCTTCTGTGATATTGACAGTAATATCATCCTCTTCTTTCTTAGATATAACAAACAATATCACAGGAGGAGTGTACACCCACTGTTGATATTGGGAGTAATATTATCACAGGGCGTGCGTGCAACCCCTGCAATATTGGGAGCAATGTCATCCTCTCTTACTCTGGATATTAGGAACAATATCACGGGGGGTGTATACAGCCTGCAATATTGGGAGTAACATCATTCTTTGCCTCCCTGGATATTAAGAATGATATCATGGGGGGCCTGTACACCCCCTGCGATATTGGGAGTAATATCAGCCTTTCACCCTTTGGATATAAAAAACAATATCACGGGGATGGTGTACACCCTCTGCTGTATTTGGAGTAGTAGCATTCTTTTCTCCATGAATATTAGGAACAATATCTCAGGAGGAGTGTACGTCCCCTGTGATTTTGGGAGTAATATTATCCTCTCCCCCTGGATATTAGCAACAATATCACAGGGGTGGTGTACACCCCCTGCGATACTGGGAGTAATATCATTCTCTCCTTTCCTGGATGTTAGGAATAATATCACAAAGAGGATGTACACCTTCTGTGATATTGGGGGTAATATCCTTACCCACATAAATATTAGGAAATATATCACAGGGGGGTGTACATATCCTGCGATATTGGAAGTAGTTCATTCTTTCCCGCCTGGATATTATGAACAGTATCCCAGGGGTGTGTACACTCTGTGATATTGGGGGTAATGTCATCTTCTACCCCCCTGGATATTATAAACAATATCACAGGGGATGTACACACAGGATGTTTACGTTATTTTGAGTAATATCATCCTCTCCACCCCTGGATATTACAAACAATATCACAGGGAGGTGCACATCCCCTGAAATATTGGCAATTATATCATCCTTTTCTCCCCTGGATATTACGAACAATATCACAGGGGGGTGTACACCCCCTGTGATACTCGGAGTGATATCATCCTCTCCTTTTCTAGATATTTCAAAGAATATCACAGGGACCGTACACCACCTGCAATATTGGGAGTAATATCATCCTCTCCTTTTCTGGATATGATGAACAATAAATATCACTAGTGGGTGGACACCCCCGGTGATATTGGGAGTAATGTTATCCTGTCTTCCCCTGGATATTATGAACAATATGGCAAAGGGGTGTACACTCCCTGGGATATTGGGAGTAATAGCATCCTCTTTCATTCCGGATATTGGGAACAATATCACAGGAGAGTGTACACCCCCTTCGATATTGGAAGTAATATTATCATATTTTTTTCCTGTATTTTAAGAACAATATCATCTTCTCCATTCTGAATATTACCAACAATATTACAGGGGGATGAACGTCCCCTGAGATATTAAGACTAATATAATTTTCTCTCCCCCTAGATATTACGAACAATATCACAGGGGGTTGTACTCCCCCTGCTATATTGGAAATAATAGCATTCTCTTTTCTTCTTGGTATTACAAACAAGATCACAGGGGGGTGTACACTCCCCACGATTTTGGGAGCTATATCATCCTTTCCCCCTCTGGATATTCGGAACAATATCACAGGGAGTGTGCACCCCCTGCGATATTGGGAGTAACATTATCCTCTCCCCAGAGCGCCTCTGCCCGGCCTCTGAACCGTCTGGGAAGTGAGGAGCGCCTCTGCCCGGCAGCCCCACCATCTGGGAAATGAGGAGAGTCTCTGCCCGGAGTCCAAGTGTCTGGGAAGTGAGGAGCGCCTCTGCCCAGCCGCCCCACTGTCAGGGAAGTGAGGAGTGCCTCAGCTCGGCGGCCACACCATCTGGGAAGTGAGGAGCACCTCTGCATGGCCACACCACCGTCTGGGAAGTGAGGATCGCCTCTAGCCTGCCGCCCCACCATGTGGGAAGTGAGGAGCGCCTCTGCTGGGCCGCCCTACCCTCTGAGAAGTGAGGATCGCCTCTGCCCGGCTGCCCCACCATCTGGGAAGTGTGGAGCGCCTCTGGCTTGCCGCTGCTCCGTTTGGGAAGTGAGGAGTGCCTCTGCCAGGCCTGCAAACCGTCTGGGCAGTGAGGAGCACCTCTGCCCGGCAGCCCCCTGTTCTGGGAAGTGAGGAGCACCTCTGCCCGGCTCCTGCAACATCTCGGAAGTGAGGAGCACCTCTGCCCGGCTGCCTCACCGTCTGGGGAGTGAGGAGCGCCTCTGCCCGGCCACTGTGCAACCCTCCAATTGTGAAGTGGCAGCCTTCTGTTTGATCTTTCTGCCCTTCTCAAGTTTGCATTTTTGACATTAAAGTTTACTTTTAAAATAAAAAAATTATCTTCTCCCCTTCTGGATATTACAAACAATATCACAAGAAGGTTACACCCCTTGAGCTATTGTAAGGAATAGCATCCTCTCCCTACCTTGATATTACAAACAATATCATATGGGGCTACACACCCCCTGTGATATTGGAAGTAATATCATCCTCTCCCCTTCTGGATTTTATGGACAATATCACAAAAGGGTGTGCACCTTCTACGATATTGTGAGTAATATCATCCTCTACCCCCCTGGATATTATGAACCATATCATATGGGGGTGTACACTTCCCACCATATGGGGAGTAATAGCAACCTCTCCCCTTCCGGATATTACGAACCATACTACAGGGCGGTGTACACCCTCCACGATATGGGGAGTAATAGCATTCTCTCCCGTCGTGGATATTACAAACTATACCACAAAGAGGTGTACACTCCCTGTGATATGGGGATAATTACACCTTCTCTCCCTCCTTGATTTTACGATCCGTACTACAAGGGGGTGTACACTCCCCGCAATATGGGGAGTAATAGCACCTACTCCCCCGCTGGATATTAGGAACCAAAGGGGGGTGTACACCCCTCTCTATAAGGGGAGTCACAGTGTAGCAGGAGGAGCCGCGGACAAAATCCCACAGACACCGAGGTAGTGAAGGAAGTGGCTTTTAATCAGCTGGAAGCATCAGCAGACTAGAGTATCAAAATCCAAGCTTGTTGAGTGCACAATTTCTGTCCTTTTTAAGGGCTCACAACACTAAGGTTTTTACATGAAAGGGCCATGATTGATTGAGCAATCTAGTGGGTATGTGACAAGGGCTGCATGCACCAGTACTCAGAGTGAAACAGAACAGAACAAGAAATTTCACAATGTCCTTCCATACAATGTCTGGAATCTATGGATAACATCAGTTGCTAGGTCATGGGTTGAATTTTAACTTTCAGGCTAAGGTCAGGAAGGCCCAGGCCTGGTTTCGGGTCTGGTTTTGGATCTGGTGCCTGGCGCCGGGCTGCCTGCCTTTGGTTTCGCTTCCTTGTTTCTTCTTAAAACAGGTACTGAGTATAAAATAATACAGAACAATATGGGGGGGGTCTTTTGCTCTCTTCTCTCAATAGCACCCCTTACCTGGGATATTACAAAACATACCATAGAGGGGTGTACGCCTCCTGCAAAATGGGGAATAATAGCACCCTCTCTTACCCTGGATATTTCGAACCATACCACAGGGAGGTGCACTCCCCCCGCGATATGGGGAGTAATAGCACCCTCAATCCCCTGGATATTGTGAACCGTACCACAGGGGAGTGTACATTTCCAGCGATATGAGGGGTAATAACACCCTCTTCGTTCCCGGAGATTACAAAACATACCACACGGGGGTGTACACACCCCGCGATATGGGAAGTAATAGCATCCTCTTTCCCCCTGGATATTAGGAACCGTACCGCAGCAGGGTGTACATGCCTCGCGATATGGGGAATAATAGCACCCTTTCCCTCCCTGGATATTATGAACCATACCACAGGGGGGTGTACACCCCTTGCAATATGGAAAGTAATAGCACCCTCTTTCCTTCTGGATATTAGGAAACATACCAAAGAGGGGTGTACACCCCCTGCGATATTGAAAGTAATATTATCTTGCTCCCTTCTGGATACTAGGAACAATATCACAGGGGAGTGTACATGCCCTGTGATGTTTTGAGTAATATCATCCTCTCCCCTTTGAATGTTAGGATCAATATCACAGGGAGGTGTACACGTTCTGCGATATTGGGAGTAATATCATCCTCTACTTTTCTGGATATTAGGAACAGTATCACAGAAGATGTGAACACTCCCTGCTATATATCCAGTAATATCAACCTCTCCCCTCCTGGATATCAAGAATAATATAACCGGGGGGTGTACCCCACCTCTGATATTGGAAGTAATATCATCCTCTCTCCCTCTATATATTATGAACAATATCTCAGAGAGGGTGTATGCCCCCTGCGATATTGGGCGTAATATCATACTCTCTTCCCCTGGATATTAAAAACAATATCACAGGGGGAATAGGCACCACCTGAGATATTGGGAGTAATATCATCCTCTCCCTTAAAGGATATTAGGAACAATACATAGGGGTGGTGTACACCTCCTGTGATATTATAAGTTATATCATCCTCTCTTCCCCCAAAATATTAGGAACAATATTACAGGGGCGTTGTACACCTTCTGGGATATGGAGAGCAATGTCATCCTCTTTTCCATTGGATATTAGGAACAATATAAAAGGGGGGTGGACACACCCTGCGATATTGGCAGTAATATCATCTTTTCCCTCCTGGATATTAAGAAAAATATAACAAGAGAGGTGTACACTTCCTGCGACATTGAGAGTGATATCGTCCTCCCCCGCATGGATATTAGGAACAATATCACAGGTTGGTGCACACCCCCTGCGATATTGGGACTAATATCATCCTCTCCCCGCCCGAATATTTGGAACAATATCACAGGGGGGTGTACACCCCCCTGCAATATTGAGAGTAATATTCTCTCTTCCTGTGGATATTAGGAACGATATCACAGGAGAGGTGTACACACCCTGAGATATTGGGAGTAATATTTTCATCTTTCCTTTTGAATATTAGGAACAATAGCAGGGTGGGGTACACACCCTGTGATATTGGCAGTAATGTCATCCTTCTTCCCCCTGGGTATTAGAAACAATATAACAGGGGAAGTGTACACCCTCTCCGATATTGGGAGTAATATCATCCTCTTCCCTGCTGGATATTAGGAACAACATGACACGGTGGGTGTACACTTCCTGGAAAATGGGATTAATATCATCCTCTTTCTTCCTGGATATTAGGAACACTACCAAAGGGGAAGTGTAACCCCCTGCAATATTGGTAGTAATATCATCCTCTTTTTCCCTGATTATTATGAAGAATATCACAGCGGGGGTGTACAATTTCTGCGATATTGAGAATAATAGCATCCTCTCCTCCCTCCCCAAATACTAGAAACAATATCCCAGGATAAGTGTACACCCTCTGCGATATTGGGCATAATATCACACTCTTTTCCCCTGGATATTAGAAACAATATCATAGGTGGGGTGTACACCCCCTGGGAGTAATATCATCCTCACCACTTCTGGATATTAGGAACAATATCACAGGAGGTGTGTACACCCCTTGCTGCAATGGGAGTAATATCATGTACCTTCCCCCTGGATATTGAAAACTATACCACAGGAAAGGTGTACAAACCCTGTGATATTGAAAGTAATATTATCTTCTTTCCCCCTGAGTATTAGGAACAATACCACATGGGGTGTGTACACCCCCTGCCATATTGGGAGTAATATTATTTTCCCCTCGCCTGGATATAAGGAACAATATCACAGGAGGGGTGTACACCCCCAGCGATATTGAAAGCAATATCATCTCCTCCCCTCTTGATATTAAAAACAATATCACCGGAGGAGTTCACACCCCTGTGATATGGAGACTAATATCATTTTCTCCCCACCGAAGTATTAAGAACAATATCATGGGGGGGTGTGTACACCTTTTGTGATATTGGGAGTAATATCATCCTTTTCCAACCTGTATATTAAAAACCATATCACAGGGGGTGTGTACACCCCCTGTAATATTCACAATAATATCATCGTTTTCTTCCCTGGCTATTAGGAACAATATCACAATGGTGGTGTACACCCCCTGTGATATTGGGAGTAACATCATCCTCTTCCCTTTTGGATACTGTGAACAATCCCACAGGGGAGAGGTACACCCCCTGCGATATTGGGAGTAATATCCTCTCCCGTCATGGATATTAGGAACAATATCACAGGAGCGGTGTACACCCCCTGCGATATTGGGAGTAATATCATTTTCTCCCAACCTAACTAGCACAATATCACAGGGGGTGTTCGCCCCCTGCCATATTGAGAGTAATGTCATCCTCTCCCCTCCTGGATATGAAAAACAATATCACAGTGGGGCCGTGCACCCCCTGCGATATTGGGAGTAATATCATCCTCTCTACCCCCTGGATATGAGGAACAATATTACAAAGGGGTGTACACCCCCTGGAATATTCACAGCAATATCATTGTTTCCCTTCCTGGATATTAGGAACAGTATCACAAGGGGGGTGTAGACCTCCAGCGATATTGGGAGTAATATCATGCTCTCTCCTTCTTTATATTAGAAACAATATCACGGGGAGGGGTGTACACCACCTGCGATATCATCCTCTTTACCCCTGGATATTAGGAACAATATCACTTGTGGGGTGTACTTCTCCTGTGATATCGGGCATAATAATATCCTCTCCCCCCTGAATATTAAGAACAATATAACAGGGGGACAGCACAACCCCTGTGATATTGAAAGTAATATCATCCTCTGCTTCCCTGAATATTAGGAACATTATCACGGGGGGGGGGGGTGTACACTCCCTGCTATATTGGGAGTAATATAATCCTCTCCCTCCCTGAATATTAGGAACAATATCACAAGGGGGGTGTACAACCCCTTCTATATGAGAAGTAATATCATCCTCTTCCTTCCTTTATATATATTTTTTTCCATTGAAAGTTGTTTATTTCTCTGATGTAAGTGAGCTAAGTCACTACAGCATTAAAATCTCTTTTCTAGAACAACGTAAAGAACAATGTATACACATCTTAAATTTGGTAGGTCACAAAAGTTAGAATGCAATCATCTTTTGAGGCAACAAGAAAATAAATAAATAAAAATTAAACACTTTAACCCAAAATTTGGTATTGACAAATCAGTAGTGTCAACTTCACATATGAAGGACAATACAGTCTGGTTATTTAAAGATGCTCAATATGTCATGGTATTTGGGCTAAAGATACTTAGAATATTGCGTTTCCTTTTTGATTAAAGGAATACAATGCAATCACCATCAAGCTGCTATCATAACTCATTTTTAGCTGTGGTAAAGTGACCATTTGGTCCATGGCACAAGTTACATATATCACACTTCTGTCAAACTGAAACCTTGTAAGATTTCATGTTTATAAGCTACAATACACCCTGACCAAGCTGTCAGTCCCCTCACGGTTTTTTAGAAAAATATCTACATTTGTCCTTATGGATGTCAAAATGTTACACCATCATTTGTTAAAAAAAAAAAAAAAAGATGCACATTCATACTGTGAAGTTATTAGGAAAATACTCTTGCAAACAAACTATATAAAGATAAAACACGCTTCAAAAGTATGTGGTTTGTTTTCTTGTTTGTCTGTTTTACAATATTCTATAAAGTGCAGAGTCCTAAGGGAAAAAACTACTCCCTATAACAATAGTTCAATTACAGCAGCTTTTGCATAGCAATACTTAGAGAAAGTTGGACACTACAGTTTCTTCAGGAAGAGAAGGATGGAAGAGTATCTTCTGATTCAGATTGTTTTTTGGCCATAAGTCTGCTTTCTTCAGGAATGGTTGCTGATGCCAAATCTCCGTTAAGTGTATTTTATGAACAGTGAACAGGTCTATCTGGGTCTTCAAGAGGAATATCACTACAAGAATCTGTATCTGAGTAGGTTCTTCGGCGTCGCTGGGAGAGTCGGTGAAGTGCAGATACTGGTTCTTTTATACAGTGGCTACTCCTCCCTGGTGCAAGAACCAGGGTGGCTGACAGAACGCTTCCTCATTTGAACAGGAGAAGGTGACACAGGAGAAACTAAGGGATCCGGATGGTGCCGTTGAAACATCTCAGGTTTAAACCTGGCATTGGCTATCTTCACACATTCCTCAAGCGTTGTGATGAACGTGTTACACGTGGCACTAAGCAGAGAAGAGGCTTCATTGATGTTCTCTGCACTAGGAGATGAATGATTCTCATCGTGGTGAACAAATTCCTGTATCGTATGAACTTGCTGCATTAAGAGGTCACAGTAGAGGCGAAGTTCAGACATTTTGGTTTTCAGCGATTCACTGGTTTCACTTCTTTCTTTTTCGTTTTTAGTCCTTGTATCAGTCAAACATGCTTTGGAGCTCCCCAGAGCGACCAGCCACCTCTGTCTTTCAGCTGCGTTCACTGCCTTCATGTAGAAATGCTGCTCTCCAGGAATGATTAATTCCATTCTTGTGTTGTCTGCTGAATGAACAGAATTTATGTATCCAATCAAGGGTGGTCCCCTCCAAAGCTGTCACCTTTAATTTCACAAACTGCCATCTTTATGCTTCCTTTGCTCCCTTTGCAAACATCATCTTGTGAATCATAATAGGATAAGATTCCATTATCTAAAACAAACCAACGAGGCTGCCAACCTGTGAGATAGTTGGTCCACTTGTACAAAACCCCCTCCATGCTTCAGAGCCCCACACCGCTCATCCTCCCGGCCCGGCGCCGGCCGCGGTGATGGGGTAGGCGCGGGGCCTGGGGCAGCCTTTCCCGGCCCGCCCGGGCCCCCTCCGCCGGCACGAAGCCGCTTTCTGCCTGCGCGCGCCGCAGGGACGTGGCGGCCCTTAGAGGCCGGGACAGCGGGCGCAGCGTGGAGCTTGGGGGCCGCGAGGCGCGGGCTCAGACATCCCCGGGTAAGCCTCGGCGGCGGCGGCCGCGACAACGGCAAAAATGCGACTGCGACCGCGACCGGTCTCGTGCTCGCGCTTCCGCGGCCCGGCTGCTCCCTCCGGCGCCCCGGCGCTGCCTCTTCCTCGCCTGCCTTCCTTCCCCCTGGGCTCCCCGTTTGTTTTTCGACCTTCCTTTATATTAGGAACAATATCACAAGTGGGGGTGTACACCCCCTGCAATATTAGGAGTAATATTATCCTCTCTTTTTCTAGATATTAGAACAATATCACAGGGGAAGTATACATTCCCTGTGATATTGCGAGTAATATTCTCTCTCTCTTCTAAATATTTGCAACAATATCACAGAAAAGGTGTACAACCCCTACGATATTGGGAGTATTACTATTCTCTTCCCCCTGGATATTAGAAACAATATTACAGGTTAAATGTACACTTCCTGCGATACTGGGAGGAATATCATTCTCTTTTGCTCTGGATATTAGGAACAATGTCACAAGGGGGATGTACACTCTCTGAGATATTGAAAGTAATTTAATTATCTCCCCCCGCCCCCGGCTATTAGGAACAATATCACAGGGGGCGGTGTACACCCTCTGCAATATTTAGAGAAATATAATTCTCTTTCCCCTCGATTTCAAGAACAATATCACAGGGGATGCGTGTACACCCCCTGCGATATTGGGAGTAATATCATCCTCTGTCCCTCTAAATATTAGGAACAATATCATGGGTGGTGTACACACCCTGCGATATTGGCAATAATGTCATCCTCTCCTTTTCTGCATACTAGGAACAACATAATGGGGGAGTGTACACCTCCTGCAATATTAGGAGTAATATCATCTTCTTCCGCCATGGTTATTAGGAGCAATATCACAGAAGGTTTTATAACCCCTGTGATATTGGGAGTAATATCATCCTTCCCCCCACGTATATCCCAGCCTTGATATTAGGAACAATATTACAGGGGAGGTGTATACCCCCTGCTATAAGGGGAGTAACATAATCCCCTTTCTTCCTGGATATTAGGAGTAATATCACCCGTTTTCCACCTGAATATTAGAAACAATATCATAGGGAAGGTGTATATCCCCTGAGACATTGGGAGTAATATTATTTTCTCCTCGCTTGGATATTAGAAACAATATCACAGGGGGTGTGTTCACCCCCTGCGATATTGGGAGTAATATTATCTTCTCTCCTGCGGATATTAGGACAATATCACAAAGGGGGTGTACACTCCCTGGAATATTCACACTAACATCATCGTTTACTTCCCTGAATATTAGGGACAATATCACAAGGGGAGACTACACCCCCTGCGATATTGGGTGTAATATCATCGTCTCCCCCATGGATATTAAGAACAATATTATCGGAAGTGTGTACACTCTCTGCGATATTTGGACTAATATCATTTTCTCCCAACCTAAATATTAACAACAATATCACGGGGGTGTACAGCCCCTGCAATATTGAAAGTAATATTATCCTCTTCCCCCTGGATATTAGTAACAATATCACGGGGGAGGTGTACACCCCTTGCGATACTGGAAGTGATATCATCCTCTCCCAGTCTTGATATTAGAAACAATGTTACAGGGAGGCGTATACCGTCTGCTATAATGGGAGCAATATCATCCTCTTTCTTCCTGGATATTAGGAGAAATATCACAGGGGTTGTGTACAACCCCTGCGATATTGAAAGTAACATCATCTTCTTTCCCTCTGAATATTAGGAACGATATGATGGGGAAGGTGTACACCCCCTGCGGTATTGAGAGTGATATCATTTTCTCCTCGCTTGGATATTAGAAACAACATCACAGGAGGGGTGTACACCCACTGCGATATTGGGAGTAATATAATCCTCTCCCACCCCTGGATATTAGGAACAATATTAGAATATTAGGAAGGTGTACACTCCCTGGAATATTTACAGTAATATCATCCTTTCCTTCCCAGGATATTAGGAAAAATATCATTTTCTCCCAACCTAAATATTAATAACAACATCATAGAGGGTGTACAGCCCCTGCAATATTGAAAGTAATATCATCCTCTACCTCCCTGGATATTAGGAACAATATCACAGGGCATGTACACCTCCTGCGATATTGGGAGTAATGGCATCCTTTCCCATCCTTGATATTAGAAAAATATCAGAGAGGGGGTACACACTCCCTGCAAAAATTGAAAGTAATATCCTCTCCACCGCTGGATATTAGGAGCAATATAACGGGGGAGGGCCTGTATACACCCTGCAATATTGGGAGCAATATTATTTTCTCCTTCACTGGATTTTAGGAACAATATCACAGTGTGGGTGTAAACCCCCTGCGATATTGGGAGTAACAACATCCTCTTTCCCCATGGATATTAAATACAATATCACAGGAGGGGTGTACACTCTCTTCGATATTGGGAGTAATATTCTTCTTTCTTTTCCTTGATGTAAGGAACAATATCAGAGGGGGGTGTACACCACCTGCAATATTGGGAGTAATATCATCCTTTCCCTTTCTGGATATTAGGAACAATATCACAAGAAATGTGTACACTGGCTGCAATACTGGAAGTAATATAATCCTCTCCCTTCCTGGATATTAGAAACAATATCCCAAAAGGGATGTACACTCCCAGCGATATTGAAAGTCATATAATCGTCTGCTTCCCTGGATATTATGAAGAACATCACAGGGTGGGTGTCCACTTTCTGCGATATTGAGAGTAATATCTTCCTCTCTCCTCCTGAATATTACGAACAATATTGCATGGAGGATGTACCTCCCTTGCGATATTGGGAGTAATATCCTCCTCTCTCCCCCTTGATATTAGGAACAATATCATGGGGGAGTAGTGTACACATCCTGCGATATTGGGACTAATGTCATTTCCCCCCACTCGGATCATAGGAACAATGTAACAGGGAAAGTGCACACCCCCTGTGATATTGGGGGTAATATCATCCTCTCCCGCCCTGGATATTAGGAACAATATCACAGGGCGTTGTACTCCTTCTGCGATTTTAGGAACAATATCATACTGTCCCCTTTTGTATATTAGGAACAAATCACAGGGTTGTACGCCCCCTGCGATATTGAGAGTAATATTGTCCCATTCTCCCCTGTATATTAAGAACCATGTCACAGAGTGTGTGTACACCCCCTGCCATATTCTGAGTAATATCATCCTCTCCCCCTCCTGATATTAGGAACAATATCATAGGCATGGGTACACACCCTGCAATATTAAGAGTAATATCATCCTCTCCCTCCCTGGGTGTTATATCATCCTCTCTTCCACTGGATATTAGGAACAATGTCACAGAGAGTGTGTACACCCGTGTGATATTGAAAGTAATATCATCGTCTCCCTCCCTGGATATTAGGAATCCAAAGTCTTTTCCACAGCATTCTAATCCACATGGATCATTCTCAAAAATAGATCACATGGACACAGGGAGGGGAACATCACACACCAGGTCCTGTCAGAGGGTGGAGGTTAGGGGAGGGATAGCATTATGAGAAGTACCTAATGTAGATGACAGGTTAATGGGAGCAGCAAACCACCATGGCACGTGTATACCTATGTAACAAAACTGCACGGTCTACACATGTACCCCACAACTTAAAGTTTAATAAAAAAAAAAAGTAGACCATATGTTAGGTCACAAAACACATCTTAAAATGTGAAAAAAAATTGAAATAATATCAAGCATCTTCTTGAACCATAGTGGAATAAAACTAGAAATTGATCACAAGAGGTATTTTGGAAACTATGTAAGTACATGGAAGTTTAAAAATATGCTCCCAAATGATCAGTTGCTCAATGAAGAAATTAAGAAAAATATTGAAAAATTTCTGACACAATTGATAATGGAAACACAACATAACAAAGCCTATGAGATACAGCAAAAGCAGAACTAAGAAGGAAGTTTATAGCTGTAAGTGGTTACATCTTATGACATAATGAGGACATGCTTACGTCTTATGGTGTAGAGAGGAAGAACTTCAAATAAACAATCTAACAATGCACATTAAAGAGCTAGAGAGGCAATAAGCATACCAAAGCTAAAATGAGAAGAAGATAGAATAAAGCTTAGAGTTTAAATAAATAAAATGGAAATAAAAAATACAGAAATCAATGAAAGAAGAAGTTGATTTCTTGAAAATTTAAACAAAATTAGGCTGGGCGCAGTGGCTCATGCCTGTAATCCCAGCACTTTGGGAGGCTGAGGCAGGTGGATTATGAAGTCAAGAGATCGAGACCATCCTGGCCAACATGGTGAAAACCCGTGTCTACTAAAAATACAAAAATTAGCTGGGAGTGGTGGCACTTGCCTGTAGTCCCAGCTATTTGGGAGGGTGAGGCAGGAGAATTGCTTGAACCTGGGAGACGGAGGTTCCAGTGAGCCAAGATCACACCACTACACTCCAGCCTGGTGGCAGAGCGAGACAAACAAAAGAAAAAGTTCAACAAAATTAAGAAATTATTAGGCAGCCTAAGTAAGAAAAAAAGGGGCAGGATCCAAATAAATACAATCAAAAATGAAGAAGGAGACATTATAATTGGTACTGCAGGAACTCAAATGACGATTAGAGGCTACAATGGGCAATTATGTGCCAATAAATTTGAAAATCTAAAAGAAATGGACAAATTCCTAGATACACACAGCCTACCAAGATTAAATAAGGAACAAATTCAAAACATGAATAGACCAATAACAAGTAACGAGATTGAAGCCATAATAAACAGCCTTCCACTAAAGAAAAGCCCGGGGCCCAATGACTTCACTTCGGAATTCTACCAAATATTTAAAGAACCAACACCAGTCTTATTCAAATTATTCTAAAAAATAAAAGGGGATGGAACACTACTACCCAGATACCAAAACCAGACATAGACACATCAAAACAAACAAACAAACAAACAACAAAACAAAGAAAAAAGAAAAAAAAAGAAACTGCAGGCCAATATCTCTGATGAATATTGATGCAAAAATCCTCAACAAAATACCAGCAAACGGAATTCAAGAATGCATTAAAAATTCATTTGTCATGATCAAGTGGAATTCATGCCCAGGATGCAAGGACAGTGCACCATATGGAAATCATCAACATGATACATCATATCAAGAGAATGAAGGACAAAAAGCATATGATCGTTTCAACTGAAACTGAAAAACGTTTGATAAAGTTCAACATCACTTCATAACAAAAACCCTGAAAAAACTACATACACAGGGAACATACCCCAACATAATAAAAGCCATAAATGACAGATGCACAGCTAATATCATACTGAATGAGGAAAAATGAAAGCCTTTCCTCTAAGATCTGGACGATAACAAGAAATAATGCAGCGCTTGAGGACATTTTTTATTCTTCTCTGTTTCTCTCGCTAAAGCATTTCCTACACAATATTTGGTCTCTGAACCATGGGGCAGAATGGTTATTTTGCTTTGTTAATTTTATAGACACTTAAACTTAACAGGGTTCACCACTCCATACCAAAATTTGGTGAACCCCAAGGACCAAATCACATTATTGGAAGTAACAGTGAAACCCAAGCACACTTCCCACACACTGAAAATGCTGAGTTTGACCTGAGTCCTAGTATCCCAGCCAAGAGGGTTCCCAAAAGAAATGAATCCTCTAGGGCTTGCCACTAGGAGCCTTCTGTTGTCTTTCTGAGTGAGGGATAGGGTGCACAAGAAAGTTTTCTTCCACCTTCTTCTTTTTTTGTGTATGAGAAAGTGTTGGAAATAATTGCTTCTTCTTCAGTGCTGCAAGGAAGAATCAGCATTTAGACCAAAAGTTTTCTCAGCAAGACAACTTTAATTTCTTTAGAAAGGGTGTTGCTCATCAGCTGAGAGCACCCCAAACAAAGGGAGACAGGAATATTTATCTGTTAAGCATGAGGTCGCTACTGCTGTGTGCTATCTCCATTGGCTGGGGTTGGACCTCACAGTCTATGCTACATCCAACTGGCTAAGAACCTAAAACTGTCCTCAATAGGTAAAGATAGTGGAGACAAAGAAAAAGAGGAAGTTGCTTACAAGAATGCTTATAGGAGTAACAGCATTTCCCAATAAGGAAAGGATATAAGGTATGGGCTGGAACATGCCTGGGCACATTCACGCATGCCTGAGCTTGCTAGAACAAGCACTGAGGTTAGAGTATAAATATATATAATATGCTTCTTCCATTACTCTTGCCTCATAAAGCTTAACAAAGATTTACTACCATCAAATAAAGAAGCTTGAAGAAAGTGAGTTTCAAAGAGGATATATTAATTCCAACATTTATGATTTAAAGAAGAAAACTTTGAAGAGGAATGTTTTTATTTTCCACAGACAGATTATCACTCTAATGCCTAGGCTAGAGTGCAGTGGCATGATCTTCGCTCATTACAAACTCTGGCTCCCAGATTCAAGTGATTCTTGTGCCTCAGCCTCCCAAGGAGTTGGGATTACAGGCATGTGCCACAATAACTGGCTATTTTTGTATTTTTAGTAGAGTTGGGGTTTCTGCACATTGCCCAGGGTGGTCTCAAGCTGCTGGCCTCAAGTGATCCACCCAACTGGGGCTCTCAAAGTGCTGGGATTACAGGCTGAGCAACTGTGCCTGGCTGAAAGTGTCCATTCTAAAGATAGCAAAGGCAATGATTTTGTATCACTTCAGAATCCTTCCTTGAATGTTAGGCAGACTTCCTCACCCACTATCCCTGATTTGATTTGTGTATCCTTGCTAATGGGGGTTACAGCTATTAATTTTATTTTTGTAATTGCCATTGTTTGGCTATTTGGTGACACATAGTTCTTGTTAACTGGTGGTTGTCAATTTGAAGAATCCAAGAGCAGGTGGAGATGCCTCAGGATGAAAATAGAAAGCCTCCAGACCTGGGAGAAAGAAGGGTGTATACACCTCCCGAAAGGTAGATGGGGGGCAGTGTACTTGCACAACTCACTCTCCAGAATGGGCTTGGCAGTGTCCCAGTGGAAGACTATGGTAGATGATCAAGAAAACAAAAAGTCTGCGGAAGGAGTTGAGGGTCGCAGAGGGAGGAGAATCTATTGCAGAATACACAGTGCAGACAGAATACTCAAGGGCATGGATGAAGTGTCCTTACAATGAGGGCTGAGGGTCTGAGAATTGGATATGAGGCCATTCAGGAGAGGATGGGAGTCTGAATCTGTTTTCTGCTTAGAAGTCCCTCCAGGACACCAGCTTGAGACAAAGGTTGGAGGTATAGGCATTGCAGGATGAGGGTCAGCCTTTTCCAGTGGCCAGGTCTGGCAAAGGTAAGATGAGAGCAGCTTGCTGTCAATGTGGCTCTGGCTTGGGTATTGTGAGCATTGTCAGGGAAGGCTACAGAGAGTCAGATGAGACCTGCAGGAGCCCATGGCCTCCTAGAGACAAGGCATCAATTTAGCTAGGTGTTATAGTGTCACCACTATGACCTGGGAGTTACAGTGTCACCACTAGAGACCCAACAGCAGGATGTGGAACTGAGAAGTGGTTGATTGGTTGTTCATGGGCAGGAATATGTGGGTGTTTTGGTTTGAGTAAAGAGTGGGCACACCTTAGAGAATGAAGCCCCCAAAACACCAGAAAATTGGACAGGGTAGGGAGCCTAGGTCCTGGATGGCTGGGGGCAAGCTCCAGGTGGAGTGTAACTCTGAGGGCATCAGATATTTTCTGACTCAGTTGTCATATGGGCCATATGGCACATATATGGCACATAGGGAACATATTGCACACTTCTCTTGCAGTAGCCTGCTAGTGGGTGGACAATATCCTGTGCACTGAACAGAGGCAGCAAGTGAGCAGAACAACTCATCATGACGGCTTTTTGTCCTTGTCTCCATGCAAGCCAGGTGTTATTTCTGTGGTTTCGGACGTTGGTATTGATGCACGGTTTTTTAAAAGGGGAGGCTAAAGTCCCAGAGTTTGGTAGACTGCACCTCTCCAGATGAGATTTTAAGAGCCCCCGATTTTCACACATGGGGAGAGTGATTGCCCTCACAAACTCTTCCTCCTCATTGTGGTTTCTAGGTTTTCACTTTGTCAGACATTTTGAGTTTCGATCACAAACACTCCACGTTCACATCACCCATGCATGCTGCCCACCCGTATCCACAAGGCTGCTGTGTCTACTCTGCTCCTGTTTTCCAAAGCACCCCTTCCATCAGGAAATGTGCCTTCCATTCCTAGGGATGTCATGATTCCCAGCTTTCATATCTCCTCACAGAGGAGGTTCCCAAATTACTCTGGGTTCTCAGTCCAGAAGTTGAGCCTTTAAAACCCTTTTCTGTCATATGGTCAGTCCGTTGCAGGGTGCAGCCCCTCAGCAGCCAAGATTCCCTGTGGATAGCTCTTCAATCTGATTGCCTGGGCTTTCTCCATCATGAAACCTTTCATCTCCTTGGTCCTTGTCACACACCCTGAACCCCAAAATAGAAAAGCCACAACAGAATGAAGTAGATGAGAAACAATCTCCTTGTTTATAATTCCGTTTATTTCCTCACATACCAGCCAAGCTTCTCAGTCAGGCAGACACAATAGATGGAATGGCAAGGGAAGTGAAGAGTGGAGGCTGCATCCCTTCAGCCGCCAGCTGATGTTCTGCTTATTTCGCATACCGGAACTCCCAGGCGTCCTCAAACCACAATCACAGTTGTTGGTTCCAGAAACATCTTCTTTGGAAAAACATGTGACATCAGTTTCCTCAGAGTCTTCCGGACAATCCAGTCACACAGAACTGACAAAACCTTGTCAGGTGAGAAGATAAGGATCTTCTTCAATACAGAATATGTCAACATCTCCTTCTGAATAGTTCCGTTTATTTGCTCACATACCAGCCAAGCTTCTCAGTCAGCAGGCACAATAGACTGAATAGGAAGGGAAGTGAAGAGTGAAGTCTGGATCCGTTTAGCCTCCAGCTGATGTTCTGCTTATTTCCTGTACTGGAACTCTCAGAAGTCCTCAAACCACAATCACAGTTGTTGGTTCCAGAAACATCTTCTTTGGAAAAACATGTGACATCAGTTTCCTCAGAGTCTCCCGGACAATCCAGTCACGCAGAACTGACAAAACCTTGTCCAGTAAGAAGGTAAGAATCTTCTTCAATAGAGAATACGTCAACGTCTCCGTGAACGAAGAGATCTGCTGGTTCCAAGGACTTGTCGTGGATTTCTGTCCTAGATACTTTCTTCCGTAATTCAAGATAAAGAAAATTACAATCTCTGCTGTCCATTCCATCGCTTTTCCCTTCAGAATCATAATCAGAGAATCCTTGCAGAACGTCGTGAGTGTGCTCTCAGCTGCAATCACCAGAAGGACTCTTCACACTCGGTGAGTCCTCCTCATTTTATAGAAGCCAAAGCAGTGACGTATGCTCACCCCTCCCGCCCCCAGGAGAGAGGTTGCTGGCCAATGAGCTTGAGCTTCGTCATCCTTCCAAGCCCCACCCAGTTCCTTTGCTTCCCTTTCACCAACTTTGACTGAAATGAATAGGTTACAACCTTTAGCTTTCTGCCCCTTGGAAAACGGAAGCATTTAGACATCCGTATTAATATTTGGATCTAGAGTGTTCGTGTTTTAGCACTTCCTTTTTTGAAAGGAGAAGCAGACGTGTTGTGTTTTTAGGAACACTTCCAAGAAGTTTCTCCTCCTCTATGATGAAACCAACACAAGAAAGCCAAAAGGGCGTTTAACCCCTTGAAGCACTGAGAGTTTCCCTGCTGATATTCTTAGACTGTTCTTTTTCTAAAACGAGAAAGAGGTAAGTTCTCTTTTTTTTTTTACACTGCCCAAAACTCTCTCTGCTCAGTGCTGGGCACTGGAAAACAATGGCCCTCTCTCTGGAAACCACTATCTGCCATCTCAAGGGCCCACTACAGGTCTGCCCAGCATTTTCATCCCTTCCTCAAGTCTGGTGCCCAGGACCCTCCTCTGCTCTGACAGCCAGGCAGCAGCACTCAAACTCCCCTCCCCTCTTAGCCTTCATACCTTCAGCTGCACTTCTGCCTCTGCAGTGTCAGGATGACCTCCCCTTCCTCCTGTCCTTCCTCATTCTTAAGACTTCCTACCCCTTCTGGATTAATTTATGGAAAACCTAAATAATCTCTTTCAAATTTTAGCCCACTTTTTACATGTAGATTGTTTTATAAGATGAATTTTAACAAACCTTTTCTAAGTTGTTCAACCATTTTCTTTTGTCTTTTTGTTATTTTATTTCCTGAATTTAAAATATTTGAAAACCTCTAAACTTGACAAAACTAATTTTTTCATAAAAGCTATGTTCTCATGTCCTTTTATAAACTTTGACTTAAAATATATTTTACTTGTTCAGTCAGATTTGTGTGTGAAAATTTTTAAGTAGCTTTAGATACAAATATTAATTATAATGGTAACTCTTAAGTATGCATTTTTAGTAAACCACTTAGGAGACAACCAATTTTAATTATGTCCTTGATGTAGAGCTTAAAGAAAAAGATGGAGCTGTAGAAAACATCTTAGTCTTGAAATATCTTACTCTTCCCAGTATAAGGGGGGGCATGGCCCTATTTCACAGGTGCCCAGGCCTTAGCTAGAAATGGATGGTTCCAAGACATGTCAAAAAACTGTTTGAAAGGTTTTAGAAGTTGTTAATGACATGAAAATATTTAGTAAAGGCAGTATTTGATCTGTCTAATTTGGATCCAATATCTAAACTCTGAAGACATATTTATTTTATTTTGCTAATTTTAAAAGTGGCTTTATTTTTTAAAATAATGTTTATGTTTCTTTCAATAGTGTGTGGAATATATGTGGTTTTTGGTTATGTGGATAAAAGTTCCTTAGTGGTAATTTCTGAGATTTTGAGGCATCTGTCTCCTGAGCAGTGTATAATATACCCAATATGTCATCATTTATTCCTCATCCCCCTCCCAACCTTTCCCCGAGTCCCCAAGTCCATTATATCATTCTTATGCCTTTGCATTCTCATAGCTTAACTCTCATTTAAAAGTGAAAACATTCAATATTTGATTTGCCATTCCTCAGTTACTTCACTTAGAATAATGGCTTCCAGTTCCATCCAACTTGTTGCAAAGGACATTATTTTGTTCCTTTTTATTATCAAGTATTATTCCATGGTGTACCACATTTGCTTTATCCACTCGTTCGTTGATGGGCACTTAAGTTGGTCCCATATCACTGCAATTGCGAATCGGCTGCTATAAACATCCATATTCTTGTGTCTTTTTTATGGAATAACTTCTTTTCCTTTGGGTAGATAGCCAGTAATGGGATTGCTGGAATGAATGGTCTACTTTTAGTTCTTTAAGGAATCCCCATACTGTTTACCATAGTGGTCGGACTAGTTTAAATTCCCACTAGCAGTGTCAAAGTGCTCCCTTTTGACCACATCTATGCCAACATCTATTGTTTTCTGACTTTTAAATTATGGGCTTCTAGCAAGATTAAGATAGCATCTCATTGTGGTTTTGTTGTGGGATTTAGGAGGATGAGAGAGAGGCTTTGGGTTAAAACAGGAGAATCTTTTATTGAGTGCTCTCAGGCCCAGCAGACTCACGTCCAAAGACAGGGCCTGGAACAAAGACAGCACTTGACTTTTATACACACTTCACAAAAGGGGGTGGGCCAGCTTGAAGCAAGCTTACAGTGGTGTGAAAGCAGGGATACAGAGGCAGGAAAAAGACAGTTAATCAAATTGTAACAGGTTCATAACTCAGGATTGCACATAACTGTTGCTATGCAACCCAGATGTCTATTATCTAGGTTTTGCTCTAAAGAGGCTTGCATTGGTTTATCTTCACTATGGTGCCTAGAGAGCTGTAGTTCAGGCCTGCTCAGGCTTCTCATGACCTTTGCCATACTTCTTAGATAAAACAGAATACTTGAAGTTACTAGTTAAAGAGAACAAGAATCTATAAACTCATACCATAAAACAAAGGAAAATTTGTTTTTCTTCTCCCTACATTGAAGGAGTGCTGGAAGAGTCTCCAGAATACAATAAATAATATTATCAAGACTTTTCCTGGGTCTGGGCTGTGCCTGTTGCTGCCTCTGGGACAAGTTAGCTTAATACAAGAAAGCTTATTTCCCTTTCTTTTTAATTTTATTTTTCTTTAATTTCCCACCTCAGTTTTACTTTGCATTTCCCTGAGAATTTTTAATAAGTAAAATACTTAGAAATATACTTAACCAAGTAGGTTAATGTAAGTTTCCTACAAGGAAAACTACAAAATAGTGCTGAAAGAAATCACAGTTGACACAAACAAATGGGAACACATTATAAGCTTATGAATAGGTAGAATCAATATTGTGAAAGTGACCATACTCTCCAAAGCCATCTACAGAGCAGTAGAATTCTCATCAAAATATCATCATTCTCCTTCCCAGAACTAGAAAAAAGAATCCTAAAATTTATACAAAACCAAAAACGTGACCGCATATCCAAAGCAATACTTTGCAAAAAGAACAAATCTGAAGGCAGGCTTTAAATTATACTACAAGGCTACAATCACCAAAATAGCATGATACTGGTATAAAATATGCACATAGAGCAATAGAACAGAATAGAGAACCCAGAAATAAAGCCAAATGCTTACAGACAACTAATCTTCAACAAAGTACACAAAAACATTAATTGGGGAAAGGATACTTTATTCAATAAATGGTGCAGGAAGTATAAAAATAGGCACATAGAGCAATGGAACAGAATAGAGAACCCAGAAATAAAGCCAAATGCTTACAGACAACTAATCTTCAACAAAGTATGCAAAAACACTAATTGGGGAAAGGACACTTTATTCAATAAATGGTGCAGGAAGTATAAAAATAGGCACATAGAGCAATGGAACAGAATAGAGAACCGAGAAACAAAGCCCGGTACTTTCAGTCACCTGATCTTTAACAAAGCATATAAAAACTTCCATCTAAGACCTGAAAGTCTAAAAATGCTACAAGATAGCATCCAAAAAGCTTTTCTAGACATTGGCTTAGGCCAAGTAGTCATGACTAATGCCCCAAAAGCAAACGCAAAAATATAAAAATAGAATAAGATCAATAGGACCTAATGAAACCGAAAATCTTCTGCAAGGCAGAAGAAATATCAGCAGGGTAAACACACAACCCACAGTATAGGAAACAGTAGTCACAAACTAGGCATCTGACAAAGGACTAATGTCCAGACTCCAAAGGAACTGAAAGAAATCAGCAAGAAGAAAAGGTGCCATTTACCACCTTCCTGACTCATTGGCCAGAACCAATGTTAGTGGAATTAACATATGCCCCACCCCAAGTGACTTCTAAAGGGCTAACTCACCACAAGGGAGTCAGAGCAGATCTTGGACTGAGACCTACAGGACACAGGTACTGCTTTTTCTCTTTTATTTGTTTTAAATTTTATTTATGTTTTTAGATCAAATAGTTCAGATTGCATTGGTTTTTAATCTGCTGTTGTTGGATTAACATATGCTTTAAGCGACTCTTAAATAGGTGGCTCACCAGGAGAAAGGCATAGCAGAACCTGGACTGAGACCTACGGGAGACAGGTATTGCTTTTTCTCTTCTAATCATTTTAAATTTAATTTACCATCTTTCATCAAATAGCTCCGATCATATCATTATTTTTTCTTTTCTGTTTTGTTGGTGGTTTTATTGGTGGAGTTTTATTTTACTATTTTAGAAAAGCAGTCTTTTAAAAAAGACTTTTAAAAAGTTTTATTACTCTTTTTTTTAAAAAAATTATGTTTTCCCTTGATGTGCTTATTTCCTTTATAAAGATCATCACCATTAAATTACTAGGAGATACTGCGGCTGATTTTGTCATGCGTGAGATAAGAAATTTTTTGCCAAAGCAATTAGTGATGAGTGCAATGGAAAAATCCGTGATGATCTTTTAAGATGATTAACTTTCTAATCCAGAAAATGCTGCTGTTTGTACTGAACAAAATAGCTTTATTTTTATATGACCAGGGGTACATAAAATGCTTCAAAACAACACATAATTTGGCAAAAATACTATGTCTTGCCAGCCAGAAGAATAAGTGTGGTTTTATTTCTATGTATATGTCTAGTACCATGCCTGCACTAGAGTTGGGAAATTTTAAAAACATCACCTATTGATACAGAAGAGAAGTGCTGGGAAGGGAAGGGCATGGTCCCTTTGAATGATACAGAAAAGGTGAAGGAAAGTGATGGGTAGAGGAGGCCGGGGTCCCTGGCTAGGGCTCCAAACCTGGGCTTGTGCCCCTGGACCTAGATGAGGACAGGCATTTTTGTTTTCCTGACCAAATGTTGCATTTCCCAAGATCACCCTGGCCCACCATGCCCTATCCTGTGCCTAAAAAAACCCTGGGACCCTAGCAGGCAGACACACAGGAGGTTGGACGTCGAGAGGAGCACATCAGTGCAAGAACACATGGGTGGCTGCCACTTCTCTCCCTTTCCTGAGAGGGAAAAACTCTCGACGCTGAGAGGAATCCACCAACAGGCACCAGCACTCTGGCAGGCCACCGACCAATGGATTGACATAGAGTTTGGCTGGGGCAGCCAGAGGAGAGCCTGGGCCGCTGAATAACCCGACTTCAGGGGAAAACTATTCTCCCTTTTGGCTCCCCCATCTGCTGAGAGCTACTTCCACTCAATAAAACCTTGCACTCATTCTCCAAGACCACGTGTGATTTGATTTTTCTGGTACACCTAGGTAACAACCGCGGGATACAGAAAGCCCTCTGTCTTTGGGTTAAGGAATGGGTCTAATTGAGCTGGTTACCACAAAGCCACCTATAGATGGCAAAACTAAAAGAGCACATGGTACCACATGTCCACTGGGGCTTCAGCAGCTGTAAACATCTACCCCTAGATGCTGCCATGGGGTTGTAGCCCCACAACTTGCCAGTCTGTATGCTTCCCTAGAGGTTTGAGCAGCGGAGTACTAAAGAAGCAAGCCACACCCCCACTCCACCTCCTGTGAGGGGGACAAGGAAACTTTTCCCATTTCAACTGGTGGCTCGTCTGGGATCTCGGAAGGTGAGTGTGAGTGAATGGGAAACTGTTGGGCCTGCCTTTCTTCCAAAACTCTGCCACTTCTCTCCCTTTCCTGCAGGTAAAAGACTCTGTTTTCCTTTCATCTCTTTTCTCTCTCACACATTATTTGAAATGGATCTTATCTCTTCCTTTATAATGTTAAGAGTTTTGCTACAGGCTGAGGCAATGTTACTAAGTAAAATGAGCATTTGGCTCAGCCGCCAAAGGTGCAAATCAGACCAATTTTTCCTAGAGGTGCCATGTATGCCTCCACCTTGACAGCCCCAGGCATGAGCGGCTTCCAGGGCACCTCTCCTTACCCTTTTCCCTCCCAGCTCCAGCACCTAGGCATGCCTGCAGCAGGCAAAGGCCACACCCAATAGCCATGAAGGGGCAGGGGGAGCAATGTCGCAGAAGTGTCTCCCTCCACTGCCTGGGATGAGGGGGGTGTGAGAAAACCGATGGTAGCCAGGACCCTACAGAGTGCTTCTCACCCACTGCATCAATGGAACCTTTCCTTCCATGGCCAAGGAATTCAACCTGGTCTGAACTGGGGGAAGGATGGGAAAGTTATAAGGATTAGAGGGGCCCACTTGCACTAAGCAAGGGGTTCTTCCCCCAGCATTCCCCACTTTTTGCCTCTTTAACTGTTTTTCTCTTTTTTTCTTTTCTAAGTGAGAATCCCCACCGCTCTGTTTCTAATAGGGAAGTTAACAGAGGAGTGACCCCTGCTGGCTGATAATTGCAAATTCAGCAGGGCTTATTTGAGGCACTAAATGGATATAAACAGCCTCTGAAATGCTTTTTCAGTCCCAAACTCAATTCCAAGCTTCAGGCTGAGGCCCTAGAAAGAGAAAGCAGGTCTGAGGAATTCAAAGCCAGGCAACAGGCACAATGTAAATGGACAGGACCAATTCCTGCTGACTGAACCCCATCCCACAGAAGGAGGCCATGCCTCATGGGATAAAAAGGCCCAGGGAACTCAAAGTTTTTCAACAGCAGGGAGAAAAGGAAACATAGGTGAGGGCAGTTAATTCCTAATCTCCAGGTTCTCCCTGCTTCATGGGTACATACCGCATTTGTACCTGTGGCCGGCACCTGCCAAGGTTGCCAGGGCGCAGGGGTAAGAGGTGGAAAGTGAAGTGAAGATGCTTGCTTTCCCTCCCCATCACACCCTGAGCTTTTTGCCAAAAGAAGGAAGGGAAATGAGGAACACCTCTATTCCCTGTCTTTCAGAATGGGCAGCCAGTTCTCCTCACCACCCCCAGCTTGTACTCCCCTTGAGTGTATCCTGAACCATTGGGACTGTTTTGACCCTCAGAATCCAGAGGAAAAGCATCTCATAGCCCTCCGCACATAGGTTTGGCCAAATTATGGTTTACAGGAAGGACTGGCTTGGCTTCAGGAAGGGACCATTCATTTCAATACCATCCTGCAATTAGAACTTTTCTCTGGATGTGAGGACACATGGTCTGAGGCCCCAAATGTGCAGGCTTTCTATACCTTGCAAAGCAATCCAGACCTTTGCTGACATGTAGGATTGTTCCAGCCCTCCTGTTTGCTGTCTCGGGGAAGGCTGCCAGGGTCAAGCCCAGGGAATTAAAGACACGAGTCCCAGACGCACCCCCAGCTGACGTGCCAGCTCCCTCAAGCCCTGCTCCTCTGGGTCCACCCCAACCTCCGTATCCAGCTTCAGCCTCTCACCTGGCCCCTCCTAGAAATCTTCATCCCAAACAAGCCCAGTCTCACTCTTGCCCCTCCTACAGATGCCCAGTGAATTTGGGCCCAGTAAGGTCCAAGTCCTCTTTTCCCTACAAGACTTAAAGCAAATTAAGGGAGATCTGGGCAAGTGTTCAGATGACCCTGATAGATATATAGAAGCTTTCCAGAATTTCACCCTAACATTTGAACTCTCCTGGAGAGACGTTATGTTACTTTTGAGTCAGAACCTGATAGACACTGAGAAGCAGGCTGCTCTGCCAGCAGCAGAGAGATTTGGGGATGAGCTTTGCATCACCTATAGCATCAGGGAAGGGAGCGAATATTATCCAACTGGAAGAGAAGTAGCACCAGTGAAGGACCCTAAATGGGATCCCAATAATGAGATGGAAGACTGGAAGAGGAGACACTTTCAGGTGTGCATAATAGAGGGCTTACGTAGGTCTAAGACCAAGCCTCTCAATTATACTAAGTTGTCCATAATTAACCAGGGATTTGATGAAAATCCCACTGCCTTCCTGGAGAGGCTAAGAGAGGCCTTGGTAAATCACACCTCTCTATCTCCTAATTCAATCGAGGGACAGATAATCCTAAAGGATAAAATTATTACTCAGGCAGCTCCTGACATCAGGAGGAGGTTGCAGAAATGGGACTTGGGACCAGATAGTACATTAGAGGACCTCCTGAAAGTAGCCACCTCGATCTTTTATTATAGAGACCCCTGGGAGGAATCTGACTGCCGTTTTCCCCCAAAACAATGCCCCCTTTCAGCAGGAAGCAGCTAAGACTGGTCATCATCCATATTCTAATGGCAGTTAGATGTACCTCTTCAGAGGGGGCAAATGACATGAAAGTGAAGTGCTGGGATGGGAAGGGCATGATCCCTTTGAATGATATAGAAAAGGTGAAGGGAAGTGTTGGATACAGGAGGCTGTGGTCCCTGGCTAAAAGCTCCACACCTGGGCTTGTCCCCACGGACCTAGATGACAACAGGCATTTTTGTTTTCCTGACCGAATGTTGTCTTTCCCAAGATCATCCTGGCCTGCTAAGACCCATCCTGTGCTTATAAAAACCCCAAGACCCTAGCAGTCAGACACACAGGAGGCTTGACGTCGAGAGGAGCACATCAGCGGAGGAACACACAGGCGGCTGGACATGAAGAGGAACATGACAACAGGCACCAGCACACCAGCAGGGCACCGACTTATAGAACGATGTGGATTTTGCCTGGGGCAGTCAGAGGAGAGCCAGGGCTGCTGAACGGCCCCAATCCAGGGAGAAACCAATCTCCTTTCTGGCTCCCCCATCTGCTGAGAGCTACTTCCACTCAATAAAACCTTGCACTCATTCTCCACGTCCACGTGTGACCTGATTCTTCTGGAATGCCAAGGCAAGAACCCTAGGATACAGAAAGCCCTCTGTCCTTGTGATAAGGAATGTGTCTAATTGAGCTAGTTACCACAAGTTGCCTATAAATGGCAAAACTAAAAGACCACACGACCACTGGGGCTTCAGGAACTGTAAACATCCACCCCTACACACTGCCAGTATGAGAAAAATTTGCTGATATGTTTTCTGCTGACCTGATGACAATGTTCCTATGGTCACACTAACCACTGCTGGGTAATTTTCATCATGACTCTCGTTTTCATCTGCTGAAACCAGCCTCCCCAAGAAAGACAACTATTTTCAAACTGAGGAAATAAAGTGTTACTAAACCACAGTGTTCTCTCATGGCTGTTCCTGGAGTTCTTCAAAACACTTGATATTATAAAATAGAATTATTACAGATCACTGTATGTTATGGATTTAGTCAAAATGATAATTTAAAATATGGTTTAAAATAAAAAACTTTATTTTCCAAAGAAGATAGTTTTTTAAACAAGAATATCCAATAAAGACAGTATGAGGTCAGCTGACTTTAGTGTTGGTGTATGTGTATGTGTGTGTGTGTTTATAGTTTAAAAGGTAAACAAAAATGCTTTATTATTTAATATTACGCAAAACTTTTGTTTAAAGGAGAAAATCAAATTTTATTTTTGTTGAAGTTAATTTTTAATAAAATTTTACGTAAAATCTATGGAATTTTAATCAGTTTGACTCTAAGGTAAGATTTTTATAAAGTTTGCATAACATTTATAGTTCTTTTAAAGAATAGATTAATATTCTAAGAAAACCCTGCTATTCTGATACATGAACCCAAATTAAGGCCTTGTATCAGAGTGTTTTTAATGAATGTTTAATTTCTTTAAAAACAAAATAATTCCTTAAATTTTAACCAATGCTTTTTTTTGTAAAATTTTTATAGAACTAATTTTTACAAATCTTTTACAACTTATTTAAACCTTGAGTCTTGTCTTGTTATTTTTTATTTTTGAATTTAACATAACTTTTTAGAACTGCAAAACTAGACAAAATTACTGTTTTTTATAAAAACTATATGTTCATGTCTTTTTATAACTTTTTATTAAAAATACATTCTACTTTTTCATATACTTTGTATGAGAAATAGTTTTAGTTACATATATTCATTATAATGTTAACTCCAAGCAACTCCTTTTAATAATAAACTTAGGATGTATGCAATTTTGATAGGTAGCAGTTGCAAAGCCTACTGCAAGGGTCAGAGCTGTAGAAAATGTCTCTTTCCAGCACAGAGAGGGGGCATGGTGCCCTTCATTTGTCCCCAGGCTTTAGCTAGAACTTAAAGCTCTAAAACAGACATGTAATTCAATTATTTAAAAGATTACAGGAGTTGTTTATGACCTGAAAATATTTACTAAGGGCAGTATTTGACCTGTATAATTTAAACCAAATGTCTAAATTCTGAAGATGTTCTAATTTTACTTTACTAATAATTTTAAAGCATGCTTTATTTTTTAAAGATTTTTAAAGTCAGGTGAATTAAAAGGGATTTGAGTTAAAGTTTTTGTATTTTCTGAGAAAATATTTAGGTGTTTAGTTTTCTAAGCCGATTAATGAGGGTTTCATCATATATTTTGGTAGTGAAACATTATGTACACATGAGACATCTAAATATACAGACACACAGACAGAAGCAGATTTTATAGATTTATAACTTTTTAATTGTTTTTTAAAATATTTTCCATGATTTAAAAAAAAATTATTATTATTTGTTATTTGCCTAGTCAGGCTATTTGAGGGCCGAAAGTAGTCAAGATCTATTTGTCCAATAGAGGGCGCCCCTCCACGCCGCTGGCTTTTTAGGGAGTCCGTCGATGGAAGACCTGTAATAAAAATAAGGTTGATGGTTAGGGCTGCTGAGGTGATGAGCCCTAGATTTCTTCTAGTTCAGGAGTCTAAGTCACTCCGCTCATGCAGCTAAGTCATTCCCCAGCCCAGATCCCCACATAGCATCATTCTCCCCCTGTCCCGCACCCAGACTCACATCACCTTCTTCCTCGTCTGGACTCAAATCTCTCTCTCTGCTCCCCGCTCCATAAGGACACTTGGGATTCCATTAGGGTCTAGCCAGATAAACCAGAAGAACCTCCCAACATTAAGATATTTAACTTCCTCACCTTTTCAAAAACGCTTTTGCCATAGAAAGTCACTTTCACCGGTTACAGGCGGTAGTTCTTGGTTACAGGAACTTGAAAATGTTCCCTCTTCATATTTACCAGCTTTTGTAAAAAGCATGTTTTCTGTCCTGTGTACTTGAGCATGCTAAAGTCTTGTCCCCTTAGTGATTCCACCTTCTGTTGCCCAAGCACTAGGGGAGGGTCCTGCTGCCTCTTTTCACCTCTGACATTTGCACTCTTACCCAACATGGCTACTGATCCGTTGAAAAGGCCGTGAATTTAAATTTAAAATGGTGCCATTTACCACCTCCCTAGTTCATTGGCCAGGACACTTCCTATCGGGTTAACTTATGACCCAAGTGACTTCTAAAGGGGTGGCTCACCGTGAGGGAGGCACAGCAGAACTTGGACTGAGTCCTGCAGGACTCAAGTATTACTTTTTCCCTTTCATTTGTTTTAAATTTCATTGACTTCTTTGGATCAAATAGCTTACATTGTATTGCTGTTTTTTTTTTCTTTACCATTTTGTTGGTGAGGTTTTGGTGTTGTTGCTTTTTTTCTTTCTTTCTTTCTTTTTTTTTTTTTTTTAGAAAAAGGGTTAACTTCTATTGCCCTGGCTGGAATGTAGTGGTGCAATCACAGTTCACTGCAGCCCCCAACTCGTAGGCTTAAGCAATCCTCCTGTCTCAGCCTCCTGAGTAGCTGGGACTCTAGACGTTTGCTACCGTGCCTAACTTTTTAGAAAATTATTTTAAAAAAATATTTTAATCCTTTAGAAAAAAATGTGTTTTCCATAGATTCCCTGTTTTTAAATATAAAGTTTATTGCCATTGAAATTTTAAGAGATATTGTGGCACACTGTCTTATGTATGAGATAACAAAATTCCCACCAGAGCAATTAATAACAACGGAAAAGGCAATGACGATGTTTAACTCGACAATTAAATTCCGAATTAAGCACATGCTGATGTCTATACTAAAAGAAAATTCATTTTTATGCAATTAGTTGTACGTGAAATGTGTCAAAGAAATACATAATCTATGAAATAAATGATGCATTATCAGCCAGAACAAGTAAATTTGGTTTGATATCTATGTATACACCCAGTACAATTTCTGCACTACAGTTAGAAAAACTTAAAATACAATATAACCTATTTATTGTAAAAGGATGATGAAACATGAAATATGAACAGCACAAATATGTACAAGTATCACTTCTCAATGGAAAAAATTACGTATAAAAAAACCAGCAGAGTTTGTGGTTGAAATATGAACAGCATGAATATGTACAACTATCACTTCTCGATGGAAAAAATTATGTATAAAAAACAACAGCAGAGTTTGTGGATGCATTGATAATGGTAAATCCTGTATGTTATGGTAAACATCTTCATGAAAACACATTTACAAACATTTTCTCTGCTGAATGGATGATCATGAAAAGGAATTTGTTATCATCACATTTGCTGGACTGAGCATAATGAAAAGGAATATACTACGATCTGGATTGTTGAACTTCCATCCAGAGAAGAAATTTACTATTGTGCTACAAGCTGCAGTAACAATCTCCTTGTGATCTCAGCAAGGCCTGCAGGGCAATTTACATCAGGACTCCTCTTTTCCTCTCCAGAACTTCACTTACCTGAGAAAGAGTGTCTTTTGATAAATAAAATATTATTAAATGAGTGTGGTCTTATGACTGTTTCCAGGGTGATTTGCAATGCATGTTGGGGTGAGTCTCTGGGGTGTGTGCTGAGGAGGGGTGGCTTTTAATCTTGAGAGAATGTATGAAAGGGAAAGAAGGTCTCCACAGCATCTGAGGGGCTAAGGACCATGACCCTGCCTGGATTTAAGAAATGGGAAGGTTTCAGAGGGTGAAATTAGGTGTTGAGTCTTGGGGGGTGTTTGAGAAGCTCCTGCCTCAGGAGTGGAAGCTCTGGGGGAAGTAAAGACAATCCTGGGTGCCTCAATGGGGCATTTCCTAATTTCAGAGAAATCAAACCAAAAACAGTGAGGAAATGGACTCCTTGAAGACTGTGGTCCATGAATATATGTAGGGAAAGGAAAGAGAGATCAGACTGTCACTGTGTCCATGTAGAAAGGAAAGACATAAGAGACTCCATTTTGAAAAAGACCTGTACTTTGAACAATGGCTTTGCTGAGATGTTGTTAATTTGTAGCTTTGCCCCAGCCACTTTGACCCAGCCACTTTGACCCAACTTGGAGCTCACAAAAACATGTGTTGTATGAAATCAAGGTTTAAGGGACCTAGGGCTGTGCAGGATGTGCCTTGTTAACAAAATATTTACAAGCAGTATACTTGGTAAAGGTCATTGCCATTCTCTAGTCTCAATAAACCAGGGGCACAATACACTGTGGAAAGCCGCAGGGACCTCTGCCCTTGAAAGCGGGGTATTGTCCAAGGTTTCTCCCCATGTGATAGTCTGAAATATGGCCTCATGGGATGAGAAGGACCTGACTGTCCCCCAGCCCAACACCCATAAAGGGTCTGTGCTGAGGTGGATTAGTAAAAGAGGAAAGCCTCTTGCAGTCGAGATGGAGGAAGGCCACTGTCTCCTGCTTGCCCCTCAGAACTGAATGTCTCGGTGTAAAACCCAATTGTACATTTGTTCAACTCTGAGATAGGAGAAAAGCTGCCCTGTGGCGGGAGGTGAGACATGTTTGCAGTAATACTGCCTTGTTATTCTTTACTCCACTGAGATGTTTGGGTGGAGAGAAACATAAATCTGGCCTGAGTGCACGTCCAGGCATAGTACTTTCCCTTGAACTTAATTATGATATAGATTCTTTTGCTCACATGTTTTTCATTGACCTTCTCCTTATTATCACCCTGCTCTCCTACTACATTCCTTTTTGCTGAAATAATGAAAATAATAATCAATAAAAACTGAGGAAACTCAGAGGCCGGTGCCGGTGCAGGCCCTTGGTGTGCTGAGTGCTGGTCCCCTGGACCCACTGTTGTTTCTTTATACTTTGTCTCTGTGTCTTATTTCTTTTCTCTGTCTCTCCTCCCACCCAACTAGAAATACCCACAGGTGTGGAGAGGCAGGCCACCCCTTCAAATATATAGGACCCAGAACCAGTCCATTGGGGAGGAAGCTTTCAAGGGACACATTTTGGCTGGGAAGGAGGACAGTGAAGCTCTCCAGCCAGGGAGGACGCCTGGCAGTCACAGTGATCTCGGAGGGGCCCTGCACACTTCCACCACTTCCGGTTCCTCGATTCCTCTCCACCACACCCATTTTCTGAGTTCTCCTGGGCACCAGGCACTGGAAGCCGTTCCTGCTCTCATTCCTCACCCCCCTTTTCTTCATTCTTCAGGGCACGACATTCTCCAACATGTTCACATCCCTCAATTTTCCTTCCCCACCTGTCTGGAGTCTGAAGCTCCAGGCACTGCAAGGATGTGAGTTGGGGACCTGTTTGTTCTCCCCGTTTTACTGGATCTTTCAGGGTCTCCATTGTCCAACTTACTAGGAGCCCTGAATGCTTGCCGACTCTACCCCATCTGCTCCATTCTGTGGGCTGTGTCCTCTCTCAAACCTCCCAGGTCTTTCAGGCCCAGGCCCCCTCCTCCACTTGCTTGTGCCCAGGCTCCTACCCAGCCTCTGCTAGGATCCAGTATTGTCAACAATAAATAGATCTCCTTGGAATCAGGGTAACTGGCAAGCTCGGTTGAAGGACGTATGAGAGGATGGAGGTGGAGAGTTCACTCTCCCAAAGTGCCCCTCACACACACACGCAATGGGGACAATGCCAGAGCCTGACCTTATTTCACAGCAAGCTGCCCAAATCTCACCTTGCTCAGTGCTGGACACTGAAAACACTGACCCTCCCAGTGAAAGCTGCTCTCCTCTGTTCTTAGTCCCCACGCCAGGCCACTCTGCATTCTGTACCCTTCCCCCAGGCTGGTGTCCCAGACCGTACTTTACCCAGAGAGCCCTGCCCTCAAACTCACTTCCTCTCCGGACAGGCTTTCTGCCTTAAGCTGCGCTTCTTCCTCGGTGGTAGCAGGAGGCCTTCCTCTCCCTCCTCCCTCTATGATTTCTTGCACCTAAATGAATCTAACCTTGCTCTCACCTTTGTCCCTTGTGCCCTAACTTCTGTTGACACCTTCATCTGGTGCCCCTGACATAACCCTGGGGCTCCTGAGCCCTGGGACATTTGTATCTAGACAACCACGAGCCTAACACCCTAAACAGACACAGGCATAGACACACACACACACACACACACACACACACCCAGCACCAAAGCTGCTCCTACCCCAGTCACACTGGAATTAGATGAAAACCCCAGGCTTTGGACTCCTTGGCTGTGAGGGTCTTCCTGGAAAGAGCCAGGTCCAGCTGCATTTTCTCATACCCTGAAATCGCACCACTACACCCCAGCCTGAGCAACAGAGCCAGACTCCATCATTTAAAAAAAAAAAAAAAGTACCCAAAAGAGTTCCAGAATAAGATAAAAATGGTTTACATACAATCTCGCTATCTGGGAATATAAAGTGCAGTTACTAAAAGCAGGGAATCTCTTTCCTGAAACTATTTCTAACTCTGTGAGGAGCTGCTAGATTCTACAGTGCCTGACAGACAGCTCTCAAGGGCCGTTTGGCTTGTGAATGGCATTTCCAAGGCAAACATCTTGTTTGAAAGCTGCTGCTCTGGTTAAAGAAGGGTCATGAAAGTCTTTTTTTTTTTCCAGTTATTTGGGTGAAGTATGTTTTTGCGAGCAAATTTACCTTTCCCTCTGCGTTCTCCACATTTTGGGTTGTGATTTTATGACAATATAGTTTGTATATTCAACTTATACATATTTATAGTGTTCAGTAAGAGCCTTTTAAAATAAAACAATTGAACACATTGGTTATTTTCACAAGACTCTAACCAAAATAGTATATTTTTAGGTAAAAACCCAGGAAAATTAACTCAAAAGTAGCCTATATGGCCGATGAATTCTTGCTGCATTTTATGCAAATTATCAGGCCAAGTGTAATAAGCCTAAAATTGATTTTGCACACAAATTGGTCTTACTGTAATTTCTCTTTAATAGGAAAAATAGGGGGCTACAGACCAACCAGGATCTTCATGAGGACCAGTGAGCACAGGAGTAGGAAAGGGGTCACTAGCATCACTGAGATGCAGGTGGTGGCCATTCCTCATAGAAAACGAGATTTTTGGGGAACCTCCCATAGTGCTGAGCTCCATAGTGCCCACGGGGATGACAGAATCTGAGAATGGCTGGGACCAGGACTTTTGTCATCAAAAGCCAGCTGGAGGGTATAGGCAGTAAAATTGGAATGCAGCAAAGGGAGGCTGACCTGCAAAGCACTAGGAGGGATCTCATAAAACCTGTTACCCTTAGAGGCAAGACAGGTGGAAAAAGAGTAAGTATGTCACTTAGTAGACATAATCAAGAGGAGCAGAAAGCCAAGGTCAGCTGTCCGCCATAGAATGTCATGATCCCTTGCTCAGTGAAGACCTGAGACAGTCCTCACACCACTATATGTTTTTCTTTTTATAACCTTTATTAAAATACAGTTTATTTTTTCATTTACTTGGCACATTTGTATAATTGTGAAATTGTTTTCTTAGTAGTTTTAGTTACATATACTCAGTATAATGTTAGCTTTTAGGAACCCCTCTTTAGTAAAAATAAAACAAAAACGTAAGCAATTTTAATTGGTAGGAGTTGCAGAGCCCACAGCAAAGGACAGAGCTGTGGAAAATGTCTGACTCTTCCCAGCACGGAGTCGGGCCGTGGCTCCTTTCACATGTCCCCAGACCTCAGCTAGAATTGAATGCTCTAAAACAGACAGGCCAGATGATTATTTAAAATGTTTTGGAAACAGTTTTTGACCTGCAAATATTTAGTAATGGCAATATTTCACATGTCTCATGTGGACAAAATGTCTACATTGTGAAGATATTTTTCTTTTACTTTACTAATAATTTTTAAAACTGACTTTATTGTTTTAAGTTTTGTAAAGTCACATGAACTAAAAGGCAATTGAGTTAACGTTTCAATTTTTCTGATAAAGACTTGATTGAAGTGTTTATTTTTAAGCCAATGAATGAGAGATTTATCATATATTTTGAAGTGAAACGCTATATACACATGACTCATCTAAATATACAGACTGAGGTCAATTTTATAGATTTAGAACTTTTTTTATTTGTTGGGCTTTTAATATTTTTTAAAAGCTTTACATCCTTTATTTTTGATAATTTGTGATTTCCCTGGTGCAATTATTTGGAGCCCACAGCAGTTGGGATCTGTGTATGCAGCAGAGGGTGCCCCTCCAAGCCTCTGGCTCTCTAAGGCCTCCTTCCATTTCAAGGGTAATTAAAATAAGGCTGATTGTTAGGGATTCTGGTGTGATGAACCCCAGCCCTCTCCCACTTCTGGGGGCTAAGTGTTTACATGCCATCGCCCTTTGTTCCCCTACTGGGCCTCACATCACCTTCTTCCTCTTCTGGACTCAAATCTCTCTCTGCTTCCCCTTCCTAAGGACACTTGGGATTTCACGAGGGTCTAGCTAGATAAGCCGGGAGAACCTCCCACTGTTAAGATAATTAACTTCCTCACATTCACAAAAGCTCCTTTGCCACAGAAAGTCACTCTCACAGGCTACAGGTCATAGTTCGCAGTTACAGGAACTTGAAAATATTCTGCCTTCAAGTCCACCAGCTTTTGTAAAAAGCATCTGTTTCCTGTCCTGTGTAGTTGAGCACACTAAAGTCTTGTTCCCTTAGTCATTCCTCCTTCTGCTGCCCCTGTGGGGAGGGTCTTGCTGCCTGTACCCACCTCTGACATTTGCACTCTTAGACAACATAGCCGCTAATTTGTTGGAAAGGCGTTAAATTAAAAAAAAAAAAGTGCTATTTACCGCCTCCCTCTTTGACAGAAGACTGTCTGTCAAAGTAACCCCGCCCCAAGTGACTTTTTAAGGGGTGGCTCACCAGGAGGGAGTCAGAGCAGAACTTGGACTGAGTCCTGCAGGACACAGGTATTAGCTTTTCTCTTTTATTTGCTTTATGTTTCATTTACTTCTTTGGATCGAATAGCTCCAATTGTATTGCTGTTATTTGGTTTTTCATTTTGTTGTTGGGTTTTTTGATGTGGTGTTTTTTTGTTTTGTTTTGTTTCTTTTTGTCTTTTTAGAAAGAGGGTTTCCCTCTATTGCCCTGGCTGGAGTACAGTGGTGGAATCACTGTTCACTACAGCCTCCAACTTATTCCTGGGCTCAAGCAATCCTTCTGTCTCCATCTCCTGAGCAGCTGGGACTCTAGGCATTTGCCACCGTGCCCAATTTTTTTTTAATTCCTTTTTAAAAATATTTTAATCCTTTCCGGAAAAAAATATGTTTTCCATGGACTTGCTTATTTCCTTTATACAGTCCATTGTCGTTGAATTCTTATTTGAATTTGTGATACACCCTCTCATAGGGAACATAACAAATTTCCTCCCACAGCAATTAATGACGAGTGCGATGAGAAGCATAATGACAATGATTAACTTGATAATTAAAAATCTAATCAACCAACTGTTGATGATTGTACTAAACAAAATAATTTCATTTTTACACAACCAGTTGTATGTGAACTATGTTGAAAACAGGATGCATGACTGGCGGCCAGAACAAAGAAGTTTGGTTTAATTTCTATCTATACACCCAGTAAAATATCTGTAATACCACTGGAAAACCTTAAAATACATTATCTATTTCTTGTAAAAGAATGATGAAATGTGAATTTGAACAGCATAAATATGTACAAGTATCTCTTCTCAACGGAAAAAATTATGTTTGTGGATGAAATATGAACCGAGTTTGTGGATGAAATATGAGCAGCATGAATATGCACAGATATCTCTCCTCAATGGAAAAAATCACGTACAAAATATAAGAACCCAGTTTGTGGATGCGTGAATAATGATAAATTGAGGCCGGGCGCGGTGGCTCACGCCTGTAATCCCAGCACTTTGGGAGGCTGAGATGGGCGGATGACCCGAGGTCCGGAGCTCAAATCCAGCTCGACCAATGCGGTGAAACCCCATCTCTAGTAAAAATACGAAAATTAGCCGGGTGTGGTGGCGCATGCCTGTAATCCCAGCTACTCGGGAAGCTGAGGCAGGAGAAATGCTTGAACCCTGGAGGTGGAGGTTAATAGTGTGCCCAGATCGCACGACTGCACTCCAGACTGGGTAACAGAGTGAGACTCCGCTTCAAAAAAACAAAAAACAAAGAATAATAATAATAACGATAAATCCTATATGTTACGGTAAAAATCTTCATGAGAACAAATTTACTATCATTTTTTCTACTGAATGGATGATCATGAAAAGGAATTTATTTTTATTTCGTATGATGGACTGAGCATCATGAAAAAAAATACTACCTTTTGGATTGTTGAACTTCCATCCTGAGAAATTTACTATTGTGCTGCATGCTGCAGTGATGATCTTGTGATCTCAGCAATGCCCATGGGGCAATTTACATCGGGACTCGTTTCATCTCTAGACCTTCACTTACCTGAGAAAGACAAGTGTCTTTTGATAAATAAAATATTGTTAAATGCAATGTTGCCTCATGATTTTTTTTTTCTTTTCCTTTTCCTTTTTTTTTTTTTTTTTAGATGTAGTTTCACTCTTCTTGCCCAGGCTGGAGTGTAATGGTGCGATCTTGGCTCGCTGCAATCTCTGTCTCCCAGGTTTAAGTGATTCTCCTGCCTCAGCCTCCTGAGTAGTTGAGATTACAGGTACACACCACAATGCCCAGTGAACTTTGTATTTTTAGTAGAGTCGAGGTTTCACCATGTTGGCCTCGCTGGTCTCGAACTCCCGACCTCAGGTGATCCACCTCCTGGGCCTCCCAAAGTGCTGGGATTACAGGCATGGGCTACCACGTTCAGCCATGATTGTTTCCAGGGTGATTTGCTACACATGTTGGGGTGAGTCTCTGGGTTGTGTGCCGAGCAGGGGAGGCTCTCAATATGGAGAGAACCCGTGAAGTGGGGGAGGAGGTTTCCATGGGGTCTGAGAGGCTGAGGGCCATGAGCCTGCCTGGGTTTAGGAAATGGGAATGTTTCACAGGGTGAACTTGGGGTTTGAGTCCTGAGGGTGTTTGAGAACTTTTTTCTTCAGGAGGGGAAGCTTCAGGGGAAATAAAGACAATCCTGGATGCCTCAAGGGGCATTTCCTAATTTCAGAAAAATCAAACCAGGAACAGTATGAAAATGGCCTCCTTGAAGACGGTGTTCCCTGAGTACCTAGAACCCAAAACCGGTCAGTTGGGGAGGAAGCCTTCAAGGGCCACATTTTGGCTGGGAAGGAGGACAGTGAAGCTCTACCGCCAGGCAGGAAGCCCAGCCAGTGTGTTCCCAGACCAAACTCAGGGTCTGGCTGCTATTTCTCACGGCCCAATAACGAGATGCAGATAAACTGGGGAGGAAGAGAGTTTTTTATTTCTGGAACCGGTTACAGAGAGAAGGCCCAGAAAATATCTCCAGACCAACTGTAAATTACAAGGTTTTCCAGAGCTTATATATTTTCTAAGATGTATGTCTACGTGTCAGTGTGCATTTATCTAAAGATATAAGTGATTAACTTCTTTTAATCTGTAACTCTAGTCTAAGTCTTGGAGACCTTTCTCTGGAGCCTCAGTACATTTACTTAAATCTAAATGAGTCCAGGTGCTGGGGCTATTACCCTGACCTTGTCTCCTGCTCAATCACAGAGGTTTGGGGGGGGTTCCTTTAGACCCCCAATGAACTTGTTTGTGGAGGCCTGGCGAGTTTCTTCAGACCCCCAATTAAATTTGTTTAATCCTAAACAGGTCTGGTTAAGAATTCCTTCTTTGTTTTGTCATGCTGTAAGGCCCAGGAAAGGCCTAGGTAAAACCCTTGGTGGGCTTTTGTTACATTCTAGCCTTTGTAGAAAGGCGCTGGCACTTTCAGCTTTTGATACTGAACTTAACCACTCAGTCAGTACTGAAGTAGTTGTGATGGGGACCTCCATTAGTGAAATCTGGCCTGCCACAATCCCCACTGTCAATTTGCGCATGATTTCTATCATGCTTGTATATTTATTTATCACAAGAATCATAGGGAGATGGAGCATTGTAATCTTTCTGGCTACTTCCTGCTGAGAGGGGGTCATCGTTATGGGGCACCGAATGCAGCACTGGAGTGGAAAAAGTCGATTTGTTCCCAGTAGCACTCTCTGTTTCGGGGGTGTAGAGGCAGCACCTGCTAAAACATAATAGTAGGCAACAGCAACACATATAAATAGGTTGCTGCTACTTCCTTCAGAAGTTTCGGTTGTCTAGTCTTCAGTTCACAGGGCTTTAAGAAAGCACAGCTTAGGTTTCAGTGATTTCCAATTAAGAAAAATGGGGAAAAAGGGAAAGAAAAAGGAAACAAATGAAAAGATTATTTAGGAGACTTGTAGCCAGAGAAATACGAATTTAACCCAAACTGTAGAAAATAATAAAAACTGAATGCCAGACTAGAATTTAAAAACAGGTGTACTATAGTTTCCAAAAGTTTTTGAAACATAACTTCCCTCTCTCCAGTTACCCTTTTTTGTTGTTGTTGTTGAGATGGAGTCTTGCTCTGTCACCCAGGCTGTCGTGAAGTGGCACGATCTTGACTCACTGTAACCTCCGCTTCCCTGCCTCAGCCCCTTGAGTAGCTGGGATTACAGGCACCCGCCATCATGCCCGGCTCATTTTTGTATTTTTGTAGAGATGGGGTTTCACCGTGTTGGCCAGGCTGGTCTTGAACTCCTGACCTCAGATGATCTGCCCACCTCAGCCTCCCAAAGTGCTGGGATTACAGGAGTGAGCCACTGCACCCGACCCCAGTTTCCCGTTTTTACTAAAGACAAATTACGACAGGACCAATTTGCTTTATTATGCTTTGCCACTTTATTTGTACGAGGTGCAGCAAGAATAATTATTTTTCACATAGGCTTTTAAAATTGGTTTTAATGGGACTTTGTTTTATAGAAGGAATCTGAGATAAGACTTTTTAAAGCTGAGCCCCTGCCATGGATTTCTACCATCAAATACATATGGTTGGGTGAATTCCTGTCCTCTTGAAGTTTCAAGATAACTTGGGATTCCTGACCTGTCAGAATGTGACATTCTTTTCTTCCCACAGATCAGTAACCCTGTACAGGGACTGTGTTCACAGGATATAAGGTCAGTTTTCCAAAGGCTTTATTAGCTCCACAAGTCAAGTTTGATTCCTTAAAGGAAAGCACAGCATTCTGGTCAAAACCTTGGTAAAATAACCAGTTTTTCAAATTGTGTCCTGTTACCAAAGAAAACACATTCTTATTGCACTTATGCAAATAACTATATTGCCATAAATTAAGAATACCCACAAATAGTTTCCAAATTCTGGGGAAATCGGGTAGAGAGAAACAAATAATGCTCCAAATGGTGTTCATAGGAGTATATTTTGATTAATCGTTAAAAGCTGTCAATAGCTCAAAAGAAAATTTGCCTTGACTCTGAAAAGCAAAACAAAGGATCAGCAACGTTTTAAGCAAAAAGTCAAAAAGATCACTTCAGCCTCCTATTAGTTCACTTCATGCAGTTAATTCCTGTCCTGCTTGATATCAATGAACATTTTAGCTCTCCAAGTGTCCCGAACATTTTTCCTCTCTTCTGATGTCACAATCTCCAAAGTTATCAAAATTTGCATTTAAGAGCACCTGTTAGGGCTTTATAGCTGATTATAAAATTACCTTCTAAAGAGGGCCAAAACAAGGTAACATGTGTATATGGGTGACTGAACGTTTTAGGGTAGTCATAGTCAAAGACACAATTGACAAGGAAATCTGTTACCTCTGTGGCCCACAATAATTTAACATGACAATTATAATTATGACTGATAATGTACACTGAGATATAGCAGAATTATAGGAGTCTCCCATAACTTTGGAACCCTCATCAATAACATATTTATAGAAATATAGCCCAAAGAAAGCTAAAAATCATTTTATATTTCACAATGCTTCCTGTATGATTTTTGTACCAAATAAGCCAAATTTCACCTTTACATTAGTGTACTATTAATGTTAAACCTAATTCTTAATAAAACCTGATAGACATATTTACCCAATTTTAATGTTTGACCATAAGGTAACATTTTTATAGACTTTCTATAACCCTTTACAATTTTTGTTAAAGAGCAGGTTAGTGCTCTAAGAGAAACCCATTGTGTTTTTATTTCAATGCTCAATTTACAGAAATGCTGAATTATACCCCTTCAACTTTAGTCAATATGTTTACACACAAAAATATTTTAATTAATTTTTTCATAAACCTTTCACAACTTGCTTAAACATTTAGCTTTATTTTATCCAACTTAAAGCAATTCTTTAACCTTTTAATCTAGGCAAAAAAAATCCATCTTCTCATAAGAGCTTTAGAGACTCTTAGGCTTCTTTACTAGGACAGCTGAGCTCTAAAGCATGTGAACTTCACCCACCACAACTGTTTGCTCCATCTCAAGCTCAGAACCCTGCCCTGTCTGCCTAACCACAAGTGAGTATTTCCTGCCTTGATTTCCTGACATTTCTATATTTAATTCAGCTTGTTAAGTTCCAAGAAATCCCCTGGCAATTTTTATTATTGACCTCTTCTTCTTTGCACAGGTATCCAACCCAGTATCTACAAATAAATGCTTCACTCATCTACTCCTTTCATGAAACATTGCAAATCTTTTTCTTACTAGTGCTTGGGCTTGCTTTTTTTTTTTTTTTTTTTTCTTTGCAAGGAAACATATAGATGAGCCTCAAGAGATTTAGAAATCTTTTCAGAGTAACCAGCTGAATGTCAGAAAGTCATATTTGGAGGCCAATCTAGTTAGATTAGATAAATAGTTTTTAATTTTAACAAACTGTCTTCCTTTTCTAACTGGACCTCTGATCTCACAGAAGCCAACAAAGTATTTGCAGTTTATAGGATCTAATTTTAAAATATGTGAAGAGTAGGCACATCTGGAAGGCAGGGCATCTAGATCTTTGAAAATCAAAAATCCCGAATTTCACATTGAATCTGAGGTCTCTAAAAGAAGGGACATGCCACAAGACCAAGCCACACAATTTTTCCACACTGCACAATGCTGTAGAAACATGTCTTCAAGGCTAGTAGCACAGCAACAATCAGCCCACTTTTAATCAGACCATCCCCAAAGGAAATCATATTCATTGGTGGTGTTTTCACAGCCTTTAAACTGTGTCCAAACTGCACCTTTCTCATCTAAACTTGCAAAGAAACAAGGAGCCCCCTGCAATCACAACCATTTATTGCAACGGCTCTCAGCCATCTCCAAACTGCAGCCCTCACCAGTGACCCAGCAGCCGTTGCACTCACAAAGGACGTGTCTCTCACAGTACAAAGTAATGCCTGGTACTCACAAAACCAAAGCAATCAGCCAAGATGAAATAAAAGAGAGCAGAGCTGCAGACCTGGAGGAGCCTGTCCCTGACTCTGGACTCCACAAGGAGAACAGGAGACCCCCAAAAGGGGTGAGTGGGATCTTTTTGTGTATTTCTCAAGGAATTTCAGAGTCACTTAAAATTCCCTCTAGATCCCTTCATGTGATACCAAAGATGCCAAAAGGAAGGTAAAGAAGGGAAAAGAAGAAGTACATGGGAGAGGAATTCCTTTTAAAAAGAAGTGAGCAGAGGAACCAAGCACCTATTTGTTTTAATTCAAAATCTAATTTTATTTTGTCAAAATTTCAACTCTTATTATAGATTCAGGGGGTACATGTGCAGGGTAGTTACATGGGTATATTGTACCAAGCAATTAATTTCTAAAACGGAGTTTCACTCAAATCCAAATATTTTTCAAAACAGGAGGCAAAAGAGAAAATCCAGAAAGACTGTATGTACATATAATTAAATATTAGCTTTTCATGAAGCCGACTTCTGACCATAGAGCTCTTTGAAAAAGAAAAATAAAACCTTCCAGATCTCTTATAATCAGATTTTAGCCAACACAAAGAATTGCGATTTCCACTCTTTAAACTTTTTTTTACCAAAGGTAATCTCACCAATACTAAATAGGTAAAAAAGTCAAATGCCACGCAAACATTAAACCAAAGGCGCTGGGGCCCTGACTGGGAATTGAACCCAGGCCATGGTGGCGAAGGCATAAACTTGAAGCTAGGCCACAATATAAGGCACCTTTCATTGTGAATCCCACAGAATATTGAAAGCAGGCAGTATGAACTTCAAAAGATTTTTTTGGCAGGGGGTCAGATTTTTTATCTTTAATTTTATCAGAAGGATTTTTAATGCAAGCCATGAAATCGTTACATATCTCCTTTGAAATTTGATTGTCCCATGAGTACAAATAGGTCAATTGTTTAGAATAAAGGAATCTAAAATCTTTTTATAAATTTAGAGATTTTTCTAATTTAACAGATCCATCCTTTGACCACTGCTTAGAATTTGCGATGCCATACTTCTTCCAGTAGTGATTCAATCCAACACCTACTTCATAAAAAGCCAAGGATGTAATTTTTTCAGTTTAGTGTAAGCTTTACCATTTAAGAAGTAGGTATTTTTGTAAAGGGCCTGAAAGAGGCAATCCCAAAGATCTCCTCCCCTCCAAAAATTACTCCCAGAATTCGGCTAAGATAGCAAAAGACCCTTGTTTCCACAGCTAAGGATGGAGTTTGTGTGCATGTGGTGTCTCCAGTAAGACAAATCTGTGGGTCCTCCAGTCACAGACCCGTTACTCTGTGGCGTGTCACTTAGAATCCTTGTGTGTCTCACCCTCAGAAAATTCAGAGCTTATATCTCCTAATCCAGTTTTACCCCAAGCCTTTGTTCCTGGGTGAGCCAATTTGGAGATTCAGGAGGTATTATATTGTAGTTGGTAAATCAATTGTGATGTGGGGTCCTGTCGGGTTCGATATCACAAGCAGTATCAGCATGTGAGGACCAGAGCTGTGAACTCAACGCTGTCAATCGACAGCTTTTAGGAGTTTCTGTGAGGACTGGGTGGATTCAGGGACCCTGAAAACCATACTTGTCACCCTTCTAGTCCTGTGTGTCTGGAACTAGAAACTCTTTGGTAAGCATGGGTTCTCTCTCAGGTCCCTGGACATCCCTAAAAAGAGAGAGCATGTTTACATTGCAAGTGAACTGGCATTTCCTTTCTCTCCTGCAAAATGGTCTCGTTTGTCAACAGGGGATACATCTCTCTTCCTTTTGGGAAGTGGGAGGATGTAGGTTATTCAGTGCTGGTACTTTGATTTAGTTCCTACATTTGATCCCTCTACTTGGTGTGTAAGGTAGATGCTATTATCCTCATGTTAGAGATATGGAAATGGGCTCAGGGTGGATGAGATATTGGTTACTTTGGGAGAAGTAGCAAATGATAGAGCCAGTACTGAGCCCTGGACTATCTCCAAAAACCATGCCAAGAGTTTCGTCTGGGGACCTGAGCCTGATCATCTTACTTCCATGAAATGGGGCCTATTTTCAGGCGATAAACAACTCTACAGAAAATGTGCCATTTTAATGCAATTCCTTTTTTCAGTGTTACTCTCCTACCTTTACAACTATTATATGCTCAAAGTTAAGCTAAGTTTCGTGGAAAACAGAAAACAAAATGCTTCATAATTATAAGTCATGAGATCTACATAGCATTTAAAATTTCTCTAAGGCAAAACACATAGATGAAATTAAATGGTGAAAGTCAACCTGTAAAAAAGTGTTTTAAATTTTAAAAACATTTGACTATCTTTGAAACATCTATCTATCTATTACATCTCCTTATAATATAAAAAACCCAGCTGGGCACGGTGGCTCACACCTGTAATCCTAGCACTTTGGGAGGCCGAGGCAGGTAGATCATGAGGTCAGGAGATCGAGACCACCCTGGCTAACAGGACGAAACCCCATCTCTACTAAAAATACAAAATATTAGCCTTGCTTGGTGGCACATGCCTGTAGTCCCAGCTACTCTGGAGGCTGAGGCAGGAGAATCACTTTAACCCAGGAGATGGAGGCTGCAGTGAGCCGAGATCATGCCACTGCACTCCAGCCTGGGTGACAGAGCGAGGCTCTGACTCAAAAACAACAACAACAAAAAAAAACCTTCAACATTTATACAAACAAATAAATGTCTCTAGTATAAAAATTAACAGAAGCTATGAGAAGGCAGATCATAAATGAAGTGCAAATGCTGAATGAGCACAGGCAAAGATTCTTATCCTCAGTAATAGATAATTAATCATAAACTTAAACGATGTATTAAAATATATATTCTCTGTTTAAAAAGTAAAAGACAACATACTGCTTTAGTAAGCCTTAATTAAACAAACTTTCATGGTAAAATTTCATTAGAGAATTTGTGCAGGCTTTGGGGAAAATCATGTATTCATTGGTTTGGCATCTCTGTCTTTAAAAAGCCACTTGAGTGTCACACTTTAATAGGAGATTTGAATACATTCCTACCTGTAATTGATAAATCAAGCAGTCAAATGAATCAGTAAACATATAGACTATTTGAACAATGTGAGAAGCTTGATCTAACAGATTTATGTATTTTACTGGAAGTTTTTTAAAGCACACATGGAAAACTTAGGAAATTTTGCCATATATTATGCCAAATACTACAGCTCAGAAATTACTCATCGATTGTATGCACTGCACAGACCATGTTTTGTGGCCACTGTGCTAAATTAGAAGAATAAAAGTATAACCAGAAAATGTATCTTTAGAAACAACATTTCAAATAAAACATCATGGATTTAAAAACAAGTGATAATTAAAATTTGAGAATATGTCTTACCAAAAATGAAGACTTTATGTAAAAGCACATAGGGTGTAGCTGAAGTGGTACTTGTGGGCAAATGTAAACTGCTAAAATGCTTACAGTAGAAAAGATTTTTAAAAGAGGTGGTAATTCATGAGCTACTTACCCATTTTTATAGTAAGAAAAGAGCAATGTTTCAAACAGGAAAAGAAATAAATATAAAGGCAAAAAATAAGAAAATAGTTAATATGTATGAAAAAAGAATCAACAAGTCAAAAGATGTTCTTTAAAAAGCAAAGTTCCAGCAGGATTATTAAGAAAAAGTGAGAGAAGACGCCAGTACTCATAAATAGGAATGAAAATGGCAACAGTTACAGACAACAGACAATGAAAGGACACTGAGCACCCTTATGCCAAATGCATTAAACATTAGATAAAATGGATGAACACCTAGAAAACTAAAGGAAACCAGAACTGGGTCAGGCAGGAAAAGAGGCTGGATGTGATGCTGCATGCTTGTAGTCCTAGCTACTGGGAAGGCTGAGGCGGGAGGATCTATTGAGATCGGAAGTTAGAGGCTGTAGTGAGCCAGGATCAGGCCTGTGAACAACGTTGCATCTCAGCCTGGACAACAGGGCAATACAGAGAGACTTCCTCTCAAAAACAAAACAAAACAAAACAAAACAAAAAGCATGAGTAGCCCTATCAACCAATAATGAAACTGAATTGGTATTTTTCATCCTTCCAATACAGGTAACACCAAAGCCAGATTATTTTACAGAGTTCTCCCATTATTCAAGAAACAGTTAATTACAGTCTTACACATACTCTCCCAGAAAATGGAAAAAAGGAAGCAGATGCTTAGCTCTTTTATCTTTTCCTTTTTATTTCTTCTTTTTTTTTCTTTTGAGACAGGGTCTCGCTCTGTCATCCAGGCTGGAGTACAGTGGCACAATCATAGTTCGCTGCAGCCTCAAATTCCTAGGCTCAAGCAATCCTCCTGCCTCACCCTCCCAAGTACCTAGGACTACAGGTACTCACTGCCATGCCTGGCTAATTTCTATTTTTCATAGAGATGGGGGTCTCACTATTTTGCCCAGACTGGTCTTGAACTCCAAACCTCCTGCCCCGGCCTCCATTAGGGCTGGTTTCTTAGCTCTTATTGTGAGGCTATTATAACTTTGACCCCCAAACCAGAAAAAAATACAGAAAGGAGAATAACAGGCTAATCTGAGCATATACAAAAAATCCTAAAAGAAAATTTAGACACAAGACAGCAGTAAATAAAACAGATATTGTTCAGTGACAAGTGGGTTTTCTCCCAAGAATACAGTTAAACAGTAGAAACTCAGTTCAATGTAATTCATAACTTTGGTGACTTAAAGAAAGTAAATCATATGAATTTTTCAAATGATGTCTCCAGAAAAAGCTTTAGCTCAAATTCAGCCTGAATTTATGCTAAAAACTCAGTAAACCAGAAATAAAAGTGAATTACCTCAATCTAAAAAAGAGCGTCTACAAAATGCTACAGAAAGCATGCTTTATACAATCAGAGAGCAAGACAAGGGTGTTCACCATCCCCACTTTATGAGAAAAAAGACCCCACAATATATAGAGGGATATTGCCTTGCAGCAAGACAAAAATATAAAATAAAAGGTCCAAGAAATAACAAAGAAGAAACAATTATAATTTACAGATGACATTATTGTCTATATGGAAAACTCAAAAGAATCTGATATATTGTTAGAATCAAAAGATTGTTGAACAAGGTTATCAGATATAAAAATCCATATATGAGACACAATGACATTTGTTGAATAACAGCAAATGCAATTTTTAAAACAAACTTTTTGAGACAGGGACCTCATTATGTTGCCCAGGCTGGTCTTGAACTTCTGGACTCAAGCAATCCATCTGCCTCAGCCTCCCAGGTATCGGGGATTACAGTACAAGCCACTGTACCCAAAAAGTGCAATTAAAAAAAATTTGTAATAGCAAGCTAGGAAGAAAGACTTTCACATGCAAGGCCTCTATGTAGAAAAACATGAAACCTGGTTGAAAGACAATAAACAATAACTAACAGACCATAAAGATATAAATAACTAAACAGGTGGGGGTGGGGGAGAGAGAGAGAGAGTCTGTGTTCATTAATAGGAAGACTTGGTATTATGAAAATACTTTCCCCAAATTATGTATAGAATTATGAACTTCCAAATAAAATCCTTGCAGTTGTCTTTTAGCTGGACAAGCCAATTCTAAAATTCATGTGGTACAACAAAGAACCCTGAAGAAGAGTAACAAGGGGGCAATTGCCTACTGCACATCAAGTTGTCTCATAAAGCTCTGCTATTTAATATTTAAGACAGCGTGCTATTGGTATGCTGGTGGCACAGAGTGAAAAATCAGGAACTATTTCTACACATGCATAGAAACTTTATAATAAAGGTAGCATTACAGATAAATTGGGGAAAGAGAAGCAGTATTCATTCATGATTCTTGAGAAATTGGTCAGTCTACACACAAAGACCCTTGGGGATGTGTTTGAATTAGATAGAAAAAGTACTAATATAAAAGCAAAATATGATACATTCTATTATATTAAAAGTAACATCTACTTAAGAAAGAACACAGGCCAGGTGCTGTGGCTCACGCCTGTAATCCCAACACTTTGGGAGGCCAAAGAGGGTGGATCACCTGAGGTCAGGAGTTCGAGACCAGCCTGACAAACATGGTGAAACCCCATCTGTACTAAAAATACAAAAATTAGCTGGGTGTGGTGACAGGCACCTGTAATCCCAGCTACTTGGGAAGCTGAGGCAGGAGAATCACTTGAACCCAGGAGACGGAGGTTGCAGTGAGCCGAGATCGGCCAGTGCACTTCAGCCTAGGTGACAGAGCAAGACTCCATCTCAAAAAAACAAAACAAAACAAAGAAAGAAAGAAAGAAAAAACACTATAAAGAAAGTTTTTTTTAAGAAAAAAAAAAGAAGAAGAAGACACAAACTGGGAAAGAGATGTGCAGCACATACAGTTGACAAAGAATCTGTGTCCAGAATATGTAAATAACACAAAGCACGAAGGAAAAGACACACGACACAATAGAAAAGCTGAAGATGTCACATCCTAAAATTGTGTCTGCATACAACAGGAAATATGTATAAAGAGGTATGTCCACCATGGCAGCATGTATACAGCAAAAATACAAAACCAAAAAACACCCCAAGTGGTCACCAAAAACATGAGAGAAATAAAATGTGGCATATTAATGCAACAGGAGAATACCTAATAATAAAAATGCAAAAACTACAGCCAGCCACGCACATCTACAGGAGTGAAATTTGAGAACATAATTTTGACCGAAAAAAAAAGCAAGTATTTGAAAATTCAGTATTTCTTTTTTCTTTTTTTTTTTGGAGACAGAGTCTGGCGCTGTCGCCCAGGCTGGAGTGCAGTGGCGCGATCTCGGCGCAGTGCAAGCTCCACCTCCCGGGTTCACGCCGTTCTCCTGCCTCAGCCTCCCAAGTAGCTGGGACTACAGGCGCCCGCCACCACGCCCGGCTAATTTTTTGTATTTTTAGTAGAGATGGGGTTTCACTGTGTTAGCCAGGATGGTCTCGATCTCCTGACCTCGTGATCCGCCTGCCTCCGCCTCCCGAAGTGCTGGGATTACAGGTGTCAGCCACTGCGCCCAGCCTCAGTATTTCATTTTCAAGAAGTTTAAAAGCACATAACGAAATATATGGTTTTTCAGGATGCAGAGTGTGGTTGAAAATAATAACAGTAAGAGTATTCTAATATTTTGCATATTGGCTACTGAGAGTGGGGTGGGGAATGGAATTGGGTTGGGATACACAGCAGAGTTGGGGATACTGGTTCTGTTCTTTCTTAAGGTGGGTGAAGATAGTCTTGTTGTTTTCACTGTTGCTCTCCAAGGGGCAGGACACTGATTGCAGCAGCCCAGCCAGGTCCTATGCGAGGCCACCGCTGTCCTGGCCACCCCGGGACAGGGGCCTTGGCTACTCTCCCACACCTGTCTGGGCTGTTCCTCGGCGCTTCTGAAATCCCATCCCAGCCAGGGAAGGAACCCTGGTGGGGTGGAGTGGAGGCGAGGCACTCTGTAACCCCATCGGGGTGTGGAGCAGCTCTAGGTCCCAAAAGGCCACTAGGCATGCGCAAGGTCGCACATGCAGAAGAGAGACCCCTGCTCAGAGGCCAGAGCCGGCATGAGGCGGTCAGAGAGGATCCCCTAGTGGTGGAGGTGGAAAATTGCAAGGACGGAAAATTCCGCGTGAAAGGCGGACTTTGAACAGATCCCATCCAGGGAGCTGCTCTGCTGCAGAGAAAACTCGGACCCAGAAGCAGCTCCTCTAGGAACGGATTAGCTTCAGGGTTGTCACCAACCTGCCTTGAGTGAAGGGCAAGGGGGTGGTCCCTTTTCCACTGGACGCCATTTCCCTGGACAAGGGGCTCTCAGCACAGGACCTAGGCAGTGGCTGGGGGCTGGCACAGTGGTGGACTCTCTATCCCAGGCCAGCCGAGGCTCCATGGAGCTGCCCTAAGGCTCAGCCTGGGCGGATTCTGACTTAGAGGCTTCAGTCATCATCCCGCAGATGGCAGCTTCACCCATTGGCCCCTCAGCCAAGCACAGGCACCAAGTATCTGAATCTGCAGGGCCTCTGGTACTGGGCAGGATCGCCATGGCAACAACACATCATCACCAGGGTAAACCTAGCCTGTCTCACCTGGTCTAAACCAGCTCAGGTTCTCTGAGTGGGTGAGCAATCGTAGAAATTCTGCCTTACAATGAAAAAAAGAACCCACAGACAGGGATGAAAAATCGAGGGCATTGTGAACGCTTGCTGGCCACAAGCCAGCTAGCCCTGTGGTAACATTTCTGACACCTCCTGCTTAAAACCCAAAAGGTCAGAAAGATCCTAAGGCCCCGCTTTCACCTTCTGAATTCCTGCCGCAAATAAAGACCAAGGAGTGAGTTATTTATTATTTATTTATTTATTTATTTATTTATTTATTTATTATTTTGCCCTCCTGCTCCTCGGGAGGCTTCTGTCCTGAGCTCGCCTTAGCTAATCCTGCGTTACCGTTCGGCAGGTGTGCGCCTCAATCTCCCCACCTTACCGCCAGGGAACTTAGCCTGACGACACTCCGCCCCATCGGGTCAGGGAAAAACGGTAGGAGTAGTGGAATTTCACATTTCGCCCTCTGCCTGCATGGCCAGTCAACTCCGCCCCTCGCGGAAACAGGGGGTGGGCGCGGGACCAACTACTGATCCCCTCCCCTGTCTCTTCACAGCGCTGCAGTCAGGCTCAGCCGATGCTTCTTTCCTGCAGGTTCCGCCGAGCCCGTCCCTTGGCGGTGGTGTCACTGGATGCTGGGAAGAGATGGTGGGAAGAGCCTCCATCCATTGGCGCGTCACTAATTAGACAAGGAGGCCTTGGGCTCCCTTGAGAGAGTCACGGTTTCTCCTCCGTTGACCCGCCCTTCATTGAACTCCTTTACTTGGATATTCAGAGCGCTGGACAGAGATCACTTGGCGCTAACACCCTCGGAGGTCCTCACGGCGCTCCGTCGGAATGACACAGTCGGATTCCCAAGCTGCGAAGGGTGAGGGAGGGACTGCAGCGCAGGAACTGAGGAGGAGAGGCCCGCGCGCCCACTGGAGCCGAGCGGTGAGGAATAACCGGACCGACCCCCGACGGTGCGTGGTGAGTCTCCCCAACCTGCACCATTCGCGCCCCGAGGCGCCCCAAGCGCGGCTGGGAGGCCAGCTGTGGCTGGGACGATTCACTAGAAGGGCCGGCCTGCGTCGAGTTTCCAGGGTGGCCGCCAGTGACCCCGGCGGGGCCCATCCCCCTTGCCCTCAGAGCCCGCCCCGCCCCGCTCCCCTGTGGCACCGCCACCGCTACTCCAGGAGGCACAGTGGGGAGGAGAAGGGGGTGGGGAGCCTAAGGAGAGGAGTGAAGGTGTCCTGGCCTGCCTTGGGGAAGGGGCGGGGGCGGGTGCCTCTGGGACACCCAGCCCGGGGGATCAGCCCTGAGAGCCAGTCCTTACCCTGAAGTTACAGATCTGGCTTCCAGATTTCTGTAACCTACCTTGTTCCAACACAGGCCTGAGGCTGTTCCTGTTAGAGACCTGTTGCGGATACGGGTAGGGCCCTGCGGGAGATTTACATCTCCAGTCTTCCCCCCCGCCCCCCGCCCCCCTTGTTTTTCACAGACAGGCTAGAGCAGCGGCGCTATCATAGCTCACTGCAGCCTCGAACTGGTGAACTGGAGGGATCTTCCCAACCATCTTTTGTCTTTTTTAAGAAGAAAAATACAAAAGCTTTTATATAGGCTTACACACAGCTACAGAGCAAATCTTTATCGTATATCCAAGATTATCAACCACTTGACTGTACAACCAGGAATCATAACACATTTGAGAACAACCAGTGGCAAAATAGGAAAATGGGCCAATGAAGAAGATAGGTGACTAATAAATAAAAATCTGATATCAAGTGTAGGCAAGTTGTAGGGAAAATGGGTGATGAACGAATAGAACAAATGCCTGGGGTAAACATCATTCGAAAGCCCAGAAAGAAGCTTTTAGACATCTTTATTGCTTTTTGGGGGGGCGGGGGGGGTGGGGTTCTGGAGGATTGATGGCTGAACTCTCATGAAAAGGGTGCAGTCAGAGAACAAGAAAGAGTTCCCAGGAATTAAAATTGTAAACAGAAAAGCAAATTCAGGGTAATTGCTGAAAGACCCACCAAAGGATCTCCAAGATACAATTGAGAAAATCAACCCTAACATAAAGGCAAAAGACAAAGGTGGGTTATTTGAGCGAGAAGTGGTTTGAGGATTTGCAAATATTTGTTTAGTATTGAATATGTGCCAAGCACACATTACAGAATACGTTACTTATGGGAAGTAACTTAGCCTTGAAGTAGCTCTGTGAGGATGCATGTGTTTCCTTTACCTATAATTCTATAGGAAAGGCAATTTTTAAAAATAAATCAAGGTTGGATTTCATCAATTTTACAGAATACGCATAACTTTATAAAATTTTCAAAATTCTCTAAAAACCTATTGAGATAATTAAACAAGCGTTTTTCTCCTTTAGTCTGTTAATGTGGAGAAGTATTTTCTGATGTTGAAACATACTTGCATTCCTGATATAAGCCATACGTATGATAACATATTTTGCTTGTTTGCTATTATTAATTCTGAATTTGGTTCACTAAGATTTTGTTTGATTTTGCATGTATATTTGTAAGTGAGATTGGTCTATAATTTTCTTGTGTGGTTTTGGTATCATGCTATAACAGCTTCTGAAAATGTGTTAGAAAGTGTTTTCTTGTTAAAGTTTTAAACCTTCTGAGAATTGGTTGAGGAGGAGCTTGAAAATTTGTTAAAATTCACCATAAAAATATCAGGACCTGAAATTTTGTTATTGTTGTCAGTAAATAAAAATTATCAACTGTCTTTTTAATTGCTTTACTGATTATTGCTCTATTCATAATATCCATTTTTTCATGAGTCAGTTTTGGTAATTTACATTTATCGAGATAGTTGTCCGTTTCATCTAAGTTTTAAAATATATTGGTACAGCTATTGTGGTATTCTCTGAATAATTTTAAAATCTCTCTTGTGTCTTCCTGATTTGTCCTATTTAAATTTTTTTGATTAATCAATTTATATTTTCATATTGTTTTCTCTCTCTCTCTCTCTCATAATGTTATGGTTTAGATAGGAATGGTCCAGGGTGGAATGACACAAGTAAAGAAACAATAATGTGGTTTTGTGTACTATAAGGAAACATATAAAAGAAGGCATGGGAATACAAAGGAATCAATTAATTGCACATTAAGTATTTGTTAAGGTCCAATAATTTGAAAAATATTAAGAAAAGTGATACTGTCCTTGCTGGACATAGGACATTAAACAGACCCTGTTAAACAATGTTGAGAACAAATTAAGGCTATTTAAGGTAGTTCGATAGCAGTCAATTATAAAATGTGCATATCTTGTGATTGAGCAAATGCACTTCTAGATATTACTATATAGAAATGTAGAAGTGTGCCAAGCTAAACAACCATAGATGTTCATTGCAGCCCTGTTTGAATGGTCATAGAAAATCCGGGATGAGAGTCCAAAGACTCAGCAAACAACAATTTAGCAATTTTGCTACTGCATAAAAGGGTGCCCCCTTTTCAAGCCCACAACAGAGATGTTGCTACTAATCCTGAATTCAACCCAGTTTGTTGCACATTTTAGGATTTCATCCTGATGACTAATTTTAGGGTCACCTATATTTGGTTACCACCTCTATTTGGTTGCAAATAAAACCGAGCACAAGTTGACTGGCAGAAAAAGAGACTGTGCTAGCTCATATCATTGTAAAGTCAGCCAGAAATTTGGCTTATGGCAAAGTTTGGTCTAAGACTCAAACAATCTCGCTAGATCTCCTGACAGTAGGGAAGATGGTGGGTCCCAGTTTTTTTTGTTTTGTTAATCAATAGTGAGGATTGGGAATGTGGAGAAGAAAGGAGGAAGATGCAGTAAAAAAAAAAAAAAAAATGCTTTGGACTTTCCAGACCCTGCATCATTTTGTTTTGGGATTGGCTTCCTTCTTCCTTTTTAGTGCTTCATGATTCACCCTTCATCCTACAGACATAGGTGTTGATGATGGATCATTGAGGGATGTGCTTGACATTTTGGGAACAAGTGGCCTTTGAGGATGGGACTGTGGATGTGGCCTCTGTATCCCAGTCAGATAAAACTATACAGAAACATAATTTTCTTATATATTTTGGATATTATCTTCTTATCAGATGTATATATTTACAAATATATATGTATATATTTACAAATATATTCTCCTCCCATTTGTAGGTTGTCTCTTTGCTCTGCTGGCCTTTTTTTTCTTTGCTGTATAAAAGCTTTTTAGTTTGATGAAATCCCGTTTGTTTATATTTGGTTTTGTTGCTTATGCTGTTGAGATTTTATCCAAAAACTCTTTGCCTAGACCAATGTCATGGATTTTCCCCCTATATTTTCTTCTAGTAGTTTCATAGTTTCAGTTCTTACATTTAAGTCTTTATTTAATACATTTTGAGTTAATTTTTTGTGCATGGTGAGGGATAGGGTCTAGGTTCATTCTTCTGCATATGAATATCCAATTCCCCAGCACCACTTATTGAAGAGGCTGTCCTTTCCCCATTGTGTGCATGTGGCTCCTTGGCTGAAAATCAGTTAGCTAGAGATGCATGGGTTTATTTCTGGGATTTTTATTCTGTTTCATTGATCTATGTGCTTGTTTTTATGCCAGGACCATGCTGATTTGGTTACTATAGCTTTGCAGTATGCTTTGATTGTCAGGAAGTGTAATGCCACTAGCTTTGTTCTATTTGTTTAAGATTGCTTTGGCAACTCAGGGTGTTTTGTGCAGGTTTTAGGAATTTTTGTGGTTTCTAATTTTAGGATCTTCTACTTCTTCGAAGAATATCATTGGTGTTTTGACAGAAATTGCATTGAATCTGTAGACCACTTTGGGTGGTAAGGACATTTTAGCAATATCAGTTCTTCCAATTCATGAACATGGAATATCTTCTATTTGTGCGTGTGTCTTTTTCAATTTATTTCATCAATGTTTTACAGTTTTCATTATAAAGGTCTTTTACTTCCTTGGTTAAATTTACTTCTTTTGTTTCAGCTATCATAAAAGATAGCTTAAAAATTTTAGCAGTAGATAGCTAAGAATAAATTGTATTCTTTTTCAGATAATTCATTATTGGCTATTACTGGTATTACTGGTGGACTATTGCATAGCATGGTTGATTAGAGTTAACAATAATGTATTCCATATTTCTTTTTTTTTTTTTACTTTTATTTTTTGAGACAGGGTCTCGCTCTGTTACCTACACTGAAGTATACAGTGGCACAATCTCAACTCACTGCCAACTCAGCCTCCCCAGCTCAAGCAATCCTCCCACCTCAGCCTCCTGAGTGACTGGGACTACAGGTGTATGCCACCATGCACAGCTAATTTTTGTCTTTTTGTAGAGACAACAACTCGCTATATTGTCCAGCCAGCATAGTCTTGAACCCCTGGGCTCAAGCAGTCCACCCATAATGGATGAGAAAGTGTTGGGATTACAGCTGAGATGGGATTGCGGGGGGCGGGTTGGGGAAGGTGAGGTTCAGAGAGGGCAGGGCCTGCAGGGAGAGGGGCTGCAGGGAGCTAGATACTGCCCCCCAAGGAGGAGGGAGCACTGTTCCCATCAGAGTGCACATCTCCTTGCAGCAGCTGCACAAATAGAGAGCCCTGGCCAGGCTGATGGAGCCTCCCATGCCTGCTTTGCCCCAGGGTGTGGATTCTGAAATCTGTGCCCCTAACGGGTGGGACTGAGGTCCACAGTGACATCCCAGGGGAATCTATGATTCCAAACTCCAGCCACCCCGCCTACAAAATAGGAAAACGCTATGCTTTTCCTATTAAATCCCAAATTCCATCAGTGCAAGCTCTCACCCTCTAAATCAGAAAGTTCAGTCATTCCTGGCGTCCTCCCACACCCCCAGCCTGACTTGCAGACACACAGGGTGGCTGACACCTGTCCCTGCTCCTCCCCCTGGCCCAGCTGCTGTGCATCCTGGAGGTGATGAATGATCAGGACAAGGGAGCCTAGAGCGGGCCCCACAGCTGTCAGGAAGCCAGGACTCAGCCTCCAGGCGGCAGTCACCCTGGTGCCACAGCGACAGCGCTGATGGCCATTCTGAAGACTGGGGGTGTCAGGAGAGCTGGGCGTCCCACAGAACTGCACAGAATAATGGGGAACGAGGGTGACACAGGACTCAGGATTTCAGATGGGTAGGTAGGCTCAGCTGGGAGCTCAGGGACAGACCTGAGGAGCCTCAGTGGGAAGTGCTGAAGTGGAAAGTTCTGGAATGTTTCAGGAAAAAGGCTGGAGGCTTAGAGGAAAGGCTGTCGCTCCTAATATGGCTGGCAACCCTGGATGGGCTGTGTTCCTCCCACCTGCCCATCCTCTCACTGCTGCCACCTCTAGGGACACAACCTCTCTTCATGTCCACCTTCCCAAACTCACCTGCACTCCTCCATTATCTGACTTTATGTGAAAGCAGTGCTAAGATCCCTCTCCTGCAATGCAAGAAGGAGATGAGAGGCCCGGGTCCCCACAGACAACTCAGCAGTGGGGTCCTGCTGAAGTGGGACCGGGCAGAATCATGCACTCCCAACATCCTGGATCCTGACTGGGGGTAACAGTGAAGTTCAAAGACCATGCCATCAAAATCTCCAGAGTGAGGCTCCTCCCTGGGGTCCCTGAGGTCTGTCCAGGAGCTGCTCCCTGAGCAAATCTAGAGCGTGGAGGGCTGGGGTTGTGGCAGTAAAAGCAGCCACATTTGTCTCAGGGTGGAAAGGGAGACGGTGAGCTCCAGTAAGGGCAAGGGCGCCATCTAGTGGGCGCCTCCTGCTAAGGAGCAAGGAGACCAGGAGAGCGGAGATCAGGGCTGGCCTTGGACTAAGGGGTGAGTTCAGGTGGAGGGGACTGAGGTGTAAGGAGGCGGGTGAAGTGGGGAAGTGGTGGGGAGACATGGGAGGAGCAGGTGAGGGGAAGCTTCAGGGAAGCTGCGGGAGGGCACAGCAGGGCTCTCCACTCCTCAGCATTGACATTTGGGTGGTCAAACTGGTGGGGCTCTGTGAACTGCAGGGTGTTCAGCACCATCCACCCACTCAATGCCAGCAGGACTCCCTCCCCCAGCTCTGACAACCAACAATGTTTCCAGACTTTGCCAAATGTCCCCTAGAGGGCAAAATTTCCCCTGGCAGAGTCACTGATCCACACTAATCTCTAATAACAATTCACCAGTAAAATCCTTCACTTGGGAGAAGAATCGCATGTGTGGGAAGAGTAGAAACTTATATCTTCAATATCTGTCAAAATGGCTTTCATTTATTCCATAATTTGATGTACCAGGAGAAGGCATGTTTAGAGATGATGCCATTTGGCTGCCTGTACCTCACAGCAGGAATGACATGGGCTTTCCAAGGATCTATACAACAAAAACCAGAATGACACACACTGAGTTACACTACAAAGTGGGACATGGGGGATCCTGTAGACATTGAAAGAAGAAAATGCATGACCCCAAGGCACCAGATAGTCCACTCTGATGCTCTCACCATCCTAGAAAACATCTCAGCCATGAATGCAGTCACATATGTCATTAGGAAGGAATGTCTTATTAAGGGGAAAATTGTAGCAAAGGAATTTCTGTTTATGTTCAAATTTGTAGACTTTTGTATTATTCTTTAAATAAGAATCTACTCTCCCCCAAAATGAATGCAATCAGTGTCTGGACAGTGTTGGGGTCTTACTCCTGGCCCCTGGGAGCTGGGAGCTGACAGTGCCCTGCTGCCCCAGCCCTGGGCCTTCTCTGAACCTCAAGAACACTGGATGGCCCCCATTTAGGGAGTAGAGAGGAGAGGTCTTTTAAACATCCTCACCAGTCACCTCTCCACCTTTCAGACCCTGGGCAGAATCTGTTGCCCACTCTTGGATTTGATCTTTAAGTTACTGACTTTAAAGCATTTTGACACTTTTTTTTTTTTTTGGTAGTCAGAAGCTTTCCACCTCCTTGGGAAAAGTGATTCTCTACTCTATGTACAGGAATAACCAGTAGAAATAGAGAAAAAATGCATTAATATTCAGAAAGAAGATGATCTCTATGTGAACAAATGAAAGCTTAAAATCATCAGAGTCAACATAAAATCAACATTGCCAGTGCTAAAACTACAAAAGTGACATTAACGGTGAACTAGAAGAATAAAACAAGCATTACAGTTGCTGGTAAACCTAAATCACTTATTTTTTTAAAAGACCATTCTGGTATATTGCAATGATGACAGGAGTGCCCTTCAGTCAATATGATGCCTGTAATTTTTGTGACCTGGCAAGATATACTGTCCCTTCTCCTTTTAAATCTCAAATGCAAAATGAGAGGCAACTCCTGGGTCACCCCCTCCCAGAGCAAACTGCCTGCAAGCAGCCCCTGGAAGAGCAGAGGCCCTAGTTTCCCTGATCCTCAAGGCAGGAGCGATGGGAAGCTCCCTGTAAGCCGGGGGAGAGCTTTGTTCCCAGAATGTTCCTCCTCTTCCCAGAGGCACCAACCCCGATGCCCTGACACTTACCTTCTGCTCTCTCGCCCAATGTTCACTCAAATATTGAGTGCTTGGTGAGTCTGCAGAGCTCAGGAACTTCTGGGAGCCAAATCACCACCAGCTCCTCCAGAAAAGATACCTGTGCACACCCAAAACCACCCCACTGAGCCCTGCCTGGGGTCTGTACCACATCCAGCATGTGCACTGTGAGCATAGAATCCGGCCCTGAATTCATGACCACCCACCAACATGCCCCCAACTGAAACCAGCAAATTCCCACACATGGCAAGCACTGAGGCTTGGAGGTGCTTTCTCACGAGGTGGTTCTGCTTCCACCATGGGGTGGTTGTCACTGACACTGGAAGTTGCTCAGCACCTGATAGTGGTGCAGGACTCAGGGACCCTCAACATCAATCTGGTGAAGGCAGATGGGGCCCCTCCAGATCTTCTCCCACCTGCAGGTGCCCAGCTCAGTAAGACCCCAACCCTGGGAGGAGGATCCAGACCCCTGTGCCAGGTAGACCAAGCTTGAGGCCTCAGGCAATGAGAGAGAAGGAGATGGAGGTCTGACCAGGAGCTGCTCTTCCTTGAGAGCCCGGGTCCCTTCCTTGTGCAAAGGCTTGGCTTATGAACAGAATCCTCAATCTGTAGTGACAGTGCCTAAGAGGATGACATGGACTCCGGCCTGATGTGCAGCCGTCCCTGTCTAACCCCTCCCTGCTGCAGGACAGCACCAGCCCAGGAGAGGAATCCTCAGTTGGGGAGCCAGTAAGAACATGGAATACTCGGGGCCTCTTACCTTCCTCCAGTCCACAGCAGCAGCCACCGTTTGTGCCTAGGACACCCACCTGCTGGCCCTTCTGACCCTTACAGTCAGGCCTTCCAGATGCCACTCCTGACTCAAGGCCCAGCTACTTTCACCCTGCTGAGCCCTGCTCCTCCCAACCAGGGTCACTGCCTTGCTAAGCACCTCCTCCAGCTCCAGCTGACTGGTCACCCAACACCCAAACCCCAGAGGACAAACAAGAAAATAAACAGATATGAAGTCTGAAGGAGATGCAGGCTATGAAGACAAATAAAAGAGTAAGCATGAATATAACTCCACCAACAAAATTGTTTCCCAAAACAAAATCTTCTGTGCCCATGATCATGGAACTAATTGTCCCTCACTATGTAGGCAAGCACTTCCAGGGTCTCTCAATTATTTCATGGGTGTCAATATACACTGTAACATAGCAACTCAGAAAAGAAAGTGGGAATAATTTATCTACTTAGATTAAGGTCCTAAAAAGGTCTCCAGACTGCCAAAAAAGGAGAGCTGAACCACTCCTGCTTTGAGAACCATTGAACTACATCTTTTTTAAAAGTCACCCCAGAATGGCCAAAACAATCTGGAAAAAAAAATTGGAGGACTCACTTCCTAATTTGAAAACTTACTAAAACACTACAATCATTAAAACAGTGTGCTTCTGGCACAAGAATGCACATAGAGATCAATGGAATAGAATCAAGAGTCCAGAAATAAACCCTCACCATTACAGCCCATTGGTTTTTGACATGGGTGCCAAGATTCCTCAATGGGGAAAGAATGGTAGCCTCTTCATATTGTGCTGGAACAACTGGATAACCACATGCGAGATAGTGTAGTTAGACCCCTACCTCACAGCCCATACAAAAGTTAACTCAAAATGTTTCAAAAACCTAAATGGAATAGCAAAACTTATCAAACCATTAGAAGAACATATAGGAGTAAAACTTAATGATCTTGGATTGGGCAATGGTTTCTTCAATATGACATCAAGAGCATAAGTAACAAAATTAAAAATAGATAAGTGAACTTCATCAAAGTTAAAAATGTTTGTGCTTCAAAGAACACCATGAAGAAAGTGAGAAGACACAGAATATGAGAAAAATTTTGCAAATCATGTACCCCATAAGGGACTTGTATCTAAAATATATAAAGAACTATTACAACTGAATAATAAAAAGATAACCCATTTTTTTTAAACAGCAAATGATTTGAATAAATAGTTCTCTAAAAAATATTAAAATTGTCAGCAAATACATGAAAAAATGCTCAACTTCATCAGCCACCAGGGAAATGAAAATCAAAACTGCAATGAGCTATCACTTCACACCTACTAGAATGGCTATAAGTTTTAAAAAATATTAAATAGTAAGTGTTTACAAGAATGTAGAGAAAATGGAACCCTCGTATATTGCTGATGGGAATATAAAATAGCACAGCAAACTGGAAAACAGTTTGGCTGTTTCTCAAAAACTTAAACATAGAACTACCACATGACCCCATATTTATACTCCTATATGTACCCCCAAAGAAATGAACACAGAAACCCAAACAGATACTTCCAAGTGTAAGTTCATTGCAGCGGTTTTCACAATAGCAAAAATGTGGAAACCACCCACATGTCCATTAAGAGATGAATGAATTAAAATTGAGGTATAAACATATATTGGGATATTACTCAGCCATAAATAGGAAAGAAGCTGTAATATATGCTACGACGTGGATGAATCTTAAAAGTGTTACCCTAAGAGAAATAATCCAGAAAAAAATAATACACGTATATAATTCCTTATTATATGAGACATGTAAACTAGGCAAATTCACAGAGATTGATAGTATCAGAGGCTACCAGTGGGTGGGGCAGGGGGAAGTGGGGAGTTATTGATTAAAAGTATGAAGTTTCCATTTGGTATAATGAAGATTTTCTGGTAAAAAATTATGGTGATGGTTGTACAACATTGTGAATAGAATTAGTATCATTTAATTCTACACTTAAAATTGCTAATTCAGTACATTTATCTTATGTATTATACCATATCTAAAGAGATCTTTGGGAAACAAACACTCGCCCTGATCAGATAGTCCTCATACTCATGTACACACCCTTCCTGACCTTCTGTAAAAAGGGATACAAAGATTTAGGGACATGAGACAGTTCAGGCAACTGCAGATCCACAAAATATATGTATTTGCAAAGAGAATGAGAGTTAAGCTGGGGGCACAGACCCCAGACACGGAGAGGGTCCCCCTGAAACCTTCACCAAGGACAGCAGAACCCAGAGCCTCCCACCTCCTTCCATCAAAGTCCTCTCTTCCCAGGACACACAGGACACCTCCCTCCACACCTAGGAGCTGGGGATCCTCCCGAGACCTCCAGGCCTGGGTCTCTGTCCCTGGGTCAGAGGCCAGGCTGGTGACACTGAAGATAGCGGGTGGGTCCTTCCCAGCCATCACCCAGTGAGCCCCTTTCTAGCCCCCAGAGCCACCTCTGTCACTTTCCTGCTGGGCATCATTCTGCCTTCCTGGAGCACTGGAGAGCATGAGGAGACCCAGGGCCCAGCTGGTTTTGTGTGTCACAAAGGGAAATAATCTACCGGCTGTGACAGAACCAAGGCCAGAACACAGCAGAGGTCAGTACTGGGGAGAGTGGGTCGTCCTGTTATGAGGACCCCATCAGCGTTGCTTCTCAAAGTTTTGCCTAGGGAACCAAATATAGGCAAAAAGGAAGGAGAAAGGAGGGACAAGGGAGGCAGGACTGAGAGGGGAGGGGACAGAGAGACATTGTAGGCAGAGCCCCGCCCTTGCCCATAAACGGGAAGTGCTCCTGCCTGAGAGGAAGCTCAGCATAGAGGAAGGAAGGACAGCAGAGACAACAGTCACAGTAACCCTGTCTAGAGCGTTCCTGGAGCCCAAGCTCCTCTCCACAGAGGAGGACAGAGCAGGCAGCAGAGACCATGGGGCCCCCCTCAGCTTGTCCCCACAGAGAATGCATCCCCTGGCAGGGGCTCTTGCTCACAGGTGAGGGGAGGACTCCCTGGGAGTGGGTGGGAGGAGGGAGCACAGAGACTGGCTGGGGTCTCCTGGGGAGGATGGGGCTCTGAGAGGAGACAGAGGGCTTTTGTTAGAGACTCAGGGGAGAGAGCGTCTAAGGAGAACCAAAAAATCTAAGTGAACTGGAATTGCCAAGGGGCAAAACAATCTCAGTTGGTCCATGTTTTCAAGTTCATTGTCAGTGGCCACTACACTTTGAAAATGATAGTAAAACTATATCACAGTGACAATTTAAATAAAAACACCACCAGGGCATGAAACTCTGTCTTCATCTGCCAACCTCAGACATTAGCAAATAAACCCCAGGATATGGAAGGCCCTGGGAACGCTCATGAACTCATCCACAGGAGTCTGCAGCCTGTCCCAGGCACTGGGGTGCAACTAACATCACTCAAGTCCATGCCCTCACAGAGCTCACAATCTCATGGGGGGGAAGACAGACACCCAAAGAGATCTAGAATGTGAGGTCAGGTGCTGACAAGAGCCCTGGAGGGAACAGAGCTGGGAAAGGTCAGAAAGGGAAGACCCAGGGTCTCTAGAGGAGGCTTCACGAAAGAAGTCTCCCAGGGATTCCCTTGTGTGAGTAGGAACTGAAGGCAGTGGGGAGGGAACCATGCAGACCCCTGGGAAAGAGGGTTCACACAAGGAAATGCCAAGGTCAGAGGTACTGAAGGAATGAGGGTCATGCTGCTGACTTTGACCCAGTAGGACACACACACACACACACACCCTCTAAGGCTGAGGGGTGAAGAGACCTGCACCCAGGACCCCGTCTTTCCATGCCAATGCATAGGTCAAATATTGACTGATATTCTCTCCCTTTCCTAGCCTCACTTTTAACTTTCTGGAACGCACCCACCACTGCCTGGCTCTTTATTGCATCAGCGCCCTTTGAAGTTGCTGAAGGGGAGAATGTTCATCTCTCTGTGGTTTATCTGCCCGAGAATCTTTACAGCTATGGCTGGTACAAAGGGAAAACGGTGGAGCCCAACCAGCTAATCGCAGCATATGTAATAGACACTCACGTTAGGACTCCAGGGCCTGCATACAGCGGTCGAGAGACAATATCACCCAGTGGAGATCTGCATTTCCAGAACGTCACCCTAGAGGACACGGGATACTACAACCTACAAGTCACATACAGAAATTCTCAGATTGAACAGGCATCTCACCATCTCCGTGTATACGGTGAGTGATTCCTCCGTGCCTCTGGGTGTTGGGGGTCAGTTCTGCTTCACATACGCAGGATTGTCAGGCCTGGGCTGTGCCTGCATCCCCCTCTGCATTACGTCCCATGTTGGGGTTTGGGCATTTAGTGCAGGACACACCCAGGGGAGACAAACTATAACAGATCAGAATTCCTTTCCCTTATCCGGACTCCGTGGAAATTCCCTACAGCAAGAAGGATAGTCTGATGCGGGAGATGCAGCGGGGGAAAATCAGTCTCAGTCCAACCCCCCTTGGCCTCCTCCTCATAGACATGACCTGAGAAAGATCTTATAGGACTCAGTCAGGGCCTGGCCTGAGGATCCTCTGAGAGAAGCTCAGCCCTTGAAGCCCCTGCCCCAGGCCCCTGTCCCAAGATCCTGACTCCAGATGACCCTGGGGAGCCTGTGCCAGGGCTGGGTTGTGGCTTCCTGGGCAGGGCTGATTGTGAGCAAGGATTTACCAGCTGTCCCAGGGCCGTGGTTCCTAGAGCTGGTCACCAGGCAGGGCTCAGCCCCCAGAGCCCCATCTGGGCAAGGGCAGAGCCTCATCTTTCACCTGAGAGTCAGAGTGGAGAGGACAGACAAACAAACTTCCCAGGCCATTAAACTGGATGGGAAACTTAAAAGATGTCCCGGGAAGTGCACTGTCCTCAGGAGGAGGGAAAGCAGAGAAAAGACACTCTGGACCGCTCCTTCTCCACCAGGAATCAGGCCCAGAGAACTCTTTTTTTTTTTTTTTGGAGTAAAATAATAATAGATGATGTTTATTTGGAGCTATTCTGTGCCAAGCTTTAGGTCAGGTAATTGTAAATATTTTAATGTTAATTTACAGAGAGGATGGCAAGCCAGGGACCATTGACATGTACCCCATTTTATTAAAGAGAAATTGCATCAGCATCACACAGGCTGTCAGTGCTCAACGTCACACCACCGTGTGTCTGCAGCCCAGAATCTGGTCGTGGCCACCACCGTGGGGCATCTGTGGACCCCAGGACCAGATGTTGGTTCAGCTCCTTTCTTCTTGGGCATCCTCAGCTCAGAGAGGGAGATTCTGGTCTGAGGAATGACGGGCAAATGGAGAATTAGTCAGTTTTTACTTAGAACGAAATCACCTGTCTCAACTATCAGACTCAATGCCAGGATTGTCCAAGCCTCTCCCATCAGATCCACATTCCTTCCCTCACTGGACGTGAAATCATGAATTTCTTGATTTGTTGATGTCACTCCCATGGGAGGATGAAGGAAAGGACTCAGCTTTCTCTTCCCACTACACCCTGTACCTGCACAAGGCCCAACTGAGACACACACTCAGTAGTTCTCTGATGAAGGAGGGAGGGAATTAATGAAAAAAGAAAGGAATAATCATAACCTCTTTACAGACTGGGTCCTGGATGTAGGATCCTAGGAGGAGCTGGCCACACCTCTTCCTTGTCCCTTAGGGGCTGAGACCCATGTTCCATTTCTCTGACTGCCTGCTCCTAAAGCCACCCCAGGTATTGCATCTCATGTGACTCTGGGGCCGCTCATCTGTGGGAGGGTTTTCAGGGCTCCCTGGTCCTGGTCTGAGGCAGCTGGGTCCTCCTGGTCCCTGGGGTCTCTGAGGTCACTGTAGTCCCTACTGCTCGCTGCTATGGGTGTCTCTGGTTCTCTCTGCTCCTCCCTGTCCTTCATCTTTCTCCTTTATTCACAGGAGAATGTTCTAAATTTGACTCTGAGATCTCTGAGGATGCAGCATGGCCCCAAGACACTTTCTGTTGGTCACTCTATCCACAGAGTCAGTGGCTCAGCCCTCCATCCAAGCCAGCAGCACCACAGTCACAGAGAAGGGCTCCGTGGTCCTGACCTGCCACACAAATAACACTGGAACCTCTTTCCAGTGGATTTTCAACAACCAGCGTCTGCAGGTCACGAAGAGGATGAAGCTGTCCTGGTTTAACCATGTGCTCACCATAGACCCCATCAGGCAGGAGGACGCTGGGGAGTATCAGTGTGAGGTCTCCAACCCAGTCAGCTCCAACAGGAGCGACCCCCTCAAGCTGACTGTAAAATGTGAGTGACCCTCGGCCCCTCTCACTCCTTTCCTTGTATATTTTCCTAGGAGGGAGGGGGGGTGTAAAATGATACACGGAATGAGAAGGATGAGATTCCTTCAGAGCCTGGGGAGCAATGTGGGTAAGAACTCAGGGATTAGACTCATCCAGTTATCATCCTGGTTACAATAGGTACCAGGTATTTGACCTTGGGCAAGACACTCAACCTCCTGGGCCTCAGTTTCCTCATCTGTAGAATTGTTACAAACACCTGGACCTCAGGGTGGTTGTGAGGATATTTATTCAGAGATTAATGCGATTAAAGCCCTTAACAAGGTCATGCACAGAGCCAGGGCTCAATCAGTGCTATCAATATCGACTGGTATTATTTTTATGAACTTTGTTGTTATTAGCTGTTAAGTTGAGCAGACTTTGGTTACATTTTTGTTGTATCACTTTCACTTACCAGTTCTGTAATCTTAATTGAAGTACTGAATCTTAATTGAAGTACTGAATCTTAATTGAAGTACTGAATTGAAGTACTTCAATCTTAATTGAAGTACTGAAACTATAAGTTTCAGATTCTAAATTGGCAGATGGGATTCCACCCTGTTTGGAAAAACTCAAACTGTGTTTTTCCTCTGCTCTCACTCCACAATAACAATCATCAACACAGACACACTTCTGTGACCAAATGTGATGGGGGGGGGTTTCTCCCACACACCCAGCAGCCAATCAGTTCTGCACCGTACATCAGCTAGGTGTCCTCCAATTCCATCCTGACACTATCTACCTGGACATATCAGCAGAGGGCTCAGTCCCACAAAATTGCCACCACCTTCCCACCAGTCACAAGTCTGGGCCTCCAGAGCTTCTTATGACTGGCTTCACATTGAGGTTTCCATGACTCCCTGTTTGGGTTGGATTAGTTTGCTCAAACAGCTCTCAGGACTCAGGGAAACACATACTTAGGCTTACCGGTTTGTAATAAAGGACTTTACAAAGGATGCAGATGAAGAGATGCACAGAGCATGGCATGTGGGAAGGGGTGTGGAGCTTCCATGCCCTCCCCAGATGCACCACACTCCAGAAACTTCCATGGGTTCAGCTCTTCAAACCCAGTCCTTTTGGGGTTCATGACATAGATATGATTGATTTAATCATTGGCCATTAATTGATTCAATCATTGGCCATTAATTGATTCATTGGTCATTGGTGATTAATTCAAACTCCAGGTCCCTCCCCAGGGATTAGGGGTGAGGCTGAAAGTCCCAACCCTCTAATCCTACCTGGGTCAGTGACCAGCCTCATTCTGAAGTTGCCTAGGGGCTGCCAGTCATCAGTCAATTATTAGCTTGAAAAAGACATCACTTTGAAGATTCTAAGGACTTTAGAGTCACATACCAGAAAATGGGTGTATTAGTCTGTTGGGAGCAAGCCCCCCAAAATCTGGCCATAAACTGGCCCCAAAACTGGTCATAAACAAAATCTCTGCAGCACTGTAACATGTTCATAATGGCCCTAATGCCCAAGCTGGAAGGTTATGGGTTTACAGGAATGAGGGCAAGGAATACCTGTCCCACCCAGGGTGGAAAACCGCTTAAAGGCGTTCTTAAGCCACAAACAATAGCATGAGCAATCTGCATCTTAAGGGCGTGTTCCTGTTGCAGTTAACTAGCCCAACCTATTCCTTTAATTCGGCCCATCCCTTGGTTTCCCATAAGGGATACTTTTAGTTAATTTAATATCTATAGAAACAATGCTAATGACTGGTTTGCTGTTATTAAATATGTGGGTAAATCTCTGTTTGGGGCTCTCAGCTCTGAAGCCTGTGAGAACCCTGATTTCCCACTTCACACCTCTATATTTCTATGTGTGTCTTTAATTCCTCTAGCACTGCTGGGTTAGGATCTCCGCGACCGAGCTGGTCTTGGCTGCTGATAAAGACATACCTGAGACTGGGTAATTTTTTTAAAAATGAGGTTTAATTGACTTACAGTTCCACATAGCTGGGGAGGCCTTGAAATCATGGCAGAAGGCAAAAGGCATGTCTTACATGGCGGCAGGCAAGAGGGCATGTGTAGAGGAACTCCCCTTTCTAAAACCATCAGATCTTGTGAGACTTATTCACTATCATGAGAACAGCATGGGAAGAATCCACCCCCATGATTCAATTACCTCCCACTGGGTCCTTCCCCCAACACGTGGGGATTATTAAAATTCAAGGTGATATTTGGGTGAAGAAGAGCCAAACCATGTCATTCCACCCGACCCCTCCCAAATCTCATGTCCTCACATTTCAAAACTAATCATGCCTTCCAACAGTTCCCCAAAGTCTTAACTCATTCCAGCATTAACCCAAAAGTCCAAGTCCAAAGTTTCATCTGAGACAAGGCAAGTCCCTTCCACCTATAAGCCTGTAAAATCAAAAGCAAGCTTAGTTACTTCCTAGATATAATGGGTGTACAGGCACTGGGTAAATACAACCATTCCAAATGGGAGAAACTGGCCAAAACAAAGGGGCTACAGGCCCCATGCAAGCCCAAAATCCAGCAGGGCAGCCAAATCTTAATGCTCTGAAATGATCTCCTTTGTATCCATGTCTCACATCCAGGTCACACTGATGCAAGAGCTGAACTCCCATAGCCTTGGGCTCCACCCCTGTGGCTTTGCAGGGTACAGCCCCACTCCTGGCTGCTTTCATAGGCTGGCGTTGAGTGTCTGCAGCTTTTCTAGGTGCATGGTGCAAGCTGTTAGTGGATCTACCATTCTGGGGTCTGGAGGATTGTGGTCTTCTTCTCACAGCTCCATTAGGCAGTGCCCCAGTAGGGACTCTGTGTCGGGGTTCCAACCCCACATTTCCCTTCAACACTTCCCTAGCAGAGGTTCTCCATGAGGGCTCTGCTTCTGCAGCAAACTTCCACCTGGACATCCAAGCATTTTCATACATCCTCTGAAATCTAGGCGAAGGTTCCCAAACCTCAATCCTTGACTTCTGTGCACCTGCAGGCTCAACACCACATGGAAGCTGCCAAGGTTTGGGGCTTGCACCCTCTGAAGCCATGGCCCCAGCTGTACCTTGGCCCTCTTTAGCCATGGCTGGAGTGGCTGGGATGCAGGGCACCAAGTCTCTAGGCCGCACACAGCAGGGGAGCCCTGGGCCTGGCCCAGGAAACATTTTTTCCTCCTAGGCCTCCAGTCCTGTGATGGAAGGGGCTTCCAGGAAGGTCTCTGACATGCCCTGGAGACATTTTTGCCATTGTCTTGGGGATTAACATTTTGCTCTTCATTGTTTATGCACATTTCTGCAGCTGGCTTGAATTTCTCCTCAGAAAATGGATTTTTCTTTTCTATTGCATCATCAGGCTGCAAATTTTCCAAACTTTTATGCTCTGCTTCCCTTTTAAACATAAGTTCCAATTCCAAACCATACCTTTGTAAATACATAAAACTGAGTGTTTTTAACAGTACCCAAGTCACATCTTGAACACTTTGCTGCTTAGAATTTTTTTTCCACCAGTTGCCCTAAATCATTTCCCTCAAGTTCAAAGTTCTGCAGATCTCTAGGGCAGGGGCAAAATACCACCAATCTCTTTTCTAGAGTATAACAAGAGTCACCTTTGTTCCAGTTCCCAAGAAGTTCCTCATCTCTGTCTGAGACCACCTCAGCTTGGACTTTATTGTCCATATCACTATCAGCGTTTTAATCAAAACCATTCAACAAGTCTCTAGGAAGTTTCAAACTTTTTTCCTGTGTCTTCTTCTGAGCCCTCCAAACTGTTCCAACCTCTGCCTGTTACCCAGTTCCAAAGTCACTTCCACATTTTCAGGTATCTTTATAGCAGCACTCCACTAGCTGGTACCAATTTACTGTATTAGTCCATTCTCACACTGCTAATGAAGACATACCTGAGACTTGGTAATGTATGAAGAAAGAGGTTTAATTGATTCACAATTCCACATGGCTGGAGAGGTCTCACAATCATGATGGAAGGTGAAAGGCATGTCTTACATGGCAGCAGGCAAGAGGACATGTGTAGGGAAGCTTCCCTTTATGAAACCATCTGATCTCCTGAGACTTATTCACTATCACAAGAACAGGATGGAAAAAACCCACCCTCATGATTCAATTACCTCCCACAAGGTCCCTCCCATAACACATGGGGATTATTACAATTCAAGGTGAGATTTGGGTGGGGATACAGAGCCTAACCATATCAATGGTGATGAACACCAAATACGTATTTCACAATATCACATACCCTTCTCCCTCAAGGCAATGGGAGGGTGAGAAAAGCTGCAGGTAGATTGATTCCCACTGTGCCTTCCATGTGGAAGGCCCCTGAAAACAGTCAATGAACATCATCCCTGCTCATCAGCATTGAGTTGGCAGCAAGGGCCTGCCCTTTACGACTGCCATGGGATGGAAAAAAAGAAACAGGGGGAAGAGGAGTGATGTGAGAGGAAGGAGGGACTAAAAAACACAGGAGCAGGATGAGGTGCAGGCTTCCTGTGGGAGAATGTAGGAGTTGATGCATCCCAGTAATTCAAGCCTAAGACACAGAAAATGGTGCAACCACGGAGAGCAAGGGAGCCAGCTATGAGGACAGCACAACAGACCACACTCAGGCTCCATGGCATTTCCTTCCTCCCTGACCATGCCCCTGCCCTGCAAGGCCCCTCATGGTTCCCCCTGGAACAGATTTGGACCTCATCCCCTTTGCCTTCTTCTTTCAGCAGATGACAACACTCTAGGCATCCTGATCGGGGTCCTGGTTGGGAGTCTTCTGGTGGCTGCACTTGTGTGTTTCCTGCTCCTCCGAAAAACTGGCAGGTACCACAGCTTTTCCCCATTCTGCTCCCATCCTTCACGCTGACCCCAGGCGAGAAGGAAGGAGACCCTGTCTTGTATTCAGTGCCAGGCTCTCCCCAGCCTCCCGACTCCCCAGGGATCCTTCCCTCTCATTCCATGGCACCTTCCTCACCAGCTGCTGACCCTGGGCTGCTTCCTCAACAGCTTTGTCCTCAGTGAATTCAGTCCAATTAAGGCCATGCCCCTGAGCATGGTCCTAGTTTCCTAGCACAGCAAAGCCACAGCTGCCTGGAGCAGGGGGGAGCGGTGCTCAATACCTGGTACCTCCCCCTGTTCACTGAATCCATCCACCCAGTGAGAGGGCATCTGAGGGGGGATCCTGGGCATCATCACATAGTGGAGACTGGAACAGCCTGGACGGGCTGGGTGGGGTCAGCACCCCTTTGACTGACATGGTAACTGCAGACACTGAGCTGTGAGAAGGGAGAACCGGGGCCCCAATATGGCATATCCTGGAATGTCGTTTATGTCTCTTGCCAAAGGGCAGAGACAGAAGACAAGATCATTGTCCCATTTCAGCATCTCCAGCCCTGAGTGGAGTGTCTGGTCACAGCAGGGACACTGAGTTCCAGGAGAATCCAAGATGCATGCAGTCCCCTCAGTGTCCTGCACATGTGCCTGGCCCTGCTTTCCCCCTGGTGCCTTGACCCTTCCTCTCAGGCAACCCCTGGTGGTCTGATTCCTTCCCTGGGTCCTCAGTCCCTTTCCTGTGTCACTGGATCAATGTTCTCCTGGCCCAGCATCTGCCTGAGAGTCCTTCCCCTCTGGCCAGGACAGATGTGGCTTTGTAAGGCCTTTCCTCAACTCCCCTCACCTGGGCCCCTCCTACCACAGAACTCCATAAAGAAAGGAGGTCTCCATACCCCTCTTGGAAATAGGCTCCTTTCCTGGTCCCCTATTTTAACTCCAATTTGTGACTTTTAACCTTGCACCTTCACAAATAACCCTGACCTTTCCTAGGGCCAGCGATCAGAGTGACTTCAGGGAGCAGCAGCCCCCAGCCTCCACCCCCGGTGAGTGTCCCTTCAGTCTGGGTGTGGCTGGGAACTACTAAGCCAGCCCCAAGTTGTCCACTCCTGCCAGTTACACCCAGGGGCCTCTGACCCTATCCCTGGGGCTGCAAAGAGGATCCCATAAAACATCACACAGGAAACCCCAACTGGCCGGGTCAGCCCTAACCTCCGGGCTCTGGGTCATGGGTCACTTCCTCAACCTCACTTGCTTACTTGACCCCTAAAATAACCTGAGAAAGGCTCCCTCTCCCCAATTCTCTAAGAACTGAGGACCCCCACACACTCTTGCAGGAGGGGCCCAGCTATCCTAACACTCTCGTGCTCACTTTTGTCTCTGTCCCCAGGCCATGGACCCTCTGACAGCTCCATCTCCTAGGTAAGACTGTCCGTTCCCAATCCCATTTCCACTGGGGCCCCAGCTGTGCAGGCTCAGGGCAGGGGGACTGTCAATCCCCAGCACAAACCCACCCTACCCAGAATGACTTGGATAAGGTTAGACCTGCCCTGGCCATGAGCTGGGCCTCTGTTCAGGGCCAGGATCATCCACTCCCTGTGCTAACCCCACCCTGGGACCCTCCATCACCTGAGGAGAGCCCTGGAATTCCTACACAGCAGGAATCCTTCCCTGTCCCCTGACACCCCTCTCTCCCCTGCCCAGATTCCCCTACCCAGCACCAGGGCAGCTGCTCTCATCTATGAGGTGAGTGGGGGCCACAGATATTCTGGTCCCTTGGGCCCCAGGGAGACCCAGGATCTGTCCCCACTGGCATCTGGCTGAGCTGAAGTTCAGGAAACTGCAGTGAAAATAACAGGAGGTGGTGAGCAGAGGAGGGAGGGGCCTGGGAGCAGGAACCCCCTGAGCACAGCCAGGTTCAGTCCCAGAGTAGCCCTGGGTGGGCCCAGAGAGAGATGCCAGACCCTGTTCTGAGAAGGCCTCAGGGGTCAAGACCTCTTCTCTGTTTTTACAGGAATTGCTACACTCTGACACAAACATTTACTGCTGGATCGACCACAAAGCAGATGTGGCTTCTTAGGTTCCTCTGGGAGCTGCTCCTGTGGGTTGATGGAGCGTCCCTGAAGCCCCCAGCCCTGGGGATGGGGAAGGACATGGAGCCTGAGCCAGAGAACCAGCTCTGAGTCCTGAGGAGACACAGGCCTGGGGACAGGAAGGGATGGGGGTCCCTGCTGAATATATAGAGACCTCAACAGACTGCCCCGGGCTCTGGGTGGGCCAAGGCGAAGGCTTCCCATCACCACAGGAAGTGGGGGCTTGCAGGGAAAGTGAATGGGCCTATGGCCCACCCGGGGTCACCTGGAAAGGATCTGAATAAAGGGGAAACTTCCTCTCATTGGCTCTTTTTCTGCTCATGGGAACTTAGCAGAAACTCACCTGAAACTCCATGTCCATTCTCTCCTGGGTCACACAGGAAAAATATCTCCACCTTATCTCAACCCCAGTCTCTCTTCCCTGGAAAGACAGGAGTAGGGGGTTAGGAGTCAGGCTGGGGTGGACCCTACACAGGAAAGGGCAGGATTCGCAGGAGTCCTGCCCAGCCAGCTGAGTGCTCAGCTGTCCTCACACTACCCTAGAGACCAAGGCCATGCACAGCCCCAGCCTGGGTCCCTCTGTGAATGCATGAGATGTCTCAGGAGTGCAAAAGTTGGGGCCATCTGATGTCCACACAAAGGTGAGCAATGCAGGAGCATCCATGGGTGGTACAGATCGTGGGTGTGACCTCCACACAGCCTCCAGTGTCCTGAGCCCTCCTGCTCTCTTCACCCAGGCCCTGGAGGCCGTATCTATCACTGTCCCCCAGCAATGAGCTTGCCTGTCCCCAAATCCAGGATCCTGGATGCTTAGCTCTGGCCACCAGGTTCTCCTCTGTCCCAATGGCCACTGCTCAGGAGATCTTTATCCCCGTGGGACACAGAGAGGGGTTGTCAGAGTAACCAAGGTGGGAACAGACCAAGAATTCAGTCCTTGAGCAAGGTCCTCCCAGGCACTACCCAGGACTCTAGCCCCTCATTTCCCATCAGTTCCCAATTTACCCCCTGGCGTGGATCTCACTGAGCAAGCCTCCTCTCCACACAGGAGCGTCCAGGTCAGAGGAGCAGGGTTCCCCAACCTAAAGCTCGTGCAGGCTCCCATGGCGATGGGACAACCTGTCTGCCCCTCTACCTGGACCCACAGGCCCCTCCAGCCCTGCCTCACCTGCAGCTCCTCCACACACCTGGGCCAGCTGTTCTCAGCCCTTCCCTGAGGGCCCTGGGGAGAGTAACGATCTCATGTAGGTTCACTTGGACCAGGTGCTACCTTCCCACAAACAAGCCGGTCCCTCCACTAAAGCACAGAGCCGTGGTTTCCAAGGGTGTTCTGCCATTGTCCAGGGTTGTTGGCCATGAGATAGGAAGTAGGAAAAGCAACCTGCAATATTTACATCAGGATTTAGCTGTAAATGACCCTGGATCCCACCTGCACACAAGGTGACTCCTCTGTAGGTTCCTGTTGAGGCTGTGACAAATTCCCACAAGCTAAGTGACACAGAAACTTGAACCAAGGTGCCCACATGGCTGCGTTCTTTCTGGAGGCTCCAGGGCAGAGTGCGTTTCCTCTCCTTTTCCACCTCCTAGAGGCCTCCTGCATCCTTGGCTGTGTCCTCTTTCTCCATCTTCAAAGCCAGCAGTGCAGCATCTTGACACCGCTCTGTCTTCTGCATCTATCCCCACATCTCCTCCTCCTTCTCTGACTCTCCCACCTCCCTCTCTCATTTGTAAGGAAGGGATTCTGTGATTATGTTGGACCCATCTGGATAAACTACAATAATCTTCCAAACTCATAATCCTTCATTTAATCTGTAAGGTCTCTTACCATGTGACAGATTCACAGATGCTGGGGGTGATGATGTGACATTTTTGAAAAGCCCCTGTTCTGTCCATCACCCCTTTCAAGACCATTTTCTCATCCTTGCTCACTACAAACTGCACATGGGCTCCTGGACAAGGCCATCCTGACTGTGGTGTCAGTTTCTGCAATAATGTCTACAGCAGCTTCAGGGTTATGGGAGAGCAAGACAGAAGTCACTTCAAGATCCTGAACACCTCTCCACCTTCTCATTGTTAATGATGCTCTGTTGTTAAAAGTGAAAGGAGAGCAGAGGTAACTAGAAGATTCTACATCACACTCTGTTCCATAGCTCTTGGTCGTCAGCACCACGGACAGTGTCTCAGGAATGTTCATTCTGAGGTGCTGCAGCAGGAAGGTGGCAGATGAGAACAGACTGCTGGAAAGATGTCCATGTCTAGTTTACAAGAAAAAGACACAACCAGGAACAACGTTATTGCAGGGAAACTTGATCTGCTCTATTTTATATATCGCAAAATTTTTGCATGCATCTGGATGTTGGGGTTCTTGGCACATCTATTGCCATACCCTGCAGAGCTGAGTGCTGCACCCAGGGTGTGGTCTCTGGGAGGCTGAGAGCCTGCTTTGGCCACATGGTAAGTCTCCCTGACCCTGACAATCAGGCCATTTTCTCTGCCTACAGAAGGTGGGAACTTTTCATGGTTAATTTTTGACCCCCGTGCCTGACCCTGGAACCACACACATCACGCTGCCTGGAGCATGCCCTGAGCACAGCATCCTGCTCCTCCAGCCCCAGCTGAGCCCCTGAGAAGCTGAGCTGACCAAGCCCATGGGCTTCTGTACCAGATCCTCCAAGCCAAGCCTTGTCACCCCCATCTTGCTAATTCCTGCCCACGTCACACCCACAGAGAAGACTCTGGTCCTACAGACCAGCGCTGCCCTTACAGAGACTCAGGTCCAGCCTATCCAGTGTCCCTGCTGGGCACACACAGCACTCAGGATGCCCAATTTAAGGGTCATCTGTGGGCTCGGGGGTGGGGAGGTCCTGTAACTTGCATGGGTCAGAGCCCTCCTCACATCCTACATTTCAGCAGTCACCAGGGTCCTCTCTGCCCTGTCCTCACCTTCAATGTCTCAATGACTCACTCAATGTCCTGGGTCATCCTTGTCATCTCTCCTGGACATAGCCACAGCTCCTGACAGGAGGGGTTGAGGCTCTGTCTCTCCATCAGTCCCTCCCACTCTGACCACATGAACCTGGTCAGCCCCATCTGAGCCTCATCCCCTCACCAGGGGCCCTGTGCTCTGGATCCCTGGATACCTGGGTCCTTGTCATGCAAACTTGACAACAGTAATAACCACCAGGCCCTGGCATCCTCACGCAAAGCACATGTCTAATGAGAGACAACTGGCTCCACACACCTTGAGGCTTCACTGCTCAGGGGCATCCTCATCCCTCTCCTCCCACCCCTAGAGATGGTAAGCACCACCAGCCCCTTCCCCCAGACCACAGCCTCAGATCTATTCTGACCCTCTATACAGAGAGGCTCTAGGGAACAGCAGGCACTATGAAATCCCACCGACCCAGGTGCCACCCGCGGCCTCACCCCTCCTCATATCTATGATGGGGACAGACACACATAACACACCTCTGCTCACTGCCCAGTCCCCAAGGTCAATCGCAGTCTGCTTCTCCCCTAGATCCACTGCTCCCCATGTCTTCCCTCCCCAGCTGCAGCCTGGGTGGACTCCCTGCTTTTCTCAGTCCATGAAGGCAGGTTCCAACCTTTGTGTTGTTGCCTGCAATGCCCTCCCTTCTCTTCCCTTCCCTATGAGCGCACACCTGCCCATCCCCCTACCTTCTGGCCAAAGTCATCAGCCACCTGCTCCCCTCAGTCTTCCCCAACCCTGCCCATGGAGGTGACGGTTCCTCCTAGAACACCCACCACTCACTCTTGGCTTTGGGTGGTAATCACAGGTTCTGCAGGGGTCACCTGTGCTCAGGTGTGTCACCTGTGGAACCAAAACTTCTGAGCAGAGGGAGCTGCTCAGGACATCTTAGGGGCCCTGACCTCTGGTCTACCACAGGAACTCAATGCGATCTTGGTGGGACTGTGGTTTAGTCCCTATAGCAACCTTGACCTCATCATGTTTAATGTGCACATGCTCCGACCAGTATCCCACTTCTAAGAGCCTCCCTGAGCTGTGAGCTCTGTGAAGGCAAGACTGTGCCTGTCCTCTCTCTGCTGAAGACAGTGACCAGCCCACAGCCTGGCACAGGATGCTTCATAAACATGCGTTGACTGAATGAGCTCCTGGATCAATACTCCACATGGGGAAAAGACATGTGTATGAAACACTGCAGAATGTCTCGTCATTATGAAAACTGGGAAACAGCCCAGTAACTTAAAAAAAAGATTGAGATGAAGGTCACAGAAAATACCATATGTTTAGGAAACAAATAATAGCAATTCGGGTCCACTGAATCAGGGCAGCCCTGACTAGTGTTCTGTAAGACAAGCACAGGAGAGGGTTTTCTTTACAGGTAATTTCCACAAAAAGTTGTTTTCAGAAGCAGCTCATTGGCTGAGAAGGAATCCTAAATCACAAGTCCATTCCATTCTATGTGCTTAGTTAATTTTAGGGTTCTCCTAGTTGAGATGTTGAAGGCTGGTGAATACTGACTTCAGCTGTTTATCCAAATCTATTGGAACATTCTGTGGTTTGAGCTCTTGCTGGTGAAAGTGCAATTGTCTTGCAATCTCCTGACTCCACTTTAGAAAGCTTTAGCCTTTGTTACTTCATTTTCTGTCACAAGATTCCAACCCAGGAACAGGGGTGTGGACAAAGCATTGAGTGTAGCCATGCAATGAGAAAAAGGGGAGCCAATAACAAACACAAGATAAAATCCATATGTATTGATATAAGAGGTGCCCACCACACATGATTCAGTAGAACAGAATGGTCTGGGCAGGTGTGGTGGCTCATGCCTGTAATCCCAGCATTTTGGGAGGCCAAGGAGGGTGGATCATGAGGTCAGGAGTTCGAGACCAGCCTGACCAACATGGTGAAACCCTGTCTTTACTAAAAATACAAAAATTAGCCAGGTGTGGTGGTGTGCACCTGTAATCCCAGAAACTCAGGAGGCTGAGGCAGGAGAATCACTTGAACCCAGGAGGCAGAGGTTGCAGTGAGCCGAGATCACACCATTGCACTCCAGCCTGGGCAACAGAGCAAGAATCCATCTCAAAAAAAAAAAAAAAAAAAAGAATGGTCTTCAGCAATAATATAATTCAATGGGTATTTTGGCGTAAAACGACAAGTGAGATAAACAGAGTATTATTAAAGAGAGATTCACACCAACTGCAAACAGTGGTAACATCCTGGAAATTTAATTGGGGAAGGGGTGGGGTCAAGGATAAGACACCTTATTTTACGCATGATTAGATTCCTGGGATTTACAATAAATATGATGACTTACATCATTTTTAAAGTAACAGAAGAAACCATTTGAAAAGACTCAGGAGGTGTGTAAGGTCCTTTGGGTCTAGAGCCCAGGCCTCCCTCTATCCCCCACACTTCTGCGTCTCTATCCCCCACACTCTGAGATGGCCCTTTGAAGTCTCCCCATCTCACCCCTCAGAGACAGAGGCATGGAGATCCCTAGGGGGAGGGACCTTGCTGCAGCTCCCAAAGCTGGGGGCAGGGGGCAGAGTGAGGTTCTGTCCAGCCCAACATGCACTGAGTGGGCACCTACTGTGCGCTCCTTCTGGCCAGTGGGATGGTCCCTGGCCTGCAGAGTTTCACCACTCAGTGGATGCTGGGAATGGGACAAAAAAGACCAAACCACCCTGTAGGTCCAGGGATGGCTGGCCTCCCTCAGCAGGGCCCACAGCCCCCCATGGTTCACCCTCACCAAGGTCACCTCAACCCACCTCCTCCTCACCCTCCAAGCTCTGCACACGAACTCTGTCACCTCTTCCCTGCAGCCAGGTGGCCGCCCACCTGAGGCCACTCCCTCTGCAGGCAGCTCCTGCCCCCACACCCCCTCCTTCCCAGGGCTCAGTCAAAAGGGCATCTCCCAAGGCACAGCAACTCAGCCCGTCACAGGCTCTGGTGTCCCCAGTGCTGTCCCCTCACAGCCCTTCTCTCATTATCATTAACTCCTCAATCGCATGAAGTTCACTGAGTGCCTGTTTCCCTGTCACATGAGGTCAGGAGTTCTATACAAGCCTGGACAATATGGTGAAATCCCGTTTCTACTAAAAATACAAAAATTAGCTGGGTGTGGTGGCATGCACCTGTAGTCCCAGGTACTCAGGAGGCTGAGGCAGAAGAATTGCTTGAACCCAGGAGGCAGAGGTTAGTGAGCCGAGATCGTGCCACTACACTCCAGCCTGGGCAACAGAGCGAGACTCCACCTCAAAAAAAAAAAATCCAATTCCAAACACTAATAAAAAATATGGACTTTGGCATGAACCCATGGTAGGGGAATGGGGAGACCAAAAATCCCCTGACTGGGAAAGTGATAGGCTAGTACACTGCTGTCCAATAAAAAGAAAACCCAGGACACCCTCACTGTTTTGTGTTGATCTTTTTTCTTAGGTCTCATCATAACCGTTTTATGAATGTGGGAGCTCCAAAGTTAGGTGCATATATATTTAGGATTGTAATATCTTCTTGTTTGATTGATCCTTTTATCATTATATAGTTGCCTTATTTGTCTTTTTCTTACTGTTGTTGCTTAAAGTCTGTTTTATATGATATAAGGATAGCTATTCCTTCTCACTTATGGTTTCCATTTGCATGGAATATCTTTTATCATCTCTTTACCTTGAGTCTATAAGAATCCTTACATGTTAAGTGAGTCTCTTGAAGACAGCTGATATTTGGTTTGTGATTTTTTATTTATCTTGCCAATCTGTGTCTTTTAAGTGGAGTGTTAGGTCATTTACATTCAATGTTAATATTTGTTCCAGTCATCATGTTGATCGTTATCTACTTTGTTTTCTTATTGTGTTATTGTTTTATAGGCCATTTGAATTTTTTGGTTTCAAGAGGTTCTATTCTGTTCTATTTAAATCTTTTGTTTTGTGATTTAGAAGTCCCTTTAACATTCCATGTAGGATGGTCTAGCCGTGACAAATCCTGAAGCATTTGCTTGCCTGAAAAAGACTGTATTTCTCTCTTTCATTTTGAAATATAATTTCACTCTACACAAGATTCTTGGCTGAGAGCTATTCTGTTTAAGAAGCCAAAAGATTAGGACCCCAATACCTTCTGGTTTGTAAGGTTTCTGATGAGAAATCTGGTGTTAGACTGATAGGTTTTCCTTTATAAGTTAATTGATGCTTTTGTCTCACTGCTCTTAGAATTCTTGCCTTCACATTGACTTTAGATAACCTATGACTATATGACTTGGTTATATCCTTTTTGGCAGTGAATCTCCTGGATCACTTGAGCCCAGGAGTTCAAGACCAGCCCTGGGTAAGATGGCAAAACCCCATCTCTACTAAAAATACAAAAAATTAGCCTGGCCTGGTGGCACACGCCTTTAGTCCTAGCTACTTGGAAGGCTAATGTGGGAGAATCATCTGAGCCCAGGAAGTTGAGGCTGCAGTGAGCCATGACTGTGCCACTTCACTCCAGCATGGGTGATGAGAGTAAGAGCCTGTCTCAAAAAAAAACTAGCTAGCATTTTAGAAAATTTTTCATTTATATTCTGATTGTTTTTTACATTTCTTTATGTTGGTTTTCACCCTTCTCTTGTATCTCTTTGAGTAGCTTAATAATCAAACCTTGTAGGCATGCATTATTCTTTTAATTCTTTTTTCTTTTGTCTCTCTGACTCTGAGTTTTCATATATTATCTCTTCAAGCTCACAAATTCTTTCTTCTGCTTGATCAATTCTGCTGTTGAAAGATTTAGTGCATTCTTCGGTTTGTCAATTGAATTTTTCAGCTACAGAATTTCTGCCTGATTTTTAAAAATTATTTCAGTCTATTAAATTTATCTGATAGGATTCTGAATTCCTTCTCTGTGTTACCTTGAATTTCACTGAACCTCTTCAAATAGCTATTTTTATATGCTAGTTTTGAAGAGGGTCTCAGGGATGAGAGTGGGTTTGTGTGTTATTTTATTTACCCCTCTCAACCGCCATCTAAGTTTATTTCAGAGGAGGATGCTTATCCTCAGAAAGATGAATCAACTTGCCAATGTTGGTGGTGGATCTGGGATTAGAAGTTACATGAGTCTAACATCAGAGGCCATGCCATCATCACTACCACTGAGAGAGAAGTGAACACAGTTTGTTAGGGAGCAGGAAGGAGCAAGGAGGGCTATGGCAGCAAGAGACAATTTTAAAACAGGGAAGTTAGGTAAGGTTACTAAAGAGATACCATATGTTATAAAGCCATGAACACTAGACAGAGATATTCGAACTTGATCTTGTGATTACAAAAGAGCCACTGAAGATTTTAAGTAAGGGCAAAACTATTCGAAGTCACAGCATGAGCCAAGACCAAAGAGGGTAGTGAAATTGGGGCTCTGGATTCCTAAACTAAAGAGATGCTGCCACAACTGTCGTTCACAACAGTGAACAAACCGTGTGATGTGTGGAGTGAGAACTGGACAAAGGCTGAAGCCCTGGGTTTAAATGCAAGAAGTCAGGCACTTAGGGAATGGCTTTGTTAGGCAAGCTGTATATGCTCTCTCTGGACCTTGGTTTGTTTTCATCCATAAATTAGATGCAGTGAGAATTAACCTCTAAATGATCTTCGAGCCTTGCTACTCAAAGTGTGGTCCGCCAACCAGCAGCAATGGCATCATCCAAAAGCTCCTTAGACATGCACAATCTCAGGCCTCACCAGAAAAATCAGAATCTGTATTGAATAAAAAGATCTGTGTGGGATCTGTGAACACATTAAGGTTTGCGAAACACTTCTCTCCATTGTCTTCCATTTCTAAAAGGCAATTATTCCATGCTCACCTCCACTCTGTTACTTCACAGGAGAAACAAGAAAAAAAAAATTATCTGTTCACCTCATTAGTGCCCTTTTCTTAGTCATGACATCCTCTTAGACTGGCTCAGTTCCAGGAAGAGGTTTTAGAAAATACCAGAGAGGCAGTGCTGCCACCCTGTGACCATCGTCAGTAAATGCGCTTAACTCTGACCAGTGTCAACAGCAAAGGAGAGGGACTGCAGATGGAGGTGAAGTCCAAGTCGCAGACTAGATGAGAGAATCACAGCCACCCACAATTACTTAAACAGAGGGACCTCAACCTGCATCATAGAGCAATGTCCTATTGCAAAGGACAGTTTTTATAATACTTAATATGTGGTATTAGTAAGAAACCTGGTTCCAAGCCAAGCTCTGCCCTTGTAACCATAAAAGTGACCCTGACAGGTATTTTCAGACACCCAGCCCTGGCCTGAACTCTGCCAGTAAACATGTAATTTCCCAAAAGACCTTATGTTACTGTGACAGTTCTTTTCCATCCTGAGCCAAAATATACCTGATACACACTCACCAATCCCTGTCCTACTCCCCATAAGCTGAAATAAGCCTAACACCTTTTCATACAACCTACCTTCAAATATTGGTTAAAAAAAACCATGTGCCGCCCACCCCACCTTCCCTTGGCCATTTCCCACATGGGGTCACCTGAAGCCCCACACCCTCTGATCACTTTCCCATGGGGAAGCAAAGTGCAGCAACCACAGCAGGCACTGTGAAACCTAGGGGTGTCCCCCAGGGCAGCAGAGCCACAGGACCCCCATCCCCATCCTGGCACCTCACCCCTATCTAGAATCCGAACACCACATCAGCTGATCTGGGGACGCTGACTTTTCCTGCTTCTGCTGCTGCTCAGTCATCCCACACCTGTGCAGATGTCTACTTTTTATTCCATTTTATTTTGTAAGAAATATTTATCAGAGCCTGCTGTGTACTGTCACTGGAGAGACAAAGATGAATCACACCTGGTCCCTGCCTCGCAGAACTCCAGGCTGTAGAGGGAACACACTCAAAGCCAGACTATTACCGTTCAGTGAGAAACACCGTGACAGACATCAGCACAGGGTTTTCTGATGCATGTTACCAGTGCTTTGTGAAAAATCTTCCACTCTTGGTTTTCTGCACTTAGTTTTCCTCATTTCAAGCTCTAAGTGAAAAAGAGAATACAAATATCCCCAATGGTCCTTTGTGCGGTCACAGCTGGACCCGGCATGTCCTCTTGGCTAATCCAGGGTGTTCAGGGCTCCCACTTCACTCTGAGTGTCCTCTCTCCTATTGGAGCTCACCATTGTCAGCACCTGCAGCAGAAAATCTAGCAAGTCAGGAAACTTGCTTTACTCCTGTAACTTTAAGGCTAGTGACCTTGTGACAGTGAACTAATCCTATAAATCCTTTTCACTTTAATTTCCACATCTGTAAAGTGGGGCAGGTGGATTCAGTCACCCTAGAGACAGCAGCACACCTGATCTTCTCAGCATCCACCATCTAGCAAATATCAGGCACACATTAGGCACTCAAAGCCTCACTGAATGTATGTGTGAATAAATGACTATAATAGAGCCATGTGGATCGTGGACACTATCAACACATATCTTTGAATGTCTATGAAGTACACTTGAGAATGGGGAAAGCAAATAATTGAGGCAGGACAGTGTTTTCTTCTTCCTTCCCCTTACCTCCTTCCTGAAGAGAGCCTTTGTACCTCGGAGAGACTCTGTTGCCAGGTTTCTCTACTGTAAGTTACTATTTGTCCCATTATAATCAATAAGTATCTCCTGAAGTGATACTTTGGGAATATGGAAGTAGCCTGTTTCTTCTCAACATACTTTTTTTTCCCCCTTGGTACTCACTAGTTGTAGCATCATCATACTTTTACCCATTCATATTTAAAGTCCATTGATAATTCTTGCCTACAAACAATTGACTGTGCTGTTAGCCAAATAGTGATTTTCTATTTGATCATTCCTTCTACATTCATTAATTGGAATCCTGCTGTAAGAAAAAGCTGTTTCTTCATCCTTATATATTTATGTATTCAATTATTTATTTATATTAGTAGGAACTCATGGGTATTTATGGGTTGGAATTTATTACTATCATTATTTCTTATAGTGCTCATTTTGTCTCAAAATTGGTCATTCAAAGCTCCTTCTGGTTGGCATCTGTGACCTTTCGACAGATCTCCATTATTTTTCAGCCGGCTCCTTACTTTCTGGCCTCACGAGATGCTCCAGGCTCCGCTTGTGCTTTCCGGCCCCAGCCCTGGAATCAGTTATTTCTCCCAGGAAGCCCTGGTTCCTTTCATGGGAGAATGATGTTTACGACCACGAGCACTACTACACCCATTGCTGTAATAGTAAGTGCCGGTGCCTTCACGCCCTCTAGTGGTCAGTCCTGGGAAATACACACTCACACTTGTGTACTGTTACCCATATTCTACAAATTAGGTAAATGAGGCACAGAAAAGTTAGGCGACTTGACCAACATCACGAGAAAATAGGTAGTGAAACTGCGAGACAGATACACAAGTCCTAATAAGTGGAAGTAGCTTCTTCACACATGCACATCAGCAGAAAGCCACAAGCCCAATATTCCAGCGTAGACACTCTCTTGGGAAAAAATCCAGAATTCCAAAGTATTAACCCTAATGACAACCATCATGTACTGACTACCTGCCTGGGCACTGGGCTCCCACAGTAACACATTTATTCCTAAATATATGTAAATATATAAAACTAATAACTTTATCTTAAATAAATATCCATTTTATATATTATTATATAAAATTTATTATAGAAAACTTTATATAATTATATAAAATATATAGGCCAGGCATGGTGGCTCATGCCTGTAATCCCAGCACTTTGGGAGGCCGAGGCAGCATATCACCTGAAGTCAGGTGTTTGAGACCAGCCTGGCCAACATGGCGAAACCCCATCTCTACTAAAAAAGTACAAAAATTAGCTGGGCGTGGCGGCAGGCGCCTGTAATCCCAGCTACTCGGGAGGCTGAGGTAGGAGAATCGTTTGAACCCAGAAGGCGGAGGCTGCAGTGAGCTGAGATCGTGCCACTGCACTCCAGCCTGGGAGACAGAGCCAGACTCCATCTCAAAAAAGAAAAACTATTATATATACATTTATATATATAATTTATTATATAAAAATGTATTGTATATAAATTTATATTAAATACAATTTAATATGATGATTAAAAGTTATATGTTTATTTTAATACATGTTAGAAGAAAATTTAAGCATATCTCAAACCTGTAATTTTATGGATAATATTGCATAGGACAAAGATGTTTTGTCTCAAATTCCCGTCCTCAAGCAATCCACCCACCTCAACCTCTCAAGCAGCTGAGATCACAGACGTGAGCCCCTGCACCCTACTAGGACAAGGATGTTTTGTAAAGTAAATTTATTTAGGAAAAAGCATAAAGCAAATAATAATAACAGTGGTACAAGCTGTAGAGAAAAATCATAAAATGTCTACAAATGTCTGAGGTTTGCATTTTAGTTACTCCTAGGAAATTAGGGTCACATAGCACTGCAGAAAAAAACAACTGAAAATCGTAGACCTGGGCTTTAGCTCTAGATTTGTCCATTTCTAGGACCCCACTCCCTGGACATCTCTGTGACCTCCCTGCTGGGAGTAAATCCAACCTTCCCAGACATTAGAAAACATGAGGAAAACCTTGCATACCCAGAGGGGTTTCTGTGTCATAGAGAAAATAACACTGAGTTTGGGGGTCCCAGGGACTCTCTGTGAGGTGCTGACAGAGCCAATCCCTAGACACAGCAGAGGTCACTTATGGGGAGCACAGGTCATCCTGTTAAGGGATGGGGGTCCCAATAAGCCTTGCTTCTCACAGCGTGGTCTAAGGAACTGAAATGTAGATTGGAGAAAAAGAGGAAAAGAAGACAAGGAGGCAGGACTGAGAGGGGAGGAGGCGGAAAGGCTACCTGTGCAGATCCTCATTGCCACTTACCTTTCCCCGCCCCCACCCCTGGCCCTGGGAAGTGCTTCTGCCCTGGGAGGAGGCTTAGCACAGAGAGAGGAAGGACAGCAGAGCTGACAGTCACAGTAGCTCTGACAAGAGCATTTAATTTATATTAAATACAATTTAATATAACTATTAAAAGTTATATGTTTATTTTAATGCATGTTAGAAGAAAATTTAAGCATATCTCAAACCTGTAATTTTATGGATAATATTGCATAGGACAAAGATGTTGGCATCTGTGACCTTTCGACACATCCCCATTATTTCTCAGCCTGTTCCTTACTTTCTGGCCTCCTTATTTTCTGAAGCCCAAGCTCCTCTCCACAGAGGAGGACAAAGCAGACAGCAGAGCCCATGGGGCCTCCCTCAGCCCCTCCTCACAGAGTGCACATCCCTGGCAGGCGCTTCTGCTCACAGGTGAGGGGAGGGCTCCCTGGGAGTGGATGGGAGGAGGGAGCACAGAGACTGGCTGGGGTTTCTTGGAGAGAACGGGGACCTGAGAGGGACAGAGGGCTTCTGTTGGACACTAAACAGGAAGAAGGGATTACAACAGGAAAATCTAAATAATCTGAGGTTGTTAGTGAAGAAACAATCTCGATTGTTAATGTTTTCCAAGTGAATCATCACTGAGCAGTTAATGTTGAAAACAGATGACAATAATCACAATTTAAGTTGGGGTAATACTCAAGAAAAAAAACAAGGGACACTAAACAGAGCTCTGTGGCAGCACTCCTCATATAGGGGCACCAGCTGTGGGGGACGGGTGAATAGTGTACACTGACACACACATATTTTGCTTTGCCAGTCCAGCTGAGTCTGTCAGGGCCGCTTACAGACTCCCTGCTGAGTCCTATAAACAGTTGTGACCATGGCCTTGATCAGCTAGTGAGACTCATATTTATTCAGTAAGATTAATTAACAAAGGCTTGAGTCAACACCGTTAGAGGGTAATTGACATTGTGGACTTCCCAAGTAGAAAGCAATTAAGCACCTGTGGCACATCAATGGTTAGTCTTAAGATCACATGAGTAAACAAGCTGGCTAGACAAACTACTCTGCCTTCCTTTGTTACTACTTTAATTTGTTTAACTAAAGGTAAAGGGACCACCTTCAGTCAGATCTATTACCAAAGTTATGCAAAGTTTTTGGTCTTCCAAGAAGATTTGTGTCTATCTCTATAACTATCTCTAATATTTTTCCCACCAGCCTGATTGAACTCCAACAGAGCTCTTAGCCAACAACCTCAGCCATTGGAAAATAAATCCCACGTTGTGAAGGGCCCTGGGAACACTCATGAGCTCATCCACAGGAGTCCGCAGCCTGTCCCAGGCACTGGGGTGCAACCAAGATCACACAAGTCCCTGTTCTCACAGAGCTCATGCTCTCATAGGGAGGAAGACAGACATGCAAGGGTATCTAGAATGTGAGGTCAAGTATTGACAAGAGCCCTGGAGGGAACACAGCAGCGAAATGTCAGAAAGGGAAGACCCAGGGTCTCTAGAGGTGTCAGGGAAGGGGTCTCCCAAGGATGCCCTAATGTGAGCAGGACCTGAAGGCAGTAGGGAGGGAGCCAGGCAGACCCCTGGGGAAAAGGACTCCAAACAGGGAAATGCCAAGGTCAGAGGCACTGAAGGAAGGGAGGTCATGCTGCTGACCTTGGCCCAGTAGGACACGCACGCGCGCGCGCGCGCGCACACACACACACACACACACACACACACACACACACACACTCCAAGGCTGAGGGATGAAGAGACCTGTCCAGGACCTAGGGCCCCATCTTTCCACCTCAATGCATAGGGCCCAGTATTAACTGATGCTCTCTCCCCACTCCTAGCCTCACTTTTAACTTTCTGGAACTTGCCTACCACTGCCCAAGTCACTGTTGAAGCTGCAGAAGGCAAGGAGATTCTTCCACTCACCCACAATCTGCCTTAGGCTTGGCTACAACTGGTACAAAGGGGAATTACAGGATATGTACTAGGAACTCAAGTAATTACCCCAGGACCTGCCACAGAGGCTGAGAGACAATATACCCCAATACATGTCTGCTGATACAGAATGTCACCAACAATGACACAGGATCCTACACCCTACAAGTCATAAAAACAGATCTTGTGAATGAAGAAGTAACTGGCCAGTTTCACGTACACAGTGATGTCTCATGAGCTCTGGGTGTTGGGGGTCAGTTCTGCTTCACACACACAGGATTTTCAGGCCTGGGCTGTGCCTGTGTCCCCCTCTACATTACATCCCATTTGGGGGTTTGGACATTTAGTGCAAGACACACACAGGGGAGACAAACTTCCACAGATCAGAATTTCTTTCCTGCATCCAGACCCTGCAGGCACTTGCTACAGAGGAAGGACAGTCTGATGGGGTTGGGGGGAGGCTCAGTAAGGGGAGGTCAGTGTCAGTTCCCCCTCCTGGGTCCCCTCCCCATGGACGTTCCTTGTAGGACCATGTCAGATCCTGGAGTGAGGGGACCCCTGGGAAGCCCCTGTTCAGAAACTCAGCCCTGGAAACCCCTGTCCAGTCCCCTGTCCCAGGATCCTGACTCCATGTGACCCTGGGAAGCCTGTGCCGGGGCTGGGTTGAGGCATCTTGGGCAGGGCTGACTGGGAACAAGGATTTACCAGCTGTCCAAGGGCCATGGCTCTTGCAGCTGGTAGCCAGCCAGGGCTCAGCCCCCAGAGCCTCATCTGGGCAAGGGCAAAGCCTCGTCCTTCACATGAGACTTGGTATGGAGAAGACAGGTAAGCTCCCTAGGACATTAGCCGACTGCCCTGGGGAACTTAGGAGACTCCAAGGGAAGGTCAGCATCCCCAGGGGAGGAATAGAGAAGAGAGGATGTTCCCAGCAGCTCATTGTCCACCAGAGATCAGGCCCAGGGAACACTCTGTTGGAGGCAAATAATCAGAGACGGTGTATTCAGGCGGTTCCTTGGTACCAACCTTTAGGTCAGGTGATCGTGAATATTTTAAAAGTAATTCACAGACAACATGGCAAGCCACTGACCATTTATCATTGTTGGCAGAAAAATCGGAGATCTGTACGTTTGGAAAGGAGACTTTATTTCATATATTTTTCATTTTATTTTTCTATTTTTATTTTTTTTTAGAGACCGGTTCTTGCTCTGTCTCCCAGGTTTGAGTGAAGTGGCTACTCACAGGTGGGACCATAATTCACTGCAGCCTCAATCCCCCGAGCTCAAGCACTCCTCACACCTCAGTCTCGAGTAGCTGGAACTATAGGCATGCACCACTGCACCCAGATAGTTTTTAAAACAAACTTTTATCTTAGGTTCAAAGATACGCATGCAGGTTTGTTATATATGTAATCAGGGGTTTGGTATACAGATTATTTCATGATCCAAGTACTAAGCATAATAGCCAATAGGTATTTTTTCTGATCCTCACTCTCCTCCCTAAAATTTTTTTAAGAGACAGGATCTTGCTATGCTGCCCAGGCTAGTCTCTGGCTCCTGAGCTCAAACTATTCTACCACTTCAACCTCCCAAACCACTGGGATTACAGGTGTGAGCCACTGCACCCAACCAGGTTATTTCTTACACAGGGTTACAGCCTGCAGGCTGGCCATTCCCCAGGGTAGAAGATGCAGCCTCCAGCAGAGACCAATAGCAGGCACTTCAAGGGAGGGGAATGTGGAAGATAGATTTATGCTGAATGAGTTGGCCAGGTATACATATTCAACAGGTTATAGGTGGAGCTATGGATACTCACAAAGGAAGTACACGCACATGCGTGATCAACAAACATGCATGCTACATGCACCCCATGTTCACTTTGGGGTGGAGAATTCAGATTTAAATGTATTAAGTTAGGTCTTATACATCAAAAGATGAAACAAGCATTATGGTACTCAGTGCACCGTGTCTGTATACCAGCAGAACCAGGCCATGCTCAGTGGTCTCTTATTAGGAGAAAGTTACTGAAATCAGTCTCCTGTCCAATTGAAGTGTAGTTGTGGCTGTTGGAACAGGGGTCAGTTAGCCAGTGTTGGTGGATGAGCCGCGATCATTTCAATATTGCTTATCTCGAAGGCTAGTGTTACTTTAGCCGCTAGAGAGAAAGAAAATTCTGTGTTAGAACATAGCTTATTCTTTAAATGTAGGAAAGTGTGGCTTAGCCCTTGCCTGCATGACCTTAGGTTGAGTTTATAATTTGGTATCTTATGGCCACAGAGAGTCTGTTCTGTCAGTCTCATGATCTCGATTTTAGCGTTAATGCTAGTCAGTTGTCACCTCTAAACTTCCAAAGGGAGGGGCTGTAATGAGGTGTAACCTCCCATCCTGTCATGATCAGGAACTCTGGGATCCGCTTGGCCAAGAGGCCATCCTTTCAGTTCACTGGGGAATTAGAATTTTATTTTTAGTTCTCATTGTGTGTCCTATTTTACTGAGGGGAAACTGAGGCATATGAAGATACAGCCACTGGCCAGGGTACACAGACTACAGATGGCAGAGTCACTCGAGGTCACTCCCTCCCTCCTTCATGAGAGAACTACTGAGCGAGTGTGTGTCTCATATTGGGCCCTGTCTTGTGCAGGGTGTGAGTGGGGAGAGAAAGCAAAGTTCTCTCCTTTATCCTCTCATAGGAGTGACACCAACACATCGGGAAACACAGGATTTCAGGTCCAGTGAAGTGGGTATAGATCTAAGAGAGGAGGCCTGGACATTCCCAACATGGATCTGATGGTTGAGGCAGGTGATAGCGTTCTAAGTAAAATCTGATTAATTCTTCATTTGTTCCTCACTCCCCAGACCACTGAGGCGTGGTATTCTCCCCACCGAGCTGTGAAACCCTAAGAAGAAGGGAGCTGAACCAGTGATTGTGAAACAGCATCATTCATCTGGGGTAATACTCGAGGTTCATTGTCCCATGGCCATGGAAAACTAGGATGCAGGCACCCAGAGTGAAGTTAAGAGTGGAAGTTTCATAGGGGAAAGAAAGAGAAGAGCTCTCTGCACAGAGAGAGGGGTCCTGGGGAAAATGGGTTGCCACTTCCATAGTGAAATGCAGAAGGTTTTATAGATGAGCTTCAGGAGGCAGTGTCTGATTTATACAGGGGGTGAAAGATTGTTTAGACCAGCTGTGCCATTTGCTGGCTGCCCCACTCTGATCTTTTGTCATGCAGATGGATTGTCTACCTGGCCGGTGCCATGTTGCCTGGTTTTTTACTGTACATGTGGTAATGGAGAAAAGGGAGGATGGAGTCTCCATGTTGAACATACCTGGCTTCCAGGCAGCCCTTTTCTATTGGCACACCTACTGGAATTCACCTGTGCAAGCTTCCATCTTGCTCATCTACATCTGTAGCTCAATTTTTCAGGCTGCTCTTTGTTAGAAAAGGAATTATCTTGGGCTGCTTTTTGTTAAAGGGGAAACCTTGCCAAGGACGCTCTTACCCTCACTAACTTCCTAAATAATTTCTTTCTAGCTCCTGTGTCAGTTGGTCTGGGGTCCACAGATACCTTAAGGACCCAGGGATGGAGGAGAAGACGTGCCCTCAGCCCACTTTCAGTTGAGCACCTCCACTGATTGTCCACAGGGTCAGTGGCTCCGACCCCATCTGAGTCAGCAACACCAGAGTCACAGAAGAAAAGGATGTTGTGATCCTGACCTGCCCCACAGATGACTCTGGAACCTTATCCAGTGGATCTTCCATGACCAGCGTCTGTGACTCATGGAGAGAATGGAGCTGTCCCAGGGCCACTGTATGCTCAGCATAAACCCCATCAGGAGAGAGGATGCTGGGGAGTATCAGTGTGAGGCCTCCACCCAGGTCAGCTCCAGGAAAAATGACCCTCTCAGACTGACTGTGAAACAGGAAACATCTGAGTCCCCTCTTAGAAGTTATTAAACCCTAAATCAAATATTCTTTGTTTGGAGGCATTTTATTATAAAAACTTGATATTCATATACATAAACTAATATGAAGTTAAAAATTCATTATACACCTACTGTTTTTAGCTTGATCTTGCAGTAAATCTTTAGCTTCATTGATTGTGGCTACTATATAAGGAGACCCTCTTTTGTCTGCGTGATTTAAGAGCATAACATGTTAATGAGCATCTCTTATTTTTTTCTTTATTGGCAGTAGGGCTTACCCTACTATTACTAGTGTTCATTCATTATCTAGTATTAATGCTGCTTCCCGTTTTGTCATTTTGGGTTCATATCCACCTCTGTAGTAATAATCTCTGAAGGCAGATTTTGGTAGACTTTGAAACACTTGTTCTACTTGAGGTTTTATGTGCTTCATGGCTTCGCAAAATGTAACAGCTTGCAAATCCTGCAGCAGCGGTCAGTTCAGCTGCTACCACTGCACAGGCCATGGCTCCAGCTTGGCTCCCCTGCCACCACCAGGAGGGTGGATCATCCCAGCCCAGAGGCCGCACCCACCACCTACTTGGCTTTACCAGAGAGCAATGCAGCAGCCACCACAGTAGTCACAAACTGCCCAAGCACCTTTTTCCTCTTTAAAGTGGTGGTGATGATGCATTTACTTTATCGAGCTATTGTGAATAGTCAATGAAATCAGGTGACTTGCATTGAATCAATAAAAATGAAACACCTTGGAATGACATTGTCATTGTTGGCTTAAGGTCCCATTCAGTACCAGATTTTACTGTTTGTTACTGTCAGTTGCACCATCTCCACAGTGGTGGCAACACATGTCCCTCAGAGGATGGACCATGATTGTGTGTGAGGGTGGGAACACATGATCAGCTCTCAGGAGTCAACAGCTCCGTCCCTCCTCCAGCAGGAGGTGTGGATGGTGCCTGCACTCTGACATGGGCAAAGAGAATCAACGGGAGGGTGCCATGCAGAGAGGACACCCCAAATGAAATGCACTTCACACAATGCATCTGCCCATGTGGTCCTGGCCAGGACTGGGGAGGGAAGGGCTTGGAGATCCCAGATTTCAAGCTGAAGCCCTGAGACAAGGTGCAACCGCTGAGAGAAGGAGCACTCTGTGGAGAGATTCCCACCCACATCTACAGTCTCCACCCCATCTTATCCCATAAGGCTGGCATATCCCTGAAGGGCAGTGTGAAGAAGGGACAAGAGTCTTCTCTAGGGAGGACACTCTGGGCCAAGACCAAATGAAAGCTGGGCACTGGCAAGGACAAGATTTCTTCCACCATGAGATTTCACCATTGTCCTGAAGCAATGAACCCAGGCCCTCTTGCTCATGTGAAACACCGCCCGGCCTGAATCATGCTAAGGGTGAACCCAAGGCCCTGGACACCACCACCCTCCAGGCCTGTACCAGCCCCTGCAGGACTCATTCACCTGAACCAGCATCCTCCAGTCCTCAGGCTAAAGGGAGAGGTCTTTACCTCTTTAAGCTACAGGAGATTCCCAGATACCCGTATGTCCCTGGAGAGAGAGTCCACAGGTTGTCCACTTGGACCTGGCATAGATCTTCCTCTCAAACGCCCCAATGCCCAGGTGCTCTTCCTCGAAGATCTTCCTCTCCCTACAGGCTCTAGGAACTGTGAGTCCCTGAACTTTCATTAGAAGGAAGCTTTCCCTTCATCCTCCCTGACCCTGTGAGGGGCAGCTGGGCAAAGTGGACACCAAGATTAATAACTCCAGAGGGAACCCTCCCTGGAGCACAACACCCAGGGCCTATGGGGGTGTTCCCTGGTGGTCCTGGCCAGTGGTGCTGCCCTTCTTTCTACTTCCAAAATCCCAGACCACTGCTGCTCTGACTATGGGCTCCACTCCCTCAACCCATTCTTTTATTAAATGCCTTTTCTGCACCTGCTGGAGTGATTATATGGTTTTTGTTCTTGGTTCTCTTTAATGTGATGGATCACATTTATTGATTTGCATATGTTGAGCCATACTGGCATCCCTGGGATGAATCTCACTTAATCATAGTGAATGATCTCTTTTGATGTGTTGCTAAACATGGTTTGTTAATATTTTATTGAGGACTTTTACATCTATGTTTGTTAGTGATGTTGGCCTATGTTCTTTTTTGGCTTTGTTTTGGTTGGTTGTTTTTGAGAGATGGAGTCCCCCTATGTTGTCCAGACTGGTCTTGAACTCCTGGGCTTAAGCAGTTCTCCCACCTCAGCCTTCCAAAGTGCTGTGATTACAGGCAGGAGCCACCACACCCAGCTTGCTTTTTGTTTTTGAGAGAGCATCTTGCTCTGTTCCCCAGGCTGGAGTACAGTGACACAAACATGGCTCACTGCGGCCTCAACCTCCTGGGCTCAATTGGTCCTCTCACCTCAGCCTCCCGAGTAGCTAGGACTAAAGGCACATGCCACCATGCCTGGCTAATTTTTTTCTTTTTTTTTTTTTTTAAGAGATTGGTTCTGACTATGTTGCCCAGGCTGATCTCAAACTCCTGGCCTCAAGCAATCCTGTAGTGTTTTTTTGTTTGTTTGTTTGTTTGTTTGTTTGTTTTTGTCCTGTCCTTGTCTGGTTTTGGTATCAGGATAATGCTGACCTTGTAGAATGAGTTTGAAAGTGTTCCATCCTCTTCAATTTTTTAAAGCATTTTGAGTAGAATTGGTTTTAGTTCTTATTAAATGTTTGGTAGAATTCAGCAGTGAAGTCATTCGGTCCTGGGTTTTCCTTTTGTTACAGTTTCATGTTGGTTTGTTGGGTTTTTCTGCCTTTTCATGCTTCCATCTTGGTAGGTTGTATGTGTCCAGAAAGTTATTCATTTATTGTAGTTTTATTCCATTGTGGTCAGAACAAATGCTTGATGTGATATAAACTTTTTTGAATTTATTCTGACTGGTTTTGGGACTTAAGATGTGGTCTGTTCTGAAGAATGTTCTATGTGCTGATGAAAATAATGTGAATTCTGTAACAGTTAGATAGTTAGTGAAATGTCCCGTAAATGCCAGTTAGGCCTATTTGATCTAGTGTGTAGTTTAACTTTGAAGTTTCCTTGTTGATTTTCTGTCTGAAAGATCTGGCCATTGCTGAGAGCAGGGTGTTAAAGTCCCCTAATTAATATTGTATTCAGTCTATCTCTCCTTTTAGATCCACTATTGTTTGCTTTAAATACTTGGGAGACTTGGGAGCTCAAGTGTTGGATGCATAGATATTTATAATTGGCATCTCCTCTTGCTGAACTGAGCGCTTTATCATTACATAGTGACTTTCTTTGTCTCTTTTTATAGTCTTTGATTTGTAGTTTATCTTATATCAGTATAGCTACTCCTGCTCTCTTTTGGTTTCCACTTGCATGAAATATCTTTTTCCACCCCCTTCACTTTCAGTCTATTTGTATCTTTTTACATGAAGTGGTTTCTTGTAGGCAGCATATAGGCAGCATTCAGCCACTCTATGCCTTTTAATTGGAGAATAGAGTCCATTTATATTCAGTGTTCAATATTTTTAAGTAAGAACTTACTACTGCCACTTTGTTGCCTGTTTTCTGGTTGTTTTGTAACTCCCCTCTTCCTTTCTTCATTTTTTACTGTCTTCCTTGTGGTTGATTGTCTCTGGTAGTATGTTTTAAGTCATTGTTTTTTATTTTCAGTGGATCTATCATAGATTTTTTGCGTTGCAGTTACCATAAGACTTCCAAAAACATAGATATAACAAAGTATCTTCAAGAGAAGAAAAGGTAACAACTTATCTTAGATCACAAATAAAATAATAGAAACAGAAAACCCCCCAAAAAAACTCTACTCTTTAATTTCATCCTTTGCAAATTTTGACTTTGTCTCTATTTACATATTTTATATTACCTTTCTCCAAACAGGTAGCTATTTTTTTTTAAGACAGAGTCTCCCTCTGTCACCCAGGCTGGAGTGCAGTAGTGCAATCTCAGCTCACTGCAACCTCCACCTCCTGGGTTCAAGCAATTCTCCTGCCTCAGCCTCCCAAATAGCTGAAACGACAGGCATGTGCTACCATACCCTGCAAATTTTTGTATTTTTTGGTAGAGATGGGGTTTCACCATTTTGACCAGGCTGGTCTTGAACTCTTGACCTCAAGGAATCTGCCAACCTTGGCCTCCTAAAATGTATTATTGTTTTTGATAGATTTATATTTTGAGACTCATGCTAGAGTTATGATTGGATTACTTTCCACAATTACTATTTGAGTATTCTGGGTTTGTCTACGTACTTAATTTCACCAGTGGATTTTATACCTTCAAATGTTGTTATTGTTGTTGTGGTTATTTTGCATGTTAGTGTTTTTTTTTTACTTTCACATTGAAGTATTTAGTATTTACCCTTTAGTATTTACAGGAAGACTAGTCTGATGGTGTGAATTATCTCAGCTTTTGTTTGTCTAGGAAACTTTCTCTCTCCTTTATATTGAAGGATAACTTCACTGGATAAAGTATTCTCAAATGTCAATATTTTTTCAGCATTTTGAAAATGTCATGTCACTCCCTCCTGGTCTGTATGATTTCCACTGAAAATCTCTTGCCACAGAATTGGAGCTTCTTTATGCCATTTGCTTCTTTTCTCTTTCTGTTTTAAAATCTTCTCTTTGCCCTTGACTTTTGAGAATTCGATTATTTTATGCCTTGGGGGAGTCTTATTTGGGTTGATTCTTTCCTCTGATCCATTCTGCTGTTGAGAGACTCTAATAAATTTTCCTGTTCAGCAAATATATTTCTCAATTCCAAGATTCCTGTTTGTTTTCTTTAAATTATTTCAATCCCTTCGTTAAATTTCTCTGATAAATTTCTGAACTGCTTTTCCATGTTTTCTTGAAGATCATTGAGTTTCCTTAAAACTGCAGTTTTGAATTCTTGATTAGAGAGCTCACACATCACCATCTCATCAGGATCAGTCACTTGTTCCTCACTTTGTCCATGTGGGGAGATCATGGTTACCTGCTTACTGTTTCTTGTGGATGTAAGTCCAGGTCTTTACATTGAAGGATTCATTATTTATTTTAGTCTTTGTCTGGCTTGTTTTGATTTTTATTGGATAGATTTTCTTAGAGTTCTTTACTGCTAGGTCACTACCTCCTTTTCATCTCTAAGTTACCTTTAGGGTTTACCTTGGCCCTAGTAAATGATCAGAGTGTGCCCTTCCTAACTGAGGGAGGTCCCAAAGGGGATATCCTGGCAGTGTGGGAAAGCTGGCTAGATGTCCATGCCCAGGATACCTGTGAAACAAACCTACTACAACATGGAGCTGCTGAAACACCAGTCTGATTTCATGTCTCCCTTGGCTGAGTTACACAGCAGAGTTTCCAGGGAAGGAGATGGTAGTCCTGCCTCCCCACTCTTTGACTGTCCTCAGGGAAATTTCTCCCTTCGGGCACTCACAATGCTTCTTGTGGGTTAAGGCAGGGACAGGGAACCCAAGATTGTGCAGAAACTGGTTGCCCGCATTGATCTTACATTTCCCAGTGTAGAAACCATGAGTTGGGGTAAAATTTTCCACACACCTGGTACCAGGCAGAATGGGGCAGGGAGGGACATTACAGATGGGGAAATCTGATTCTTTTGTCATCTGTCTGGAGTTTTTTTCACTTCTCTGTGGCTCTGAAAACTGTTTCATTTTCATATTTGAGTTCTGGAATATATCTGGTAATAATTTTGGTGCTGTATATTTGTTTTTGGTTTTCTGTGTGAAGGAGTAAAGCCAGCTTGCTTCTATGCCACCATTTTGGAACTGGAACTGAGATATACAATTTTGATGTCTACTTTGTGTCTCTGTGAGGCAACAGATTCCCAGGGGTTTTTTTGTTTGTTTGTTTGTTTTTTCCAGATTTGACAACTGTCAAAATTGGGCTATGAAATGGAGAAGCAGTATGGATAATCACCCCATTACTTACTAGGTTTCATGTAATAAGTTTTAATCCTTAAAGGCCCCATTTCAACTCACATTGGGCCATATTCACTATCTTAACTGAGGTTTCATGGGATCCCATTTTGTCAAGCCAATGTCTAAGTACCAAAAACACTTCTATTTTATTTATTGTCTCAGAGCACCTATGTCCAATAGAGAATGTTTTACAGCAATGGGTATATGACTCCGGGAAATTTAGGCAAAGTTACAGGTAAATTGAGACATACCTGTTTTTTTCAATTTTATATTTAGTTTTCTTCTCAAGATAATAGGGACAGAGTGTTTAAATTTATGGGATTCCCACGTGTGGCTACAATTTGAGCCCCAGTATTGATTAAATCCATGAATATTTGTCAATTAGTGTATTTAGCAAATGTAAAGTTAAATTAGATCCTATGTTGTAGAGACACAAAAGCAAATTGGTGCCCTTTTAAAAATCTTTTTTTACATAAATTCCTTAATATATAAGTTAATAAATGAATTTTGAATTTCCAATAGAATCAAAGTATGAAATTTTACTTTGATTTAGTTACATATTATACATACATAATTTAACTATTTATTATATATTTATATTAAAATATTGTATGTGTATATATTTAATTACCTTTTATTTTTTCCTCCTATATCTAGGGGTTTGTTGTAAATGAATAAGTAACCTAGGGCTAGCATTATGTTTGCTAGACCTGTGGTTTGCTCAGTACTTAAAGTTTAAAGTTTCTCTTTTATTTTTCTTGGATTTGTAGTCAATCAAAGTGGTAGTTTCTTTTCTTGGGGGGTGAGGTTAGCCACCTAAAGCTGAGATTCTTGTTTTCTGTCTCTAGAATGATAAGAGGAAAAGATGGAGGAGGAAAGGTGGTCAGTGACTCTAGGGAGTAGCCTCTCTCTGGGATGACTCCACAACGACGAAACAAGCCCGTCTTTTTTTTTTTTTTTTTTTTTTTTGAGATGAAGTCTCACTCTGTCGCCCAGACTGGAGTACAGTGGTGCGATCTTGGCTCACTGCCGTCTCTGCCTCCCGGGTTCAAGCGATTCTCCACCCAAGTAGCTGGGATTACAGGCACCTGCCACCATGCCCTGCTAATTTTTTGTATTTTTAGTAGAGGCGAGGTTTCACCATGTTGGTCAGGCTGGTCTTGAACTCCTGACCTCAGTCGATCCACCCACCTTGGCCTCCCAAAGTGCTGGGATTACAGGTGTGAGCCACCGCTCCCAGCCCAAGCGCATCTTTTAAGCAAAATCTTTAAAATGGCTTGTATTTCTAGACGGTTAATGTCTTTTTCTTTTTCTTCTTTCTGTCTTTGGATGTTTACTTGACAAGTTCCTGATGGTACCCAAAGCCCCCTGTTGTTTTAATCTTACAACTTGTTAGCAGAATAAAATTGAGGGTGGCCTCCATGTGCACCAGCCTCCTAGGCAGCTGTTTCTCTTTCCAAGGTGACCCAATCAACCCCTGAGGTGTTGATTGTGCAACCACAGCAAGAAATGCAGAAACAAGGGAGCCACTAGCCCGGGATTGCCCCATCACATGAAGCCACGGCTGTGTCTGCAGGGATTATCCATGGCCCAGGGCCTAAAATTCGCATCCACCTTAGTGACTACAGACACTGCCGGTCTAACCAGGGGCAGCCTCCTGACAAGATTTTACTAAATGGCACTCTGCTATATCCATCAGGAGAACCACAGCTTCTCCACACGTTGTCACCCATTTGCTTTGCTAACAGAAATGGTATCTTGCCCTGGTCTCCATAGCTCACCTTGGCTCAACCTTGGGACAGTGAAAGAAAAAGTCAATACATGGCACCTCCATGGGGAAAATAAATGGGAAATGTCACTCCTCACTCTAAGGAGGAGTGGAGTTCACCCTCTGTGGATGCCTTCCCTATTAGGATTCCAGAAACACACCTAGCCCTTGCCCTAGATGGAGAATCCCCCTTCTCATGGGGTAGACCACCTTGGGAGCACATTACAGGTTCCTACTCGGTAACAATTTGGGGAGAACAACATGGCAGCACTCTACAGCAGCAACACAGCAGCACACAGTGGAGCAACTGAATTGCACTGAACAGAACGGCCTCACCAGTGAGGCAGCCACACCGGCGAGGATGTTAAAAGCCTCAGCAGCTCCGAGATATCTTGTGCTAAACAGAAGAGGTAGTCTATTGTGCCGACTACACCAATTTCTTAAATTTGCGATCTTTAAGATGCAGAGCTCTTGCCAATGATTGCGAGAGACATAAGATGAAAATAAAGATTTATTACTTACAGGTCCTGGGGGATACAGGCCCTGTCTGGAGGACACACACACACACACACACACATACACCCACACCCACACACACACACAGAGGTCAGGGGCAGTATGGGGAGGACAGAGGGGGAACCCATGGGTCAAGGCCTTTATTAGGGTACAGAATATTATTCAAACAGATTGTCCTCAGGGAGTTTTAATTGGTGGATTTAATGCAAGCAGACATGAGATCCAGGTAATTAGAGGTGGTCACTGCAGCAGGCAGGGTGTGGGGTCAGTGGGGCAGTCATACGGGCTGTATCCGGAAGTCCCATAGGGAGGAGGTCACCAGGAGGCAGTTGTATAAATCAGATATCTGATCAATCACACTGAGGAACTGGAAGGAGGTGGAGAACTGGAAACTATTTCAAAGGTGACTGAGCCCTGCTTCTGGTATGAGAAAGTCCAACTTCCATCCAAAACGGATGCCAAGGCATTGTAAAATTGTAAGCATTCACAAATACTTTCGATGCATTCTTATTTAGCTGACTTCTAGTTTTTACAGCCCAAATATCATCATTTTTCATTCTTATTTGGCAACATTCTGTTAGGTGCAGCATGTATGGAGGGCACCTCCTTTATTAATACATGTGGATTTGCTCTAATTGTGGTTTTTTCATTGGTTCCATTGCATGGCTACACTATGATCTTTTACCCACACCCCTGTTGCTGGATTTGAGGCTGCTCGTCACTTGTCACATTGACATGACCTTCTGCAGTGAACATCCTCATACACACATCTCTACCATGTGGAGTACTGTTCCTGGAGCTCATTCCTTCAACATGTATTTATGAAGTACCCTGTGCTGGGCTATTGGCTGGTCTCTGGCTTTAGCAGAGACAGAACAGGCAAGCTTGGCCTTCTCAGAGCTCACAGCACAGGGAGGCCTTCAGAAGTAGGATAGTGGTCAGAGCGTGTGCGCGTTAAACATGGTGAGGTCAATGTTGCTGTAGGGACTAAACTGCAGTCCCATCAGAAGTATATGGGAATGTCCATCTCCATGTCCTCACCTTTCTTGGCATAATTATTTGAGTACTGCATGTGTTCCTGTGTCCTATTCTTTGCCCACACATCATCCATATTTACCCTCTTAACCGTCCATCCTCCACCTTGTCCCTAAGTGCTGTTGTTAATAGCCCTGTGGTAGACCAGATGCCAGGAGCCCTGAGATATCCTAAGCAGCTCCCTCTGCCAGTCCTTCCAAGAGTTCTGGTTCCACAGGTGACACACCTGAACACAGGTAACCCCTGCAAAATCTGTGATTACCACGCAAGGCTGACAGTGAGTGGTGGGTGTTCTAGGAGGGGCCACCACCTCCATATGCAGGGTCAGAGAACACTGAGTGGAGCAGGAGGCTGATGACTTTGACCACAAGGTAGGTGGATGGGTATGTTTGGCTTTATAGGGAAGGGAAGGGAAGACAAGGGAAGACGAAGGGATAGGGGTGGGGAGGGGAAGGGGAGGGGAAGGGGGAGGGGAAAAGGGAAGGGGAAGGGGAAGGGAAAGTTTGGGCATTGCAGGCAACATCACAAAGGTTGGAACCTGCCTCTGGGGTACAAGAACAGCAAGGAGGCCACCCAGGATGCAGCTGAGGACGGAAGACATGGGGAGCAGTGGATCTAGGGGAGAAGCAGACTGTGATTGACCTTGGGGGCTGGGCGGTGAACAGAGGTGTGTTATGTGTGTCTGTCCCAGTCACAGATATGAGGAGGAGTGGGGCCGCAAGTGGCACCTGGTTCGGTGGGATTTCCTAATACCTGCTGTTCATCAGAGCCTCTCCATGTAGCATGTCAGTATAGATCTGAGGCTGTGTCTGGGAGGGGGAGCTGGTGGTCCAAGGCAGCCTGTGGTGCTTACTGTCCCTAGGGGTGGGAGGAGAGGGATGAGGACACCCCTGCGCAGTGAAGCCTCAGGTGTGTGGAGCCACAGGTATCTCACCTGGTGATTCTTGTCAGACACGTGCCTTGGGTGAGGATGTCAGGGTGAGAGTCACTGTCATTTTTCTTAAAATGTACATGGCATGGACCCAGGTATTCAGGGACCCAGAGAACAAGGCCCCTGGTGAGAGAGGGTTGCATGGAGCTGAGCAGTTTCATGTGCTCAGAGTGGGAGGGACTCCTGAAAAGACAAAGCCTCAATCCTACCTGTCAGGAGCCATGCCTATTTCCAGGAGAGATGACAAGGGTGACCCAGGACAGACATTGAGTGTGAGGACAGGACAGAGAGGACCCTGGTGGCTTCTCAGGTGTGGGAATGTGAGGTGGGGTTTGTTCCCATCCAAAGCACAGAAGCCCTCCATTGTACCCTGAGTGCTGTGTGTGACTAGCAGGGACACTGGATGGGTTGGACCTGTGCCTCTTGAAGGCAGGGCTGGATCTGTAGGACCAGAGATGCCTCTGTGGGTAAGAGGTGATGGGAATGAGGAAGATGGGGGTGACTGTGAACCTATTTTAGTTCCCTGGGGATGTGTGCTGAAGAGGAAGTGGCCTAGAACATTCCTTTTCTGGGTAAAGTGAAGCGGGGAAGCAGTGTGGATTCTTTTTGTTTTGTTTTGTTTTTAGATGGAGCCTCACTCTATCTCCCAGGCTGGAGTGCAGTGGTGCGATCTCAGCTCACTGCAACTTGTGTCTCCCAGGTTCAGGCAATTCTCCTGCCTCAGCCTCCCGAACAGCCAGGACTACAGGCATGAGCCACCAGGCCCGGCTAAATTTTTTGTATTTTTAGTAGAGATGGGGTTTCACCATGTTGGTCAGGCTGGTCTCGAACACCTGTCCTCAAGTGATCTGCCTGCCTCAGCCTCCAAAAGTGCTGGGACTACAGGCGTGAGCCACTGCTCTCGGCCGCGGTGTGGATTCTTCAGTGTGTTCTGATAGCCATGTGTCACTACACACTTGTTCTTTATGTCTTCACATCTCATCCTGTTGCATTTTAAAGCATGTTCATAGTATGCAGTTTTGCCTAATAAAGCATTCTCATATATACATACATATAGATAGATGATAGATAGATAGATAGATAGATAGATAGATAGATAGATAGATAGATAGATAGATAGATATTCAGACAGATCTTCAGGCCCCACTTGTCCCTGAGGAGGATTATTTGCCTATGGAAAGAACAAGCAGATGGCAAAGGCCTCTGACACCAAGCACAAGGCTCAGCCTGGAGGAGCTCACAGAGGAGCCCAGGAGATCCTCTCAAGCATCTCCTCAAGGGCTCAGCTGGGGATGGAGGAGCAGGATGCTGAGCTCAGCGGATGCTCCAGGCTGAGTGATGGATGTGCTTCAAAGGTCAGGCACAGAGAATCAGACGTTAATCATGGAAGGTTCCCACCATGTTGTAGGCAGAGACAGTGGCCTGAGTGTCAGGGGCAGGGAGACTCACCATGAGGCCAAAGCAGGCTGTGAGCCCCCCAAGAGACCACATCCTGGATGCAGCAAGCAGCCCTGCAGGGAGTGGCAGCAGATGTGCTAAAAACCATGATATCCAGACATGCAAAGGTTTCGCAATTTATGGATTAGAGAAGAATAGCATTATCCCTGTAATAGCTTCCTCTTTCTTACACTCTTTCTCATATAGAATAGAATGGGCAGCTTTTCCTGCAGTTCCCTCCTATCTGCATGCTCCCTGCTGCCACCTGGAAATTAGCCTCACTGAGTCACTGTCCGTGGTGCTGATGTCCATGAACTATTGAAGGGCCGGTGAGTTGTGATCTTTCAGTCACCTCTGCTTTCTGTTATTCTTAGCAACTAAGCATGTCACCAAGAAGAAGGTGGAGAGGTACTAGGGGCATGGAGAGCCCTCCGTCTCCCTCTCTCAGGATCTGGAGGGTGCTGGGGATGTTAATGCAGGAACTGACGCCACAGTCATGATGAACCCATCCAGGTGCCCATGTGTAGTTTGTAGTGAACGATGATGAGAAGATGGCCTTGAGAGGAGTGATGGACAGAACAAGGGCCTCTCAAAGATGTGTACATCCTCATCCCCAGATCTGTGGACATGTCACGTGGTAAAGGACACTTTACAGATTAAAGGAAGGATCATGAGATGGGGAGGTTGTTGTGGTTTATCCCAGGTGCGTCCAAAATAACCACAAGGCTCCTTCCTTTTAAGTGAGAGAGGGAGGTGGGAGGAGGTGGAGATGTGGGGATGGAAGCAGGGCACAGAATAGTTTCAAGATGCTGTGCTGCTGGCTTTGAAGATGGAGAAAGAGGACACAGCCAAGGTTGCAGGAGGCCTCTAGGAGGTGGAAAAGGAGAGGAAATGCACTCTTCCCTGGAGCCTCTAGAAAGAACACAGCCATGTGGGCACTTTGGTTCAGGTTTCTATGTCACTAAGCTTGTGGTAATTTGTCACAGCCTCAACAGAAAACTAAAGAGGCCTCACCTTGTCTCATCTGACGCTGTGTGCAGGTGGGATCAGGGGTCATTTAGAGCTAAATCCTGATGCAAATCCCGATATAAAACAACCCATTGCGGGTTGTTTTCTTACCTCTCATCTCAGGACGAACAACCTGTGGCAGTGGCAGAACACTCTTGGGAACTGTGGCTCTGTGCTTTAGTGCAGGCACCAGCTCACTTGTGGGAAGGTGGCACCTGGTTCAAGTGAACCTATATGAGATCATCACCCTTCCAGGGGCCCTCAGGGAAGGGCTGAGAACTGCTGTCCCAGGTGTGTGGAGGAGCTGCAGGCGAGATAGGGCTGTGGGCCAGGGAGAGGAGCAGACAGGTTGTCCCATCGCCATGGGAGCCTGCATGAGCTTTAGATGGGGGAGTCCTGCACCTCTGACCTGGATGCTCCTGTGTAAAGAGTTGGCTTGCTCAGTGAGATCCATGCCAGGGGGTAAAGTGGGAACTGATGAGCAATGAGGGGCCAGAGTCCTGGGTAGTGCTCAAGGACTGAATTATGCGTCTGTATTAATCTTGGTTGCTCTGACAGCCCCTCTCTGTGCCCCACCAGGGATAAAGATGTCCTGAGCAGTAGCCACTGGGACAGAGGAGAACCTAGTGGCCAGGTATAAGCACACAGGATCCTGGATTTGGGGACAGGTAAGTTCATTTGTGGAGGACAGTGATAGACTGGGCCTCCAGGGCCTGGGTGAAGAGGGCAGCAGGGGTCAGGACACTGGAGGCTGCGTAGGGGCCACAGCCGCAACCTATACCACCCATGGTTGCTCCCGCATTGCTCACCTTTTGTGGACATCAGATGGCCCCATCTTCTGTGCTCCTGAGACCCCACATGCATTCACAGAGGGACCCAGGCTGGGGCTGTGCATGGCCTTGGTCCCTGGGGTAGTGTGAGGACAGCTGAGCGCTCGGCTGGCTGGGCAGGGCTCATGTGAATCTTGCCCTTTCCTGTGTAGGGCCCACCCCAGCCTGACTCCCAACCCCTATTTCTGCCTCCCAGGGAAGAGAGACTGTGGTTGAGACAAGGTGGAGATATTTTCCCTGTGTGACCCGGGAGAGAATGGACACGGAGTTTCAGGTGAGTTTCTGCTAAGTTCCCGTGAGCAGAAAAAGAGCCAATGAGAGGAAGGGTCCTCTTTATTCAGATCCTTTCCTGGTGACCCCGGGTGGGCCACAGGCCCATTCACTTTCCTTGCAAGCCCCCGCTTCCTGTGGTGATGAGAGGCCTTTGTCCCGGCCCACCCAGAGCCCAGGGCAACCTGTCAGGGTCTCCAGATATTCAGCAGGGACTCCCATCCCTCCCTGTCCCCAGGCCTGTGTCTCCTCAGGACTCAGAGCTGGTTCTCTGGCTCAGGCTCCATGTCCTTCCCCGTCCCCAGGGCTGGGAGCTTCGGGGACGCTCCATCAACCCACAAGAGCAGCTCCCAGAGGAACCTAAGAGACCACATCTGCTTTGTGGTCGATCTGGCAGTAAATGTTTGCATCAGAGTATAGCAATTCCTGTAAAAACAGAGAAGAGGCCTCAACCCCTGTAGCCTTCTCAGAACAGTGTCTGGCATCTCCCAGGCTCTGGGCCCACCCAGGGCTTCTCTGGGGCTGAACCTGGCTGTGCTCAGGGGGTCCCTGTTCCCAGGCCCCTCCCTCCTCTGCTCACCACCACCTGTTCTCATTTTCACTGCATTTTCCTGAATCTGAGCTCAGCCAGGTGCTGGTGGGGGCAGATCCTGGGTCCCCTGGAGCCTGCGGGACCAGAACATCCATGGCCCACACTCACCTCATAGATGGGAGTGGCTGTTCTGGGGCTGGGTAGAGGGGCCTGGGCAGGGGAGAGAGGAGATGTCAGGGGACAGGGAGGGAGGGTCACGGAAGCCCAGCCTGGAAGGTTCCTGTCTCTGATCGGCCAGGACTTACTTCCCTGCCTCCACTTCCACTCATTTCCCCTCAGGATTGACCAGCTCTGCCCCTGAGCTCAGCCTCCCAGTGTGGACACAACACCCTGACCCCTGTCCTGGCTGGGCCCACCCCGCACCCTTGTTAATGTGGGCCTCTGACTGATGGTCCCAGTGTCCACTCTGCACCTGCTGGACTCCAGGGTTCTCCTCAGGTGTAGAGGGTCCCGGGGAGGGGTCAGCACATGGCGTGGGTGGTCCTGGCCCTGTAGAGAGGCCCGGATCCTGGCCGGAGGCACTCACTTTGACCTGACTGTTCTGGGGAAAGGTGGGTCAGTGCTGTGCTGTGGGGTTGATGGTCCCCCTGCCCTGAGCCTGCACTGTTGGGACCCCAGTAGAAAAGGGCTGGGGAGGGAACAGGCTTACCGAGAAGGTGGATCTGTGAGAGGGACCATGGCCTGGGGACAGAGACAGGAGTGAGCAGCAGGGTGGGAGGAGAGCCTGGGCCCCTCCTGCAGGAGAGTGTAGGGGTCCTCAGCTCCCAGAGAATCAGGGAGAGGGAGCCTCTTCCCAGGGGAGACCTGAGCAGCTGAGGTCGAGGAGGTGACCCACGACCCAGAGCCCACAGATCAGTCTGAACAAGACAGTCGGGGTCCCCTGTGTCATGTTTCCTGACATCCTCCTTGCAGCCCCAAAGAAAGGGTCAGAGGCCCCCAGGGGGTGACTGGCAGGAGTGGACACCGTAGGGCAGGCCTAGGGGCTCCCACACCTGGGCTGAAGGGACACTCACCAGGGGTGGAGGCTGGGGGCGGCTGCTCCCTGAGGTCACGCTGGATGCTGGCCCTAGGAAAGGTCAGGATTATTCATGAGGGTGCAGGGAGAAATCACAGGTTTAGGGGCAGAATAAAGGACAAGGAAGGGACTCCATTTTCAAGGACTGGAGTGAAGGCCTCCTGTCTCCATCAGTTTCGTGGTAGGAGCGGCCGAGGACGGGGAGCTGAGGATAGGCCTTAAGCAGTCACGTCTGTCCTGGCCAGAGAGGAAGGACCCCCCCAGGCAGATGCCGGGTGAGGAGAACATTGACCCAGGGACCCAGGAAAGGGACTGAGGACTCAGGGAGGGAATCAGACCACCTGCGTTTGCCTGAGAGGAAGGGTCAAGGCCCCAGAGGGAAAGCAGGGCCGGCTGTGTGTGCAGGACACTGGGGGAGCTGGGGGCATGGGGAGGCAAGGAGCATGTATCATATTCTCCCAGAACTCAGTATCCCTGCCATGGCCAGACCCTCCTTTCAGGCCTGGAGATGCTGAAATGGGGCAATGGCCTTGTCCTCTCTCTCTCCACCCCTTGGCAAGAGACATAAAGGACAGCAGGTCCTGAGGTCCAGGTTCTCCCATCTCACACCTCAGGGACATCAATCACGATGGGGTGCTGACCCTACCCAGCCTGTCCAGGCTTTGCCACTCCCCACTGCGTGACCATGCCCAGGACCCCCACCATGGATCTCAAGCCTGCAAATCCCTCCTCACTGGGTGGGTAAATTCAATGAACAGCAGAAGGTACCAGGTTCTGAGCACTCCCGTCTTATCTCCCTCCCTCCCTCCCTCCCTTCCTCCCTCCAGGCAGCTGTGGCTTTGCTGTGTTAGGGAACTAGGACAGCACTCAGGGGTGCAACCTTAACTGTGCCACATTCATAAAGGAAGAGGCAGCCTAGGATCAGCAGCTGGCAAGGGAGGAGCCATGGAATGAGAGAGAAGGATTCCTTGGGAGGATGCGGAAAGCCTGGCCCTGAATACAGGGCGGGGTCTCCCTCCTCCCTGACTGGGGTCAGCCTAGGGGTGGGAGGAGGCTGGGGAAAAGCTGCGGTACCTTCCAGTCCTGGAGAGAAGCAGAAAACACACCAGGGCGGCCACCAGAGCCACCCCAACCAGGACCCCAGTCACGATGCCAGCGACGGCCCCCACAGGAAGGCCTGGGACGTTGTTTTCTGCAGAAAGGGGAAGGCAAAGGGGACAAGGCCCAAGTTTGTTCCAAGGGAAACCATAAGAGGCATTGCAGGGCAGGGGCATAGTCAGGGAGGAAGGAAATGCTCCAGAGCCTGAGTGTGGTCTGTTGGGCTGTCCTCATAGCTGACTCCCTTGCTCTCCACGGTTGCACCATTTTCTGTGTCTCAGACTTGACACACTGGGATGTACCAACTCCTACATTCTCCCACAGGTGCTTGCACCTCGCCCTGCTCCTGTACCTTTAAATCCCTTCTTCCTCTCATGTCACACCTCTTCCCTCTGTTGCTTTTTTCTTTTTCTTTTTTTTTTGGATGGAGTCTTGCTCTGTCACCCAGACTGGAGTGCACTGACGCAATCTCGGCTCACTGCAACCTCCATCTCCCAAGTTCAAGCGATTCTCTTGCCTCAGCCTCCCAAGTAGCTGGGATTACAGGTTTGTGCCACCATGCCAGGCTAATTTTTATATTTTTAGTAGAGATGAAATTTCGCCATGTTGTCCAGGCTGGTCTTGAACTCCTGACCTCAGATGATCTGCCCGCCTCGGCCTCCCAAAGTGCTGGGATTACAGGCATGAGCCACTGCGCCCAGTCTTCCTCTTGTTTCTTCTTTTCCATTCCATGATTGTCACAGAGAGCGAGCCCTCACTGTCAACTCCATGCTGATGAGCGGGGATGATGTTCATTGACTATTTTCAGGGGTCTTCCATGTGCCAGGCACAGTGGGCACCAACCTACCTACAGCTCATCTCATCCTCACATCACCTTGAGGGAGAGGGGCATCACCGCCATCTGCAGAGTTAGAATCTGAGACTTACAGTACCTCAGTAAGTCAAGGAAGGTCACAGAACTCGTACATGATAAAACCAAATTTTTACTGCATTGTTCCTGATTTTATTGCCAATAACAACATCAAAAAAATAAGAATACTAGTTGATAGCATCAGTTGAGCTCTCGCCCTGTGTATAACTCTGCTTTAATCTCTTTAATCTCCTAATAAACATCCTCACAACCACTCTGAGATCCAGGTGTTACAGTGAGTTTGATCTCTAGCATATATATACATATATATAGATAGATAGATAGATAGATAGATAGATAGATAGATAGATAGATATAGTAGCTGTTGTTATTCTTTCTTAGCCTGTCCATCTCTCTGCTCACAGCATCCGTCTGTTCTGCACATTGTCTATGCTTTCCATTGCAGCCTTTAGCATATTAGCCAGTATTGTTTTTTGTTTGTTTGTTTTAGAGATGGAATCTCGCTCTGTTGCCCAGGCTGGAGTGCAGTGGCACAATCTAGGCTCACCGCAACCTCCGCTTCACAGGTTCAAGCAATTCTCCTGCCTCAGCCTTCCGAGTATCTAGGATTACAGGCACCCACCACCATGCCTGCCTAATTTTTTGTATTTTTAGTAGAGACGGGGTTTTGCCATGTTGGCCAGGCTGGTATCGAACTCCTGACCTCAGGTGATCTGCCTGCCTCGGCCTCCCAAATGCTGGGATTACAGGCATGAGCCACCGCTCCTGGCCCCAGAGTTGTTTTAAATTCCTGGTCTGATAATTTCAACATCCCTGCCACATCCCTGCCACATCTGCATCTGGTTCTGATGCTTGTTCTGTCTTTCGAACTGCATTTTTTTTTTTTTTTTTTTTTTTGCCTCTAGTCTGTCTTGTAGTTTTTGTTGAAAGCCAGGACATGATGTACTGGGCAACAGGAACTTGGGTGAGCAGGCGTTCAGTGATGCGGTGGTGAGTGGGGGGAGGGAGGGGTTCTGTGGTCCTGGATAGAGTCTGTGCCCTGGGCTGTGAATGTCACAAGTGCCTCTCAGTTTTTTCTCTCCTTTAGGTGGGACATGATGGCTAGAGGGGGCTGGAGTTGGATATTTCCCACCCCCCTCAGTCAGTTAGGCTCCCATAAACCCCCAGCAGGTGAGGCTCTGGTAAAATAACGATTTATTCCTGCTAACTAATAACTATCTGAACTTGCTAAGAAGAACAGATGCTCTGGCATATTTTTAAATATTTACTTTTTTTCTACTCCCCAGAAAGGATAGGGGGGATTATTATGGGATATTCATAGTGAGAACCAGGTAGAGCTCCAGGGTGTAAGGCAAACGTGTGGGACTACCCGCAAGCCTGATCCCTCCCCTGAAAACCTTCCCACAGCCCTGCAGCCCCAGGGTCAGATGAGACTCAGCTCCCAGGGGCAGATTTAGGAGAAACGGGCCAGATGAATGAGACATGGGTCTTAGGCTCTAGAGGGACAGAAAACAGGTGTGGCCAGAACCTCCTAGGATCTTGTATCCACATCTCTGTCTCTGAAGAGGTTATAGATCATTCCTACATTCAATCCCTCCCTCCTTCATAAGAGAACTACAGAGTGTGTGTCTCACGTTGGGCCCAGAACCTCCTAGGATCTTGTATCCAGGTCTCTGTCTCTGAAGAGGTTATAGATCATTCCTTCATTCATTCCCTCCCTCCTTCATGAGAGAACTACGGAGTATGTGTCTCACACTGGGCCCTGGCTGGTGCAGGGTGTGAATGGGGAGAGAAAGCAAAGTCCTCCCCTTTATCCTCCTGTTGGAATGATACCCACACATCAGAAAACACACGAAACCATTTCATGTCCAGAGATGCGGGGTGTGGACCTGAGCGAGGAGGCCTGAACTTCCCCAGCACTGACTGATTGTTGAGGCAGGTGATTTAGTTAAGAAAAAACTGATTAATTCTGTATTTACTCATAACTCTCCAGACCAGAATCTCCCCCTCCGAGCTGTAGACACCTAAGAAGAAAACATCCGAACCAGTGGCTGTTCTGAGGTCCACAGACACCTAGTAAGGCACCAGGGATGAAGGAGAGGACGTGGCAGCAGCTGCAGACAGCCCTCATGTGACTCTGCCAGCTGCGATCTGCCCACCGTGGCCGGTGTCTGTATCTCTCTGTGCCTCAGTTTCCCCTCCATACAATATGTAAATGGAAAATGGTCTGAGGCTTGCCACTTTGTCTGTGAATGAACTTTAAATTATTCACAGGATCTGACATGAAGCTTGGCACAGAGGAGGTGTTCACATCAACAGCATCTGTTATTTGCCTCCATGGGAGAGCACCCCTGGGCATGATCCCCGGTGGACAAGAAGCTGCCAGGAACATTTTCTCCCCTCTGTTCCTACCCCTGGGCCACTGACTGCCCAAGGGCATCTCTTAAGCTCCTCATTCAGGGGGCCAATGCCCTAGTAATCCTGTCCCCCTGCCCTCTCCAGGCTGAGTCCCAGGGAAAGTGGTAGGCTCTGTCCTTGTCTAGATGAGACTCTGGGAGCTGAGCCCTCACTGATGAGAAGCTTCAGGAACCACAGCCCGCAGACATCTGGTAAATCCTTGCTCCCAGTAAGCCCTGCCCAGGAGACCACACCCCAGCCCTGACACAGGCTTCCCGGGGTCACACGGAGTCAGGAGTCCTGAGGCTGGGCTTTTGTGAGGTTCCCAGGACGCCCTCAGGCCAGGCCCTGACCCAGTTCTCCAGGGTCTTTCTCAGGGTCAGGTTCATGGGGAGGGCATGGGGTGCTTGGCTGAGACTGACCTCCCCCTGCTGAGGCCCCCCCGCCCCCGCCATCAGTGTCTGCAGGGCCTGGATGCAGGAAAGGAATTCTGATCTGTTGAAGTTTACCTACCATGTGTGTGTCCTGCACTAAATGCCCAAATCTCAACACGGGACAAAATGCAGAGGGGGATGCAGGCACAGCCCAGGCCTGACAATCTCATGTGTGTGAAGCAGAACTGACCGCCAGCACCCAGAGGTATGGGGGAATCACTCACGGTGTACGTGGAGCTGGCCAGTTGCTTGGTCAGAGTCGTAACTGGCATTTATGGTTCGTAGGGTGTAGGATCCTGCGTCCTCCAGGGTGATGTTTTGGAACAGCAGGGATCCATTGGGGTATACTGTCTCTCGACCACTGTATGCGGCCCCTGGGATATTTGCTTGAATGTCTGTTATATAACCAGCAATGAGAGGGCTCCCTTCTGCCGTTTTCCCCTTGTGCCAATAATAGGCTTGAATAGTTTCTGAAATATTGCAGGCCAGTAGAAGAACATCCTTTCCCTCTGCAGCACTGGACGGCAGGGCTTCAATAGTGAACTGGACAGTGGTGGGCGGGTGCCAGAAGGTTAAAAGTGAGGCTAGGAGGTGAAGACAGCATCAGTCAATACTGGGACCTATGGAGTGGGATGGAAAGATAAGGCCCTGGGTCCTCAGCAGGTCTCCTCATCCCTCAGCCTTGGAGTGTGTGTGTGTGTGTGTGTGTGTGTGTGTGTGTGTGTGTGTGTGTGTGTGTGTGTGTGTGTCCCTGGGTCAGCAGCATGACCCCCATTCCTTCAACAGCTTGGACCTTGGCATTTCCCTGGTGGAATCTTCTTCCCCAGGGGTCTGCACGGCTCCCTCCCCACTGCCCTCAGATCCTGCTCACATCAGGGTGTTTTTGGGAGACCCCTCCCCTGACACCTCCTCTAGAGACCCTGGGTCTTCCCTTTCTGACCTTTCCCAGCTCTGTTCCCTCCAGGGCTCTTGTCAGCACCTGACCTCACATTCTAGATCTCTTTAGGTGTTTGTCTTCCTCCCCATGAGAGCGTGAGCTCTGTGAGGGCGGGGACTTGTGTGATCTTGGTTGCACCCCAGTGCCTGGCACAGGCTGCAGACTCCTGTAGATGAGTTCATGAGCATTCTCAGGGCCTCCAAGTCCTGAGGTTTATTTCCCAGTGTCTGAGGTTGTTGGCTAAGAGCAGTGTTTTATGCCCTGGTTATGTTTTTATTTGAAGTGTCATCTGGTATAGTTATTATCATTTTTCAAAATGTAGTGGCCAGTGATGATTAACCAGGACGAGAGAACACTTGAGATTTTCCTGCCTTTTACCAATTCCAGTTCACTGAGATTTTCCTGTTGTGACCCCTGCCCCTCTCTGATGTTCTCTCCCTTATCCAGCCTCCAACAGAGGCCCTCAGTCCCCTCTCAGAGCCCCAGGAGACCCCAGCCAGAAGCCCTCTATCCCCTCCTACCCAAGAGACCCCAGTCAGTCTCTGTGCTCCCTCTTCCCACCACTCCCAGAGAGTCCTCCCCTCACCTGTGATCAGGAGCCCCTGCCAGGGCCTGTGCCCTCCACGGGGAGCGGCTGAGGGGGGGCCCATGGTCTCTGCTGCCTGCTTGTCCTCTGTGGAGAGGAGCTGGGCTCCAGGAACGCTCTTGTCAGAGCTGCTGTGACTGTCGGCTGTCGGGGCTGCTGACCTTCCTCCTTCTGTGCTGAGCCTCCTCCCGGGCAGAAGCACTTCCCAGGGCCAGGGGCAGAGGCGGGGCTCTTCCCAGGTCACCCCTCTGCCCCTCCCCTCTCATTTCTGCCTTTTTTGTCCCTCCTTCCCCTTTCTCTTCTGTGTACATTACAGTTTCCTAACCACACTTTGAGAAGCAGGGTTGGTGGAGTCCCCTGTCCCCAGAGAGGGTGACTTGTCACCCCTGCACTGACCCTTTGGGAATGTCACCACAAACAGAGGTACTCTGGGGTCTCCCAAACTTGGGGAACTGTTTCCTTTTGTGACACAGAGACCCAGCTGGGCCCCCAGGTCTCCTCATGCTCCCCAATACTCAGGGAGTGTGAGATGATACCCAGCAGGAAGGTGACAGAGGTGGCTCTGTGGGATAGAAAATGGGGGGCGACTACGGGGGGGACCAGTCCTCTCTCTCCAGTGTCACCAGCCTTGCCTCTGACCCAGGGACAGAGATCCAGGCCTGGGGGTCTCAGGAGGATCCCCAGCTCCTGGATGTGGAGGGAGGTGTCCTGCATGTCCTGGGAAGAGAGGACTGTGGTGGAGGGAGGTGGGTGGCTCTGGGTTCTGCTGTCCTTGAGGAGGGATTCAGGGAGATCCTCCCTCTCCGTTTCTGTTGGCTGAGCTGTGGCTTAGGGCCTGTGCATGTTCTCCCTTACCATCCCGGGTGGCCTCTGTCCTCTGTGAAGGTGATTGTCCTGTTGTCACTGTACCTTCCCCATGCATGATACCAGGAGAAAGTGGAGAACTGAGCAGAGAATCCTGGCAGAGCAGGATCCTCAGAGGCTCCAGGAAGGATCAGGAGAGACAGAGCAGGCACATGGGAGGGACTGGAAGGGCCTGCTGGAGCAAAGTATGGAAACCAGGCTTCACCTCCACCTCCTTAGCAAAGCCAGATTCCTGTCCAGGGGAATCCATTTCCTGTGTTGTCTGCGTGCAATGTTGCCCCTGGAGAGCAAGAGGAACCCTGTGGTAAAAGTCAGGGGCTTCCCCAGGGATGCTGACCAGGGTCCACGTGGTATGAGTTGGCCCTGGCCCCTGGGCAGAGGTGGGCTCTGACCTCCAGACTGCAGGGTCAGGTCATCCTTGGTCCTGTTCACTGTGGGTCCCCAGGATGTCCAACTCCATGCAGTGCAGGATGAGCTCAGGGAGAGGACGAGAGTTGTCCAGAGCACTCCTGGTCCTGATTTGGGAGAACTGTCCTGCAGGCGGATGGGCTGCCTCAGAAAGAGCCATCCGTCCCCAAGGTTTCAAAAGAAGGGCCCAGGGAGGTGTCTCTGGGGGTTTAGAGAGAGGGCACTGGCCTGGGAGGTGGTCCTCGGTGTGTTCTGTGTTCCTCCATCACAACACTGGGAGTTCCGCCTCCAGGTCATCTGTGTCCCTGTCTGTCACCTGCCCCAGGCCTCTCCACAGGGCCCAGGAGCTGGGGCAGCTCCTACCTGCAGGCTGCAAGGGATACCTGGTTCCTGTATTAGAGCAGGGGAGGCCCCGTGACCCTCAGTCCCTCTGAGATGGAAACAAAGGCAGATCCTGGGTTATCCTGTCCCCTCCTGCAGGAGAAGTTCCCCTGGATCCCCTGGTGAAATGTCTGCAGGGACCATAGGCAGATGTCCCAAATACTGGGGATCTCGAGGCTGGGGAATCACTCCCTGACTTTCTTGTGGTCATTCTGCCCTGGTGGAAGATCCACCTGGGATCGAATATCCGGAGTTTGTGTCAGTTTTGGTGTGTTTGTGAGAAAGACATATGTTAGAGCCTGGAGGGAATGTCAGTGAATGATGTCAGGGAATGAATTGGGTTTGCCCCTCACTGTTAGAAAGACCCTGAATTCCCTCCCGATGCTACTAGGGTAAAAGCCATGTTCTTATGCTCATTTCTCTAAGGAAATGCAAATAGAGTTTATTAAGGCGTTTCTGGCCAACTAAGGTGGATTTTGTCATGTAGACACAATATAGACCATAATACATGTACATATGCAAAAACACACCTAAACACATATCCACAAACAAATAAAAATCTTACAGCTTTCATTTTAGAATTTTAGTGATGAGATAGTAATACAAACTCACTAGTTGATTAAAGTCAACTGGATCCAATTGTATTTCTGACAAATTGGAATCGTTAACATGGATAAACTTTATTTGCCCCTATAGGTAATATAATGAAGGCTGGGGGAAATATTTTGGGTAAAGCAGTTTCTAATGGCAGTGTAACTTATAAACAAATAAACAAATGAAACCTCTACAGTTTCAGCATCTTTTTTTTTTCTGTTTCACATGAGTTTAGGATTAAATTTTCAATTGCTTACACTTTAGCTAGAACTGGCTGAATTGTATAAGAAAAAAAAATCTCCAACTAGCCTTAAACTAGATTTTTTGTGTGGGTTGGAGGGGGGCGGGTGGTGGTGATGTGGTTTGCTTGATTAACAAATGTGGATGAGGAAGGATTTTAGCTTTTTTTCCTGGCTTTTTCTTTTTTGCCTCTGCATGGCAAAAGAAGAAAAAAGTTTATGTCGGACAGAGACACCTTAAATTATTGCTCTGAGTTCAAGATTTTGACCTGTATGATCTGAGAGCCTAACTTTTATAACCATGTATTTTTTTAATTATTGATTTTTAATTGTGCTCCATTATAAGCAATTATTAGTTAGACAAACTTAAATTTACATTTCCTAAAGGTGTCTAAGTTGTTTCTTATCATGGAGTTGTTTAATTTGTAAAGCCATTAATTTTAAAGCCCTTCAAGATTTCTTTTTTAAAACTCTGGGCTAGAATGCCATAAGCAGTGAGTTTTATCTCAACACCAGTAGAAAAGTCAGCAGATTCAAAGTAGGTAGAGAAAAAAAAATAGAGAATTTAGAAGACTCTACATTTCCACCCTATAGATGCAGGGCTTTTTAAAACAGGTTGAATGATGATCATTGAGTACTGAATTTTCCTTGATGTAATTTTGCTCATAAACTTTAAAATGTGCACAAGAAAGAACCATAAAATGTAGCCAGCTGGAGCCCCAGAAAACCTGGCATGCCTTAATGCTTGAGAGCCCCATTCCATTTCTTATTAATCTCTTGAAAGTGAAGAAAATTTTACAAATCCTGCCAGAGAATGTCAGGCATTTGTACCAGTGTTTTAGATGGTGGCAACCACGCTAGTGGCTGTTAATTAGCCATTTTGTGCCCGTCATTTAGAATGTCTATTTTTTTGTGTTCTGGGATGATTTTCAGAAGCAAGCAAGGGGAAAAGAGTCAAACCAAATAAAAAGAAATCCAGATAAGAGCATTCACAAGAATTTTAACCCAGGCATGCAGATTTTTAAAGTATTTAAATTAGGCACACAGGCCAAAATGGAAGTAAATTCACCAGAATAGACTTGCCTCACAGGCAGAATGTAAATTTTGTAGAATCCAGAGTACGTGATCTAGAAAGATATACGCCTTTCTCTCAGAAAGGACTTGCTAGAAAAGACAAAAAGTTTTTTTTTTTTTTATCATCCCAGGAGAAATGTATGGTCTTTTACTAAGGCAGCCTTATCCAAATCAGATTCCAAATAAAGTCAAGAGCTTCTACCAAAAAGAGGCTCTGCTTGAGCAAAGACTTGTCAGGGCAGGAAAGGTGAGTGTGGAAGCAGAGAGCTCAAACTTCTCAAGTGAGTAGTGCACACTGGTTCAAAGATCACAGATTTCTTCTGATAGTGATCTTTCCCAGATCCCACTTCTGACACCATATATGGTAACAAACAGAGTGAGGCTTTCTATGAGAAACTGATGTTTATTTGGGAGTAGCACATTTCAATGGAAATGCATGTGCCATAGTAAAATGATCTACATATTCGAGTTTTTAAAGGAAAAAATTGGGATTATTATCTAGTCATTTTGAAAAAAAAAAAAAAAAACTAGCTACAAAGATCAATAGCCAGAATGATGCCACTGTGAGGTTCTATAGGCAGTTGCTGGGCAGATGTCCTTGCAGAAGTAGTTTTCATATAAGGTTGTGATGGCCTTTGTATAAACTTGTGGCTTTTGCAGAGTCTTTTGTGATAGTTTTGTTATCAGGCATGAGGATCCTCTCTTCATGGTCTTCTCTGGCTCTATTTGTCAGAGTTTTTTTTCACACTAGTGACTCATTTTGACTCTGACAACTTTCACATCTGTTAATACTTAAAGAATAAATAAAATTAAAAAGACTGAAGTCTAGTAGAAAAGTAGGCAAATATATAAACAGTTTACAGAAGAAAAAACAATTTGAATGATTCGTAGACATATGAACAAAATACCCGCACACATGCAGGAGAAACGGACATTGATATTATCCTGGAAAGGTGAGGATCATAATATGGCCCAGTGGTTTTAAATGCTGAAAAATTCCATTTGATAACACAACGTGTGGGAAGAACTTTGGTAAAAATTGTACTTCCTAACTTTGTTGGGTGACATGAAAATTTGTACCAACTGTGTGGCATCAAATTTGTCAACACTTATCAAAATTTAACATATGCATTCTCTTTGCCTCCCAAACTGCACTGCAAGGAATTTATCACACACTCATGAAAAATGACACCTAATCACGGTTTCTCATGGCAGTGATGGCTTAACAGCAAAATACTGAAAACAACCTACATTTACATTAGCATAGTTAAACAGGTTATATACATTTACACAATGGAATATGAGGCAGATATGTAACCAACAGGGAATTGTTTTAGCCACTGATGCGGAAACTCCTCCGTAGTGTTTTTAAATTATATGGCATAAACAACATATAGCCTATGTGTGGTTTTCACATTGAATGTGATCTTAATTTTTTTTTTTTTTTTGAGACAGGGTCTCATCTTGTTCCCAGGCTGGAGTGCAGTGGCATGATCTTGGCTCACTGCAGCCTCAATCTCCCAGGCTCAAGTGATCCTCCTGCCTCAGCCCCCGCCCCCCAAGTAGCTGGGACTACAGGCATGTACCACCATGCCTGGCTAATTTTTGTACTTTTTTGTAAAGACAGGGTTTCACCATGTTGCCCAGGCTGTTCTTGAACTCCTCAGCTCAAGTGATCCTCCAGCCTTGGCCTCCCAAAGTGCTGGGATTACAGGCGTGAGTCATCGTGTCCGGCCTAATCTTTTTAAACTTTAGAGTTGAGTTCATATGTATTTATTCTATAACTTTTGTTTTTTAACTTAATACTTCTGTATTTGGGGTATTTTTTTCTATTGTCCACTTTTCTGGTGTGTTTCCATCCATTGTTTTTGACTGATTCACTTCTTTGACTTAATGATATGGTATATATATATATTTTTTTTTCTTTTTTTGACAGAGTCTTGCCCTGTCACTCAGGCTGGAGTGCAATGATGCCATCTCGGCTCACTGCAACCTCCGCTTCTCGGGTTCAAGTGATTCTCCTGCCTCAGCCTCCTGAGTAGCTGGGATTACAGGTACGTGCCTCCACGCCCAGCTAATTTTTGTATTTTTAGTAAAGATGGGGGTTTCACCATGTTGGCCAGGCTGGTCTCGAACTGCCAACCTCATGATCCACCCGCCTCAGACTCCCAAAGTGCTCAGATTACAGGCGTGAGCCACCGTGCCCAGCCCCATGATATAGTATCTTTTTCCTTTAATGTTATCTCCTACATCTCATCACAAACATTTATGTATACTTCACAATTACCTTCTGGTTCCCAAATTATGACTCTTGCACAGTGAGGATTCTTCGAGATCTCTCCCTGTTTTCAGCACTCCCTGAAATGTTTTCAAAGCTTCCTTTATATTGACATTTATGGATATTTTGAGCTAGTACAGATTTCTCCTACTCCAAGATATGGATTCACCTGTGCCTCCAGGAGCACTGGCTCGTCTAATAAAAATAAGAATTAGAAAATAAATCATATCACAGACCACAAACTGGACCCATGGGGTGAATTTTAATTGTTTTCCATGAATACAATTGCAGAGAGGATAATATTGTTACCAGTGGAAGGTGTCCAGGTTCTTGGTGTATTGGACAAAACGCACAAACAAGGCAATAAAAGAATGAAGCAAAAAACACAGATTCATTTAAATGAAAGTACACTCCACAGAGTAGAAGTGGCCTCAAGCAAGCAGCTCAAGAGTGCTGGTTATAGAATTTTCTGGAGTTTAAATATGCTCTAGAGGTTTCCCATTGGCTACTTGGCTTACTCCCTATGTAAATAAAGTAGTGGCCTGCAATCAGTCTGATTGGTCGTGGAAGGCAACCAATCAGAGGCTGAAGTGAAGTTACAAAGTTACATCCCTATGCAAATGAAGACTAGACCCTTGACCAGTCTGATTGTTGCAGGAGGGAACCAATCAGAAGTACTTTCCATTTCTCATCTGCAATGCAGAAAAAGGTGGGGTTGTAAAGGGTGTACCCTCTGTCCTTTTGTTCTTGGGCTTGGGAAGTCGAGGTTGCTTTAGAGTGGTCAAAGGGCAGGGCTGGGGCAGACCCCAGGGGCAGTATGGAGGCCCCCCAGTATGTGTCCTGGAGGAGCCGAGCTCTCACACTCGGAATCTGTCCATCCCTGAGTTAGCACCCAGTTGCCTGGAACCCCCTCCTCCCCACAACGACCCCATGACCTGTGCAGAGTGGGTGCCCTCAGCACCTGCAGCCTCTCCCTATCCTGATAGCAGCCATTTTTCTTATTTTCTCAATAACTCAGGAGGACACACCCTCACCTGTGGACCTAGCTCTTTTTTTTTTTTTTTTTCAAATTATACTTGAAGGTCTGGAATACATGTGCAGAATGTGCAGTTTTGTTACATAGGTGTACATGTGCCATGGTGATTTGCTGCACCTGTCAACCTGTCATCTACATTAGGTATTTCTCTAATGCTGTTCCTCCCCTTACCCCTGAGCCCCCCAACAGGCCTCGGTGTGTGATGTTCCCCTCCCTGTGTCTATGTGTTCTCAATATTCACTGAGAGACCTCTGTTCTGTTCCATTGGTCTATCTGTTTTGGTACCAGTACCATGCTCTTTTGGTTACTGTAGCCTTGTAGTATAGTTTGAAGTCAGGTAGCATGATGCCTCCAGCTTTGATCTTTTTGCTTAGCATTCTCTTGGCAATATGGGCTCTTTTTTGGTTCCGTATGAACTTTAGAGTAGTTTTTTCTAATTCCATGAAGAAAGTCAATGGTAGCTTGACGAGAATAGCATTGAATCTATACATTACTTTGGGCAGTATGGCCATTTTCACAATATTGATTTTTCCTATCCATGAACACGGAATGTTTTTCCATTTGTTTGTGTCCTCTCTTATTTGCTTGAGCAGTGGTTTGTAATTCTCCTCGAAGAGGTCCTTCACATCCCTTGTAAGTTGTATTCCTAGGTATTTTATTCTCTTTGTAGCAATTGTGAATGGGAGTTCACTCATGATTTGGCTCTCTGTTTGTCTATTATTGGTGTATAGGAATGCTTGTGATTTTTGCATATTGATTTAGTATCCTGAGACTTTGCTGAAGTTGTTTATCAGTTTAAGGAATTTTGGGGCTGAGATGATGGGGTTTTATAAATATACAATCATGTCATCTGCAGACAGAGACAATTTGACTTCCTCTCTTCTTATTTGAATACCTTTATTTCTTTCTCTTGCCTGATTGCCTCGGCCAGAACTTCCAATACTATGTTGAATAGGAGTGGTGACAGAGGGCATCTTTGTCTTATGCCAGTTTTCAAAGGGAATTCTTCCAGATTATGCCCATTCAGTATGATATTGGCTGTGGGTTTGATAAAAATAGCTCTTATTATTTTGAGATACATCCCATCGATACCTAGTTTATTGAGTGTTTTTAGCATGAAGATGTGTTGAATTTTATCAAAGGCCTTTTCTGCGTCTGTTGAGATAATCATGTGGTTTTTGTCATTGGTTCTCTTTATGCGATGGATTACGTTTGTTGATTTGCATATGTTGAACCAGCCTTGCATCCCAGGGATGAAGCTGACTTGATCATGGTGGATAAGCTTTTTGATGTGCTGCTGGATGTGGTTTGCCACTATTTTATTGAGGATTTTCGCATCGATGTTCATCAGGGATATTGGCCCGAAATTTTCTTTTCTTGTTGTGTCTCTGCCAGGTTTTGGTATCAGGATGATGCTGGCCACATAAAATGAGTTAGAGAGGACTCCCTCTTTCTCTATTGATTGAAAGAGTTTCAGAAGGAATGGTACCAGTTCCTCTTTGTACCTCTGGTAGAATTCAGCTGTGAATCTGTCTGGTCCTGGGCTTTTGTTGGTTGGTAGGCTATTAATTACTGAATCAGTTTCAGAACTTGTTATTGGTCTATTCCAGGATTTGACTTCTTCCTGGTTTAGTCTTGGGAGGGTGTATGTGTCCAGGAATGTATCTATTTCTTCTAGATTTTCTACTTTATTTGCATAGAGGTGTTTATAGTATTCTCTGATGGTAGTTTGTATTTCTGTGGGATCAGTGGTGATATCCCCTTTATCCTTCTTTATTGTGTTTATTTGATTCTTCTCTCTTTTCTTCTTTATTAGTCTGGATAGTGGTCTATCTATTTTGCTAATCTTTTTTAAAAACCAGCTCCTGGATTCATTGATTTTTTGAAGGGCTTTTTGTGTCTCTATCTCCTTCATTTCTGCTCTGATCTTAGTTATTTCTTGTCTTCTTCTAGCTTTTGAATGTGTTTTCTCTTGCTTCTCTAGTTCTTTTAATTGTGATTTCAGGGTGTCGATTTTAGATCTTTCCCACTTTCTCATGTGGGCATTTAGTGCTATAAATTCCCCTCTAAACACTGCTTTATCTGTATCCCAGAGATTCTCATAGGTTGTGTCTTTGTTCTCATTGGTTTCAAAGAACTTATTTATTTCTGCCTTAATTTTGTTATTTACCCAGTAGTCATTCAGGAGCAGATTATTCAGTTTCCATGTAGTTGTGCAGTTTTGAGTGAGTTTCTTAATCCTGAGTTCTAATTTGATTGCACTGTGGTCTGAGAGACTGTTCGTTATGATTTCCATTCTCTTGCATTTGCTGAGGAGTGTTTTATTTCCAGTTATGAGGTCAATTCTAGAATAAGTGCTATGTGGTGCTGAGAAGAATGTATAGTCTATTGATTTGTGGTGGAGAGTTCTGTAGATGTCTATTAGGTCTGCTTGGTGCAGAGCTGAGTTCAAGTCCTGAATATCCTTGTTAATTTTCTGTCTTGTTGATCTGTCTAATATTGACAGTGGGGTGTTAAAGTCTCCCACTATTATTGCGTGGGATTCTAAGTTTCTTTGTAGGTCTTTAAGAACTTGCTTTATGAATCTGGATGTTCCTGTATTGGGTGCATATATATTTAGGACAGTTAGCTCTTCTTTTGCATTGATGCCTTTACTATTATATAATGCCCTTCTTTGTCTTTTTTTTTATCTTTGTTGGCTTAAAGTCTGTTTTATCAGAGACTAGGATTGCAACTCCTGCTTTTTGTTTGTTTGTTTGCTTGCTTTCCATTTGCTTGGTAAATATTCCTCCATCCCTTTATTTTGAGCCTAAGTGTGTCTTTGCACATGAGATGGGTCTCACGCACCAATGAGTCTTGACGCTTTATCCAATTTATCAGTCTGTGTCTTTTAATTGGGGCACTTAGCCCATTTATATTTAAGGTTAATATTGTTATGTGTGAATTTGATGCCATCATTATGATGTTACCTGGTTATTTTGCACATTAGTTGTTGCAGTTTCTTCATAGTGTCGATGGTCTTTACATTTTGGTATGTTTTTGCAGTGGCTGGTACTGGTTTTTTCTTTCCATATTTAATGTTTCCTTCAGGAGCTTTTGTAAGGCAGGCCTGGTGGTGACAAAATCCCTCAGCATTTGCTTGTCTATAAAGGATTTTATTTCTCCTTTGCTTATGAAGCTTTATTTCGCTGGATATAAAATTCTGGGTTGAAAACTGTTTTCTTTAAGAATGTTGAATATTGGCTCCTACTCTCTTCTGGCTTGTAGAGTTTCTGCAGAGAGATCCGCTGTTAGTCTGATGGGCCCTTCAGATTGAGAAATCCTTAGATTGGAGTCACTTCAAATCCAGAAGTTATGAGGACTGAGCTGGGCAATCTTCATTCCATAATACATTTTTTGAAAAGTACATGCCCTTCCTATTCTATGAAAAGCTGCCCTGGCCTCAGAGATGAACACAACTGGCAAGCCTGCTCATGTAGTTTGGATGTTTCTCCCCTCCAAATCTCATGTTGAAATGTAATCCCCAATGTTAAAGGTGGGGCCTGGCTGGGTCATGAGGGCAGGTCCCTCATGAATGGCTAGGTCCTGTCCTCATGATAGTGAGTGATTTTGTACAAGGTCTGGTTATTTAGAAGTGTGTGGTGCCAGGCACAGTGGCTCATGCTTGTGATCCCAGAACTTTGGGAGACTGAGGGAGGAGGATTACCTGAGGTCAGGAACTCAAGACCAGCCTGGCCAACATGGTGAAACTCCATCTGTACTAAAAATACAAAAATTCGCCAGACTTGATGGTGCACACCTGTAATCCCAGCTACTTGGGAGGCTGAGGTAGAAGAATAGCTTGAACTCAGGAAGCAGAAGTTGCGGTGAGCTGAGATTGTGCCACTGCATTCCAGCCTGAATGACAGGGTGAGACTGTCATGGAGTGACACCTCCCCCCTGCCACTTACTACCACTCTCACCATGTGTTATATCTATTCCTCTTCCCTTTCTGCCACAAGTAAAAGCTTCACTGGAAGCCAAATAAATGCTGTCACCCTGTTTCTTGTGCATCATGCAGAAACATGAGCCAATTAACTTCTTTTTTTGCAAATTATCTGGTCTCAGGTATTTCTTTATAGCAACACAAAAGTGGCCTAATACACCTGCCTTCCCCCCAATACATAGAAGTTTATATGAGGAACAGGGACTGATCTTTATAAAGCCACAAAGAGTGCTAAGAAAGAATCTCACAAAAGTCCACAGGAGAAAAATTCAACCTGATGATGAGGTTGCAAAATCTGCGAGCTGAGAAGGAGTTCCTATTGTGGGTCCCACAGAGATGTCTGGGAGAACTCCAAGGTCACCATAGGGTGGTCTGGGGTGAAAGAGAGGTGCCACCTTATCCTTACAGATTGTCACCTGAGCAAAGACTCTTGATCTTCTGCAGAGGGTCAGGGCCATCCCCTGGATGGTTTCCTTTGCACACCTCATGGTGGAACCTGAGAGCTGGCTGGGATCTCTGGGAAGGAACATGGCCCCAGGCCCCAGGAAACTCTCAGTCATTCATCTCCTCTCTTTGTCCACAGGGTCAGTGGCTCACTCCTCCTTCTGAACCAGCAGCTTACCTCCAGCAAAATGATCCTTTCAGGCTGACTGTGAAATAGCAGACATCTGAGTCCTCTGTTATAGGTTATTAAATCTAAAATCAAATTTTTCTCTGCTTGGAGGCATTTTATTATAAAAAGTTGGTACTCGTACACATAAACTAATATAAACTTGAAATTTACTATACATTTACATTTCTTAGCTTGTCCTTACAGTAAATTTTTAGCTTCATTGATCTTGGCTATTATATAAAGAGACCCTCTTTTGTCTGGGTGATTTAAGAGCATAACATGTTGATAAGAACCTCTTACTGTTTCCTTTATTGGCGTTAGGGCTTACATCTAGTATTAGTGCTGCTTCCTGTTTTGTCATTTTGGGTTCAACCCCACCTCTGTCGTAATAACCTCTGAAAAATATTTTGGTAGACTTTGAAAAACTTGTTTTACTTGAGGCTTTCTGTGCTTCGTGGCTTGCCAAACATAACAGCTTGCAAATCCTGCAGCAGCAGTCGGTACAGCTGCTACCACTGCACAGGCCATGGCTCCAGCCTGGCTCCCCTGCTTCCACCAGGAGGGTGGATCATCCCAGCCCAGAGGCCGCACCCACTACCTACTTGGCTTTACCAGAGAGCAATGCAGCAGCGACCACAGTAGTCACAAATTGCCCAAGCACCTTTTTCCTTTTTAAAGTGGTGGTGATGATGCATTTACTTTATTGAGCTGTTGTGAATAGTCAATGAAATCAGGTGACTTGCATTGAGTCCATAAATACTAAACACTGTGGACTGACGTTGTCATTGTTGGCTTAAGGTCCCATTCAACACCAGATACCACTGTTTGTCTCAGTTGCACCATCTCCACAGTGGTGGCAACATCGTTTCCCTCAGAGGATGGACCATAATTGTGTTTGAGGGTGAGAACATGTTATCAGAGGGAAGGAAAACTCCTGGTCTGTGGAAGGGCCACAGTGTCCCTCTAAGCCAAGTCACAACATTGTTTGAGAAAGTACCAACCAAATTTCCGCTGTGTTCACTGAGCCTGAGTCTGAGACATTCACCTGTTTCTCCCATTACAGGCTGTGGACCCCAAGCCTCCCATGACAGGAGCAGTCCCTCTCCACCTATTTTTGGTCAGGGCTGTGCCCTTCCGGGTTTGCCTGGGGCAGGAAGTCACAGCCAGCCTGGGTATCCAAGGGCAGGGGTCTGTGTTCTTGGACCCAAGGGGAAGTGAATGGTTTGAGCTCTGGCTATGTGGATTTGAGCTGGCAGCCTGAGCCCCAGAAGAAGAGAAGATACACGGGACATTCAGGCTAACTGGGTCGCTGCAGTCGGCATTCACTGGGTTCTGGGTTCCACTCTCATAGAGTCCTGTGTCACTACCTGTGACACTGAGTAAAGTGAAGGTCCTGTTGCCCTTGGACATCTTCAGCCTGGGACTGGCCAGGAAGCTCTGACCCCTTACTCACCACAGGTATGTTGTGTCCTGAGTCTCAGGTTCACAGTTTAACCTACAGAGTCTTTGTCCTCCACGGGGGTCCTGTTGCCTTGATGGAGGGCTTTGTAAGCTCTACTGTGCAGATAACAGAGAGAAGACTGCCCTATGGGGCACCCTGATTACTCCATAGTGAACATGGAACGCATATAGCATGCACGTTTTCTTATCAAACTTGTGTAAGTCAAACCTTCATGAATATTAATAGCTCCTCCTAAACCCTATTGAATGTCTACTTGGCCAACCTGTTCAGCGTCAAACCCTGTTCCACCCTCCCTCCTTCAAGTGCCTGCTATTGGTCTCTGCAGGAAGCTGCACTTGCTAGCCTGAGGAATGGCCAGCAGGCAGGCTGTAATATTTTATAAAAAATAAAGGCACCAGGTGCAATAGTTCAGGCATGTAATGCCAGTCCTTTGGGAGGCCATAGAGGGAGGATTGCTAGAGGATAGGAGTTGGAGACCACCCTGGGCAACATAGCAAGACCCCATCTCTAAAACAATTTTTTAAAAAATTAGCAGAGCATGGTAGCAAGTGTCTGTAGTCTCAGCTATGATGGAGGCTGGTGTCCTCTCCCTTATTCCCACTTCAGCAGAAACCCTCGATCCCTCTCAGAGCCCTGCCCTCCCCAGGAGACCACTGCCAGTCTCTATTCTCCCTCCTCCCACCCACTCCCAGAGAATCTTCCCCTCACCTATTACCAAGAGCCCCTGCCAGGGAATGAATCCTCTGCGGGGAGGGGCTGAGGGGGTCCCAGGGTCTCTGCTGCCTGCTCTGTCCTCCACTGTGGAGAAGAGCTTGGGCTCCAGAAATGCTCCCAAGCATGGCTGCTCTGACTGTCAGCTGTGCTGTTTGTGCTGAAACTCCTCCCAGGGCACTTCCCAGGTGGGCCTGAGGTGTGGTCTCAGCCCAGGATGCTTCTCTGTCCCCTCCCTTCTCACACTTGCCTCCTTTTTCTTTGCCTTTTCCTTCACTTCTGTCTACATTTTGGCTCCCCCAGAACATGCTTTGAGAAGCAACTCTTATTTGGACCGCTGTACCATAACAGGATGAGCTGCGTTCCTCTGCGCTGACCTCTGCTGTGTCCTGGGTGTGGATCTCTTATGCACCACGCAGAGAGTCCCTAGGGTCCCCCAACCCAGCTTTTTCCTCTATGACACAGAAACCCCTCTGTGCATTCAGAGTCTTCCTAGTGTTCTCTAATGGCTGGGAAAGTTGGATTTACTCCCAACAAGGAGGTCACAGAGATGTCCAGGGAGAGGGTTCCTAGAAATGCACACATGGGGCTAAAACCCATGTCTAAGATTCTTAGTTTTCCTTTATGCAGCACTATGAGACTTTAATTTTATAGACATAACTGAAGATGAAGCTGCCTGGTGCTATAGTATTATGTCTCCCAAGCCTCAGATATTTATAGACCATCTCTATAATGTTTTCTACAGTTTGTACCATCTTTATTATTATTGACTTCATACATTTTTTCTAAATAAATTTACTTTACAAAACACCCTTGTCCCAGCAGCGTGCAATGGCTTACATTGTAATCCCAGGTACTTGAGAGGCTAAGATGGGGGGATCACTTGAAGCCAGGAGTTTGAAACAAAACATCCCCGTCCTTTGCAATATTGTCCATGAAATTAAAGGTTTTGTGAATTTGCTTAAAATTGTTTCTAACATGCATTAAAATAAACATATAACTATTAAAGTTTCTTAAAAGCTTATTTATGTTCCACCTAAAGTCAGTTTTGGGAAACACTGATACAGTGGAATAACCATGGACTTTTTATATCCAGAGAGACCTGGGACTCACTACTGGTTCTGTCACTTAACTGTGTCATCTTGCACGAGTCACTTGGCTTCTTTGATCCTCGATTCCATAATTTTTAAAATGATGATGATAAAATCCACTTTGCAAGCTGTTAGGAATAAGATTTGCTTCAGTCAGGAGGTGGAGGTTGCAGTGAGCTATGATTGCACCACTGCACTCCAGCTTGGATGACGGAGCAAGACTCTGTCAATGAAAAAGAAAAGAAAGAGAGAGAGAAAAGAAAGAGTTACTTCCACTTGTTAGGACTTGTGGTGCGTCTGCCATTGTTTTCATTTCCCAGTTCCACTACCTATGTGCTCTGTGATTTTGATCAAGTTGCCTAACTTTTCCTCATTTACCTAATTTGTAAAATGTGGGGTTTACCAGTACACTAGTGTGAGTGTTATTTCCCAGCTCTGACCACTAGAGGGCGTAGGAGCATCGGCACCCACTGGCAATGGATGTGTCGGTGCCCATGGTTTACCAACATCATTCTCCCATGAAAGGAACCAGGGCTCCCTGGAGAAATAGCTGATCCAGGGCTGGGGCAGGAAAGCACAAGAGAAGCCCGGAGCTTTTTGTGAGGCCAGAAAGTAAGGAACCACTCGAAAAATTATGGGAATGTTTCAAAAGATTACAGGGAGCTTAGAATTACCAATTTTGGGACAACATGAGCAACATAATAATGATAGCAATGGATTCCAACCCATAAATATCCATGAGTCCATGCTGATATAAATAATTGAACAAAGAAATAAATAAGGAAGAAGAAATAGCTCTTTCTTATAGCAGAATTCCAATTAATAAATGTAGAAGGAATTATGGAAATAAAAAATCACTATTTGGCTAACACCACAGTAATAATTGTTTATAGGCCAGAATCAAGAACCATCCACAGATTCTAAAAATTAATGGGTAAAGGTAAGATGATGCTGTAACTATTGAGTATGAAGGAGGGGTCAGGGGAAGTAAGGTGAGAAGAAACAGGCTACTGGTTTGTTCCCAAAGTATCTGTCCACAAGATACTTATTAATTACAATGAGATGAATAGTAACTTTATAGTAGAGAAACCTGGCAAACACCACCTGAACCAAGCGCTTAAAGTGAACCTCATCGGTAATGAGAGATATGGACATCCTGGGGCTCCAGGTGGGATGTCCTGAGAAAGACACATCACTTCTGTGCTAATCTTACCCAAAATGCATAACCTAAAACATCCCAAGGAAACAGGAGACAAACCCAAATTGAGAGGCATTCTACAAAACAACTGACCAGACCTCCTCAAAAGTGTCAAGGTCCTGAGAGAGGGAAAGAGTGGGAAACTCCCCCAGGTTGGAGGAGGCCTAGGAGATGTGACAGTGTTATTCAGTGTCAGATCTTGGATTGGATTTGGGAGCAGAAAAAGGACATGAGTGGGATGATTAGCAAAATTTGAATATTTGTAGATCCCCTTGGTTAATGTTATTGCACCAATGCTAGTTCCCTGATATGAACAATTATATTAGTTATAGAAGATGTTATTTGAAAAAAAAAGCTGGATAAAGGATAAACTGGAACCCTATTTTTAAAGATTTTTGAATGTTTAAAAATAAACATGATAAATGAGGCCGGGTGTGGTGGCTCACGCCTGTAATCCCAGCACTTTGGGAGGCCGAGGTGGGCGGATCACGAGTTCAGGAGATCGAGACCATCCTGGCTAACACGGTGAAACCCCATCTCTACTAAATATACAAAAAGTTAGCCGGGCGTGGTGGCGGGCGCCTGTAGTCCCAGCTACTCGGGAGGCTGAGGCAGGAGAATGACGTGAACCCGGGAGGCAGAGCTTGCAGTGAGCCGAGATCACGCCACTGCACTCCAGCCTGGGCGACAGAGCAGGACTCCATCTCAAAATAATTAATTAATTAATTAATTAATTTAATTAGATTAAATAAATAAACGTGATAAATGAAAAGTCAAAATTTTAAAAATGCTTTAGATTTCTGTGAGGCCAAAATGAGTGTATAGTGCTTAGAACAATGCTTGTGACATAGGAGTTCTTAACATGTCAGCTATTATTATAAGTACTTTTATAATTAATAAGTAATGTTATAAGGAAAGAGTAATCTGTTATTATAAGTAATTTATTTCCTAATGTCCTCATATATTCTCATATTTTTTTCCTCTCTGCTGTTAAATCCATATAGAGCATGTACTTGGTTATTTTAAGATATAAGATTAGAGGAGGTCGCGGCGCCGGAGGCCCCAGAAGGGTCGAAGGCGCCGCGGGCTGGGGTCGGTGGCTTAGGGAGCCCGTCTGGCCATGGTGGCCGCGGCTGGTGGTTGGCGCGGCTGCGCTGCGGCCCGGGGCAGTGCGGAGCCAGGACAGTCGCGGCGCTGACGCCCGCGGGCCCCAGCTGCAGATATGAAGCGGAGCCGCTGCCGCGACCGACCGCAGCCGCTGCCGCGACCGACCGCAGCCGCCGCCGCGACCGACCGCAGCCGCCGCCGCCCGACCGCCGGGAGGATGGAGTTCAGCGGGCAGCGGAGCTGTCTCAGTCTTTGCCGCCGCGCCGGCGAGCGCCGCCCGGGAGGCAGCGGCTGGAGGAGCGGACGGGCCCCGCGGGGCCCGAGGGCAAGGAGCAGCCGCCTGCCTTGGCCTCCCAAAGTGCCGAGATTGCAGCCTCTGCCCGGCTGCCACCCCGTCTGGGAAGTGAGGAGTGTCTCTGCCTGGCTGCCCATCGTCTGGGATGTGAGGAGCCCCTCTGCCTGGCTGCCCAGTCTGGAAAGTGAGGAGCGTCTCCGCCCGGCCGCCATCCCATCTAGGAAGTGAGGAGCGCCTCTTCCCAGCCGCCATCACATCTAGGAAGTGAGGAGCGTCTCTGCCCGGCCGCCCATCATCTGAGATGTGGGGAGCGCCTCTGCCCCGCCGCCCCATCTGGGATGTGAGGAGCGCCTCTGCCCGGCCGAGACCCCGTCTGGGAGGTGAGGAGCGTCTCTGCCTGGCCGCCCCGTCTGAGAAGTGAGGAGACCCTCTGCCTGGCAACCACCCCGTCTGAGAAGTGAGGAGCCCCTCCGCCCGGCAGCTGCCCCGTCTGAGAAGTGAGGAGCCTCTCCGCCCAGCAGCCACCCCATCTGGGAGGGAGGTGGGGGGGGGCCCCCCCCACCCGGCCAGCCGCCCCGTCCGGTAGGGAGGTAGGGGGGTCAGCCCCCCGCCTGGCCAGCCGCCCCGTCCGGGAGGGAGGTGGGGGGGTCAGCCCTCCGCCCGGCCAGCCGCCCCGTCTGGGAGGTGAGGGGCGCCTCTGCCCAGCCGCCCCTACTGGGAAGTGAGGAGCCCCTCTGCCCGGCCAGCCGCCCCGTCCGGGAGGGAGGATGAGGGGGGGGTCAGCCCCCCCGCCCAGCCAGCCGCCCTGTCCGGGAGGTGAGGGGCGCCTCTGCCCGGCCGCCCCTACTGGGAAGTGAGGAGCCCCTCTGCCCGGCCAGCCGCCCCGTCCGGGAGGGAGGTGGGGGGGTCGGCCCCCCGCCCAGCCAGCCGCCCCGTCCGGGAGGGAGGTGGGGGGGTCGGCCCCCCGCCCGGCCAGCCGCCCCGTCCGGGAGGGAGGTGGGGGGGTCGGCCCCCCGCCCGGCCAGCCGCCCCGTCCGGGAGGTGAGGGGCGCCTCTGCCCGGCCGCCCCTACTGGGAAGTGAGGAGCCCCTCTGCCCGGCCACCACCCCGTCTGGGAGGTGTGCCCAACAGCTCATTGAGAACGGGCCAGGATGACAATGGCGGCTTTGTGGAATAGAAAGGCGGGAAAGGTGGGGAAAAGATTGAGAAATCGGATGGTTGCCGTGTCTGTGTAGAAAGAAGTAGACATGGGAGACTTTTCATTTTGTTCTGCACTAAGAAAAATTCCTCTGCCTTGGGATCCTGTTGATCTGTGACCTTACCCCCAACCCTGTGCTCTCTGAAACATGTGCTGTGTCCACTCAGGGTTAAATGGATTAAGGGCGGTGCAAGATGTGCTTTGTTAAACAGATGCTTGAAGGCAGCATGCTCGTTAAGAGTCATCACCAATCCCTAATCTCAAGTAATCAGGGACACAAACACTGCGGAAGGCCGCAGGGTCCTCTGCCTAGGAAAACCAGAGACCTTTGTTCACTTGTTTATCTGCTGACCTTCCCTCCACTATTGTCCCATGACCCTGCCAAATCCCCCTCTGTGAGAAACACCCAAGAATTATCAATAAAAAAATAAATTAAAAAAAAAAAAAAAAAAAAAAAAGAATGGACTTTCCCAGGCCAGCTGTGGTGGCTCACGACTGTAATCCCAGCACTGTGGCAGGCCAAGGCGGGCAGATCACCTGAGATCAGGAGTTCAAGACCAGCCTGACCAACACGGAGAAACCCCGTCTCTACTAAAAATAAAAAACATTAGCTGGGCGTGGTGGTGCATGCCTGTAATCCCAGCTACTTGGGAGGCTGAGGCAGGAGAATTGCTTGAACCCAGGAGGCAGAGGTTGTTGTGAGCTGAGATTGCACCATTGCACTCCAGCCTGGGCAACAAGAGGGAAACTCCATCAAAAAAAAAAAAAAAAAAAAGGACTTTCTCAAAGAAAATGTATTTAAATGTCTGCACCAATAATTCCAGCATGTGTATGAATAAATATGATATGTCCTTTAAAAAAAAAAAAAAAAAAGATATAAGATTAGGTCTGACGTGGTGGCTCACACCTGTAATCCCAGTGCTTTGGGAGGCCAAGGCAGGCGGATCACTTGAGGTCAGGTGTTGGAGACCAGCCTGGCCAACATGGTGAAACCTCGCCTCTACTAAAAATACAAAAATTAGCGGGTGTGGTAGGCGCGTACCTGTAATCCCAGCTACTTGGGAGGCTGAGGAGGGAGAATCGCTTGAACATGGGAGACTGAGGTTGCAGTGAACAGAGATGGCACCTCTGCACTCCAGCCTGGACAACAGAGCAAGGCTCCGTTTCAAAAAAAAAAGACATAAAATAAGATTAGATTTTATTTTGAGAATTATTTTAGGGATAGAGGAGCTATTATTTCCTTTAGCCACTAACAGTAGCTGAAATTCAGGCCGGATTGCAAAACTTTGCTTGGCTGAGAAACAAAGCTTGAGCCAGGCTGCCACCCACCCCACGCGGTTTGTGATGGCGCCCCCTGGCGGCGCAGCGAGCTTTCCGGTTCCTCAACCTCGTGCTTTAGGAGCGATATTTTATTTTATTTTATTTTATTTTATATATTGTTAGTTCAATAGTTTTTGGTTACATGGATAAGTTCTTTAGTGGTCATTTCTGATATTTTGGTGCACCCATCACCCAAGCTGTGTACACTGTACCCAATGTGTAGTCTTTAATCCCTCACCCTTCTCCCACCCCTTCCCGCTAAGTCCCCAAAGTCCATTACATTATCCCGATGCCTTTGCATTCTCATAGTTTAGTTCCCACTTATAATTGAGAACATGTGATATTTGTTTTTCCATTCCTGAGTTTCTTAGAATAATGGCCTCCAGCTCCATTCGAGTTGCTGCAAAAGACCATAATTTCTTTCCTTTTTATGGCTGAGTTAGTAGTCCATGTTGTATATATACCACCTTTTCTTTATCCACTTGTTGGTTGAGGGGCACTTAAGTTGGTAGGAGCGACTTTAGAAATTCCACTCAGTCTATTCCTTGAACGCTTTCTAGCTCACATTGTGGATCCTTTAATCTTCACAACATGTCTCTGTAAGAAGTGGTATTTTTAACATTTATTTTATTTATTATTTATTAATTTATTTTGACAGGGCCTCGCTCTGTCATCCAGGCTGGAGTGCAATGGTGCAACTATGCTCACCGCAGCCTCAACCACCTCCAGTTCATATAACCCTCTGCCTCCGCCTTCCAGTAGCTGGAACCTCAAGGGCACACCACCGCACCTGGCTAATTTTTTAAAAAATTTTCTAGAGACAGGGTCTCACTTTGTTGCCAGGGCTGGTCTCAAATGCCTAGCTTCAAGTGCTCCTCCTGTTTCAGCCTCCCAAAGTGCTGGGGTTACAAGCTTGAGCCACCAAAGCTGGCTAAGAAGGAGTATTTAATCCTCTTAAGATGATAAAACTGAGGTTCAAAAGAGTAAAGCAACTTGCCCAGGGTTGCAAAGGGAGTGGCAGAGCCAGAATTTGGACCTAGGTCCCCCTGACTTCCAGGCTGAGTATAAATGTCTAGGTGAATCTAAATGTGTATCCAGGTAGAGAAGTATTGGTGTAGAGCAGGTGTTGTCAATTGGGGGTGGTTTCCCCCACAGAGACAGTTGGCAATGTCTGGAGATATTTTTAGTTTTCATAACAGGGGTGGGGATGGGAGAGATGGAAGGCTGCTATTGGCATCTAGTGAAGAAAGGCCACGTGGATGCTGCTGAACAATGCACAAGGCACAGAACAGCCCCCACCACAAGCAATTGTTCAGCCCAAATATCAGCAGAACTGCTATGAAGCCCTGGTTGGACTTAGAAACCTGAAGATGCATTCTTGCAGTTAGCTAATGTTTGCCAAGTACTGAGCTGGACAACGTGAGGGATATGGAAACAGTGCACCACTTTGTGCTGCCAAGGAGGCTGCAGCCTAGAAGGTCAGGGGTTGGAGGCAGGAGAGGCGCATGAAGGCCTTCAACATAAGGCAGCAGATGATAAGTGTCAAGAACAGAGTGTCCAGTAGGGCTAGGCCAGCTCTCAGGAGGGAGACCACATGTCTGGCTGTGGGAGAAACTGAGGGAAGCTGTGGAAAGGTGGTTTTGAGCTGGGTGTGTGAGCAAAGTTGAGCTGATGGGAAAACACAAGACCTGTTCAGGGAAGGGCAAAAAGTCTAGTTTGGGTGGGGAGAGAGTATTTTTTTATTGAGTAGAGAGGGAAATGCTGGAAAAGCAGGTTGGGGCTAGAGCTTTGAGTCCAGGCTAAGGACTCAAGCCTGGGTGTCTGTCACAGAGATGGAAAAGCCTTTCCTCTCAGAATGGTTGTCTAGACCGTAGGGCTACGGGGCTCAGCAGTTTCCCGAGTGCTCTCTCTACAAAGGAGGGGACATTGGAAATTGTAGTGTAGGAGGGTGAACATCTCCTGATTTTAGGACCAATTTCATGCTGAGTATGTGACAAACCCATTTCACATCAAAGTGGCCCTTGGGTAGATGGTGTTCCCAAGTGAAAATTTACATGGGGTGAGCTCTCTTCTGCGTGGTTGCTCTGTGAAAGCCTGGGCCACTTTATACTGAAAACCCAGAGCAGACTTGAAGCCCCTAAGCAAAGGTTTGCTACCCTAAAGGTGAGTTGCTACAGCAGGACTTGCTATGGATAAAGTTGCAAATATGGACACTACCTGGTGACAGGATTTTTCTAGTTTATTACTTTACCATTAAATAGCATTAAGACATGTTTGTGGCATGTATGGTACACTGTAAAGACTATAAGTAAGGATTTCCTGACCTTCTATACATGTACAGTTGCCTTTAACAACCTCCCACCTCTGCCACCATGTTTGGCCCCAGAGAAATGCATTACTCTTCTGGAAAAGGGGTTAGAGGAGAAGGCAAGAGAGCAAATATTTGTTGAGCTAGCGTGTGTGTGTGTGTGTGTGTGTGTGTGTGTGTGTGTGTATTTGCCAGCTACCGTTGTGGACACTTTCCCATACAGTATCTTAACTCTCTTGACACCGTTTGTATATAAGTACAGTTTACTTCTTTTGATAAAGGAGGAAGCTGGCACTGGAAAAGACTAACTTGCCCTAATCCCCTGTAGCTGAAAGAAGCTACATTTTGATGCATGTGTGGCCCACTATGCCACATTTTCTCCTCCCTTTTTTCCATTCATAGGCAATTAATCTTATCCACCTGGACTTGGGCTGCTAGAGACCATGGTCATTAGCATTAGTGGCAGCAACAGAAGGAGGAAAGAGATTAGAACTTTCATTGTGATTGTTGGTGCAGCTGTAAGTCATTTGAAGACTGTATGGAAGTTTCCCGGTTGGAGGCTCCTGATCTCTGGGGATGGCTCAGGCCAGGGTACTCAGCCCGGTGGTCTGCACTTTAGTCCCAGGTCAGTGTTTCCATCTGAGGGCAAGAGCAGGTGAGGTGATGCTGGCCTTACTGTTAAGTAACAGATTAGACGATGTGCTTTCCAGAAATGTAGGAGATAAAATTCCTCAAACAAAAAAATAAGACAGAAGGTGTTGCAGCAGAGAGTTTAATACTTGCAAGATGGCCAAGCAAAGAGGATGGGAGATATTTTTCAAATCTGCCTCCCCAAGAATTTGGAGACTAGGGTTTTAAAGGAGTGTTTGGAGAGCAGGGGACTAGGAAATGGACACGGCTGATTGGTTGGGCTGGAAATGAAATCATCGGGTGTCAAAATTGTCTTGTGCACTGAGTAAGTTCCTGGGTGGAGCTCACAGGACCAGTTGAGTCAGTTTCTTAGTGTAGGTCAACAGTCTGGGTGGTGTCAATTGATCCACCAGAATGCAAAGTCTAAACAATATCTCAAACTCCAGCCTTAAATTTCACAATAGCAATATAATCTATAGGAGCAATTAAAGAACATATAAATCTTGTGCCCACTGGCTACGTGACTCCTGAGCAGCAGGTAATTATAAAAACAAAAAAAAAGATGGGGAACAATGACTGTTTGCTGTTTAACTCTGCCTATATCTTAGCTAAATTCAGGCCCCTACCATAATTCTAACCTTGCAACATTTCATTTGTTTTACAAAGTTGGTTTCAATTCCAGAACAAGAAGGGGATTAGTTAAACTATAAATTCCTTCTATAGTTAGGCTGGCCTATGTACAGGAATAAGCAAAGGTGGATAGTTTGTGAAGTTAGAAGCAAGATGGAGCCAGTTACATTGGATTTCTCTCACTATTAAAATTTTCCAAGGGTGGTTTCAGTTCCCCCTGGGCTTAAGCATTCCTTATTCCTGAGGTGTGAGCAGATGATGAGATGGAAGGGGTTGATAACCACTCTAACTTCTTCCTGATGATAGGGGGCATCATTGGGGTTTATTCCAGGATAGGAGAAATGAAACTGTCTTGCTGTCGTCTTCCTATATTCACGAATGCCTGGTTGGGGACCCAAGTTTTGCATGACAAGGATATTAGTATTCACATCCCCAGCCGCAGCACAGTACTTAAGTGAACAGCAGACTGTAAGTGTTGAGCCCTAATATAAAGAGTGAAAGCCCAAGTCTCAAGAGTTCTTGTGGAACTGATCTGAAATTTTAAGGCATCCAGATAAATAACACCGAGAACCAATCAGACATGGGGTCACCGGTAAAGACCTGCTGTAACCATGAAGTTTCTTGGGAATTTCTTTCTATCCAGATTTCAACTTCTCCTGAGGTGTTTATATAGGTGCAACAAGTGGTGTTTCATATTGCACAAATTCCCCTTTGTCTAGCCAACAGGAAATCAAGCACCAACAGATTGTCTAGGACTACGTGAGCTAGCAAACTGAAGGAACTTTGTTGAACCCTAAGGGTTTTTGCAGTTTCTTCTAGACAATCAATCCGAAGGTAGCAGACAGGTTCCTGATCATGTCTCTGTTGCCATAAACACCATAACTAGGAACAAATATCCCTAGAAGGCTCTGCCACCAGGTATCTTGATGTCTGCCTGAAGTCCTCGTTTTGTTCTATGGGGAAATCAGTGGAATTTATCACCATGAAGATAGGCTGAGAAGGGAGTTACAAAATGTCCCGGTAAGCAGGAGCCCTTGATATGCAGGCTATTGAGACACAGGTGGGCTCATCCTAATAGAGCCTGCAGATACCTGTATGAACTGGATGAATTCCTCTCTTTGCAAGGTCCCAAAGTAACTTGGGGTTCCTGGCCTATCAGAAAGTGGCATTCTTTACTTACTTCACATCAGAAATCCTGTAAAGGAACTGCATAGACAAGGTACAAGACCAGCTCTTCCAAGGGGCTTTTATTGGCTCTATAAGTCAACTTCAATTTCTGAATGCAGGCTGCTCATTCCAAAGATAGCTCACTGAAAGGAAAATTCAAGACAGGGAATCAGAAGCTGTCCATGAAAGGGGATAAGATCAATAAATGGCAAAAGTCACAGAGATATCAAACCAGAAAAATCTGCCTGAGCCAGACATCAAACCCAGTCCACTGCAGTGAGAGGGCAAACCTTAGCCACTGAGCTACAGTGTAGGGCAGTCTCCATTGCTATTCCCAGAAGTAATCTAGAGCAGGCAGTGTTCAGCTTACAGAAGATTTTTTTCTAAATTTTTAAATTAATTAAAACATTATAGAGGAGACAAACAGTTATTCCTACCCTTTTGCCAGCTTGTCAGCTTCCTGGATTCCCTTTGTCTGTGGCTTCCAGAAGACCAGAGTTGGGGTCAAGCCATGTTATAAAAGAAAATCATCCTTTTCCACTTCATGGAATCATAAGCAAAAGGCCTCCCAATTTTGCAAGATGCAGCCCAATGGGCTGCACAGGAGAGCCAAATTAACATTTCCCATTCTGGCTGAAGTGATATACACATAACAAAACACAGACACTAGTCACCCAACTCAGCACCCATGTATCAACCTGACAAAGCTCAAACTTGCCCTTGTTGGCCCCTATCATCTTTGATCCATTCAGGGTATGAAGATATAACCTCTGACCAGGAGTTCAATGGGTAGTCTCTGGGAAAGATGGGAAAGTGACTGTCACCCTGAGTTAGGCTGGCTGAGTTTCCACTAGCGATTCCTTCAGAGTTCACCAAATGTGACTACCCAGATAAACAGCTCCCAGAGTTAGGCCTGCTGAGCTTCTGATAACAAGCCCTTCAGGGAATCCCCTCCATAAACATAAATGTACATAACAAGACAAAGACAGATGAATACAAATTCAAGAAGGGAGGGAAAAACCTGCAGTGACCCCATGGTCAGGGCTGAAGGCAGCGAGTGCACTGCGAGCTTTGGGTTTCTGTGGTCAGCAAGCCAGAGCAGCACCTCTTGGGTGGGCTGAGCCCACCCCACACCCTCAGCGCGCTGAAACACAAGAGTTTAGCACTCAAGGGGATGCCCCAAAATGCTGCCGGTGCTGCCCCTGGACAGGACTGTCCTCCAGCACATCCTCAGCCACTGAGGAGCCATCAGCTTCAGCTCCAGCTCCATGTTCTTCAGCTGTCCCAATTCCCGGCAGCTATCCCAGAGGTGTGGAGCTATCTCCTATGACAGTTCTGATCACACTGCATTATACCTCATGTGCTAGGAGATGTACATGTAAGGAGCCAAGCAGGATTTGAATCTGAAAGAAGAGATTCTCAACTATATATTGATTTTCATGTTTTCCACTTGGGCTCTTCATGCCAGAATTAAAAATTTCCCTAGATATTATCTGTCACTAAAAGGTATTTGTGGGAAGATGGTGGACAGGAAGCAGGACTACATTGCAACTCCAGCTCAGAGGGACAGAGTGGTGTGTAGAATCACATTGTGAACTCTTGCTCCAGAACTATTGCAGGAATATACCAGGAAAGCTGAGAGAATCCACAGATCCTCTGAAAGAAGCAGATTGCTCCGGCAGGACCCAGGAGACAGCCCAAATACTGTGCTGGTATCCATGGATGAGAGATCTGAAGATGATTTACATCATAGGTCTCTGTGCAGACACTCCCAGTACCAGCCTGGAGCCTGGTAGCCTTGCTAGGTGGCTAGATCCTGAAGAGAAATAACAATCACTAAAATTCAGCTCTCAGGAAGCCATATCCCTCAGAAAAGGGGGAGAGTACTACATCAAGGGAACACCCTGTGGGGCTAAAGAATCTGAACAGCAGCCTTGAGTCCCAGATCTTTCCTCTGACATAGCCTACCCAAATGAAAAAAAAACAAAAAAACAAAAAAAGAAAAACAGAAAAACAACTCTGGTAACATGGCAAAACAAGGTTCTTTAACACCCCCCTCCAAAAAAAAAAAATCACACTAGCTCACCAAAAATGGATCCATACCAAGAAGAAATCCCTGATTTGCCTGAAAAAGAATTCAGACTATAGATTATTAAGCTAATCAAGGAGGCACCAGATAAAGGTGAAGTCTAATTCAAGGAAATCCAAAAAAATGACACAAGATATGAGAGGAGAAATTGTCAGTGCAACAGATAGCATAAATGAAAAACAATAAAAACTTCAGGAAATAAAGAAGACTCTTAGAGAAATGTAAAATGTACTGAAAAGTCTCAGCAATAGAATTGAACAAGCAGAAGAAAGAACTTCAGATATCAAGGATGAGGTTTTCAAATTAATGCAATCCAACAAACACAAGAAAAAAGAATTTAAAAAATGAATAAATCCTCCAAGAAACTTGGTATTGTGTTATACAACCAAACCTCAGAATAATTGGTATTCCTGAGGAAGAAAAGAAATCTAAAAGTTTGGAAAACATATATGGGGAAATAAACAAGAAAAACTTCCCTGGCCTTCCTAGAGACCTACACATCCAAATACAAGAAGCTTAAAGAACACCTGGGAAATTCAATGCAAAAAGATCATCACCTAGGCACATTGTCATCAGGTTATCTAAAGTCAAGATAAAGAATCTTAAGAGCAGCGAGGCAAAAGCACCAGGTAACCTATAAAAGAAAACCCATCAGATTAACAGCAGATTTCTCAGCAGAAACCCTACAAGCTAGAAGGAATTGGGGCCCTATCTTCAGCCTCCTTAAAAAAAAGACAATTATCAGCCAAGAATTTTGTATCCAGCAAAACTAAGCCTCATAAATAAAGAAAAGATACAGTCTTTTTCAGACAAACAAATGCTGAAAGAATTTGACACTACCTAGCCACCACTACAAGAACTGCTAAAAAGGAGCTCTAAATCTTGAAATAAATCCTGGAAACACATCAAAACAGAATGTCTTTGAAACAAATCTCACAAGACCTATAAAACAAAAATACAGTTAAAAAAATTCTAAATCTCAATACTAACATTGAATGTAAATGACCTAAATGCTCCACTTAAAAGACACAGAATTGTAGAATTGATAAAAATTTACCAACCAAGTATCTGCTGCTTTCAAAAGACTCACCTAACACACAAGGACTCACATAAACTTAAGGTAAAGGGGTGGGAAAAGACATTCCATGCAAATGGACATGAAAAGCAAGCAGGAGTAGCTATTCTTATATCAGACAAAACAAACATTAAGGCAACAGCAGTTAAAAAAGACAAAAAGGGACATTATATGATGATAAAAGACCTTATCCAACAGGAAAACATCACAATCTTAAATATATATGCACCTAAATTTATGTTCCCAAATTTATAAAACAATTACTACTAAACCTAAGAAATGAGAGATACAGCAACACAATAATAGTGGGGACCTCAATACTCCACTTTCAGCACTAGACCAGTTATCTGGACCAAAAGTCAACAAAGAAACAATGGATTTAAACTATACCCTGGAACAAATGGACTTAACAGATATTTACAGAACATTCTACCCAACAACCACAGAATATACATTCAATTCACCAGTATGTGGAACGTTCTCCAAGATAGACCATATGATAGGCCACAAAACAAGTCTCCCAGGATCTGAGCAGAAATAAATGAAATTGAAACAAACAAACAGAAACACAAAAGATGAATAAAACAAAACGTGGTTCTTTGAAAAGTTAAATAAAATTGATAGGCCATTAGCAAGATTAACCAAGAAAAGAAGAGAGAAGATCCAAATAAGCTCAATTAGAAATAAAACAGAAGATATTACAACTGACACCACAGAAATACAAAAGATCATTCAAGGCTACTATGAGCACCTTTATGTGCATAAACTAGAAAACCTAGAAAAGGTGGATAAATTCCTGAAAAGATGCAACCTTCCTAGCTTAAATTAGAAAGAGTTAGAAACCCTGAGCAGACCAGTAACAAGCAGCAAGATTGAAATGGTAACCAAAAAATTACCAACAAAAAAAAAAGTCCAGGACCAAACAGATTCACAGCACAATTATACCAGGTATTCAAAGAATAATTGGTGTAAATCCTACTGACACTTTTCCACAAGATAGAGAAGGAGGCAATCCTCCCTAAATTATTCTGTGAAGCCAGTATCACCCCAATACCAAAACCAGGAAAGGACATAACAACAACCAAAAAAAAAAAAAAACTACAGACCAATATCTCTGATGAACATAAATGCAAAAATTCTTAACAAAATACTAGCTAACCAAATCCAACAGCTTATCAAAAAGATATAATCTATCATGATCGAGGGGGTTTCATACCAGGGATGCAGGGATGGTTTAACATTCACAAGTCAATAAATGTGATGCATCACATAAACAGAATTAAAAACAAAAATTACATGATCATCTCAATAGATGCAGAAAAAGCATTTGACAAAATCCAGCATTGCTTTATGATTAAAATCCTCATCAAAATCGGCATACAAGGGACATACCACAATGTAGTAAAAGCCATTTATGACAAAGCCACAGCCAACATAAAACTGAATGGGAAAAAGTTGAAAGCATTCCCTCTGAGAACTGGAACAGGACAATGATGCCCACTCTCACCACTTCTACTAAACATAGTACTGGAAGTCCTATCCAGAGCAATCAGACAAGAGAAAAAAATAAAGGGCATTCAAATCAATAAAGAGGAAATCAAACTGTCACTGTTTGCTGATGATTTAATTGTACATCTAGCAAACCATCAAGACTCCTTCAAAAAGCTTCTAGAACTGATAAATGAATTCAGCAAAGTTTCAGGTTACAAAATTTATGTACATAAATCAGTAGTTCTGATACATCAACAGTGACCAAGCTGAGAATTGAATCAAGAACTCAACCCCTTTTACAATAACTGCAAAAATAAAATAAAATAAAATACTTAGGAATATACCTAACCAAGGAGGTGAAATATCTGTAAAAGGAAAACTACAAAACACTGCTGAAGGAAATCATAGATGACACAAACAAATGGAAACACATCCCATGCCCATGCATAGATAGAATCAATATTGGGAAAATGACCATACTGCCAAAAGCAACTTACAAATTCAATGCAATTCCTATCTGTATTAGTCCATTTTCATGCTGCTGATAAAGACATACCTGAGACTAGGCAATTTACAAAAGAAAGAGGTTTAATTGAGGGTATGGCAAGGTGGCCAAATAGGAACAGCTCTGGTCTGCAGCTCCCAGTGAGACCAATGCAGAAGGTGGGTGATTCTGCATTTCCAACTGAGGTACCCAGCTCATCTCATTGGGACTGGTTAGGCAGTGGGTGCAGCCCATGAAAGGTGAGCAGAAGCAAAGTGGGGCATGACCTCACCCAGGAAGCACAAGGGGTTGGGGAACTCCCTCCCCTAGCCAAGGGAAGCCATGAAAGGCTGTGCTGTGAGGATGGTGTTATCTGGCCCATATACTGTGCTTTTCACACGGTCCTTGCAATCCACAGGCCAGGAGATTCCCTTGGGTGCCTACACCATCAGGGCCCTGGGTTTCAAGCACAAAACTAAGCGGCTGTTTGGGCAGACAATAGCTACCTGCAGGAGTTTTTATTGTACCCCAGTGGCACCTGGAACACCAGAGAGACAGTACCATTTACTCCCCTGGAAAGGGAGCTTAAGTGAGGCAGCTGAGTGGTCTTGCTCAGTGGAGTCCACCCCCACAGAGCCCAGCAAGTTAAGATCAATGGGCTTGAAATTCTCGCTGCCAGCACAGCAGTCTGAAGTCTATGTGGGAAGCTTGAACTTGGTGGGGGGAGGGGCGTCCACCATTAGTGAGGCTTGAGTAGATGGTTTTCCCCTCACAGTGTAAACAAAGCCTCCAGGAAGTTCAAACTGGGTGCAGAACCCACAGCAGCATGGCAAAGCCACTGTAGCCAGACTGGCTCTCTAGATTTCTCCTCTCTGGGCAGGACATCTCTAAAAGAAAGGCAGCAGCCCCAGTCAGAAGCTTATAGATAAAACTCCCATCTCCCTGGGAAACAACACCTGGGGGAAGGGATGGCTGTGGGCACAGCTTCAGCAGACTTAAACGTTCCTGCCTACCAGCTCTGAAGAGAGCAGCAGATCTCCCAACACAGCACTTGAACTCTGCTAAGGGACAGACTGCCTCCTCAAGCAGGTCCCTGACACCCGTGCCACCTGACTGGGAGACACTTTCCAACAGGAGTTTACTGAGACCTCATACAGGAGAGCTCTGGCTGGCACCTGGTGAGTGCCCCTCTGGGATGAAGTTTCCAGAGGAAGGAGCAGGCAGCAATCTTTGCTGTTATGCAGGCTCCACTGGTGATACCCAGACAAACAGGGTGTGGAGTGGACCTCCAGCAAACTCCAGCAGACCTGCGGAAGAGGGGGCTGACCATTAGAAGGAAAACTAACAAACAGAAAGTAATAATATCAACATCAACAGAAAGGATGCCCAAGCAAAAACCCCATCCAAAGGTCACCAACATCAAAGACCAAAGGTAGATAAATCCGCAAAGATGAGGATAAACCAGCACAAAAAGGCTAAAAATTCCAAAAATCAGAATACCTCTTCTCCTCCAAAGGATCACAACAAGGGAACAAAACTGGACAGAGAACGAGTTTGACAAATTGACAGAAGTAGACTTCAGAAGGTGAGTAATAACAAACTCCTCTAAGCTAAAGGAGCATGTTCTAACTCAATGCAAGGAAGCAAAGACTCTTGATAAAAGGTTACAGGAACTGCTAACTTGAATAACCAGTTTAGAGAAGAACATGAATAATCTGATGGAGCTGAAAAACACAGCATGAGAACTTCATGAAACGTATACAAGTATCAATAGCTGAATCGATCAAGTGGAAGAAAGGATATTAGAGATTGAAGATGAACTTAATGAAATAAAGTGTGAATACAAGATTAGAGAAAAAAGAATGAAAGGAATCAACAAAGCCTCCAAGAAATATGGGACTATGTGAAAAGACCAAACCTATGTTTGATTGGTGTACCTTAATGTGATAGGGGAGAATGGGACCAAGTTGGAAAACACACTTCAGGATATTATCCAGGAGAACTTCCCCAACCTAGCAAGACAGACCAACATTGAAATTCAGGAAATACAGAGAACACCACTAAGATACTCCTTGAGAAGAGCAACCCCAAGACACATAACTGTCAGATTCACCAAGGTTGAAATGAAAGAAAAAATGTTAAGGGCAGCCAGAGAGAAAGGTCGGGTTACCCACAAAGGGAAGCCCATTAGACTAACAGTAAATCTATCTGCAGAAACCCTACAAGCCAGAAGAGAGTGGGGGCTAATATTCAACATTCTTAAAGAAAAGAATTTTCAACCCAGAATTTCATATCTGACCAAACTAAGCTTCATAAGTGAAGGAGAAATAAAATCCTCTACAGAGAAGCAAATGCTGAGGGATTTTGTCACCACCAGGACTGCCTTACAGGAGCTCCTGAAGGAAACACTAAATATGGAAAGGAAAAACCAGTACTACCCACGGCAAAAACAAACCAAAATGTAAATACCATTGACACAATGAAGAAATTGCCTCAACTAATGGGCAAAATAACCAGCTAACATCATATGACATGCTCAAATTCACACATAACAATATTAACCTTAAATGTAAATGGGGTGAATGCCCCAATTAAAAGACATAGATTGCAAATTGGATAAAAAGTCAAGAACCATTGGTGTGCTGTATTCAGGAGGCCCATCTCACGTGCAAAGACACACATAGGCTCAAAATAAAGGGATGGAGAAAGATTTACCAAGCAAATGGAAAGCAAAGAAAAGCAGGGGTTGCAATCCTAGTCTCTGATAAAACAGACTTTAAGCCAGCAAGGATCAAAAAAGGCAAAAAAAGGCATTACATAATGGTAAAGGGATCAATTCAACAGGAAGAGCTAACTATCCCAAATATATATGCACCCAATACAGGAGCACCCAGATTCATAAAACAAGTTCTTAGATAACTAAGAAGAGATTTAGACTCCCACACAGTAATGGTGGAAGACTTTAACATCCCACTGTCAGTATTAGACAGATCAAAGAGACAGAAAATTAACAAGGATATTTAGGACTTGAATTCAGCTCTGGACCAAGCAGACCTAATAGACATCTACAGAACTCTCCACCCCAAATCAACAGAATATACATTCTTCTCAGCACCACATAGCACTTATTCTAAAATTGACCACATAATTAGAAGTAAAACACTCCTCAGCAAATACAAGAGAACGGAAATCATATCAAACAGTCTCTCAGACCACAGTGCAATCAAATTAGAACTCAGGATTAAGAAACTCACTCAAAACCGCACAACTACATGGAAACTGAACAATCTGCTCCTGAGTGACTACTGGGTAAATAACAAAATTAAGGCAGAAATAAATAAGTTCTTTGAAACCAATGAGAACAAAGACACAAGGTACCAGAATCTCTGGGATACAGATAAAGCAGTGTTTAGAGGGAAATTGTAGCACTAAATGCCCACATGAGAAAGTGGGAAAGATCTAAAATTGACACCCTAACATCACAATTAAAAGAACTAGAGAAGCAAGAGCAAACACATTCAAAAGCTAGTGGAAGACAAGAAATAACTAAGACCAGAGCAGAACTGAAGGAGATAGAGACATGAAAAACCCTTCAAAAAATCAATGAATCCAGGAGCTGGTTTTTTAAAAAGATTAACAAAATAGATAGACCACTATCCAGACTAATAAAGAAGAAAAGAGAGAAGAATCAAACAAACACAATAAAAAATGATAAAGGGGATATCGCCACTGATCCCACAGAAATACAAACTACCATCAGAGAATACTATAAACACCTCTATGCAAATACAGTAGAAAATCTGGAAGAAATAGATAAATTCCTGGACACATACACCCTCCCAAGACTAAATCATGAAGAAGTCAAATCCCTGAATAGACCAATAACAAGTTCTGAAATTGAGGCAGTAATTAATAGCCTACCAACCAAAAAAAAAAATAGACCAATAACAAGTTCTGAAATTGAGACAGGCAGTAATAGCCTACCAACCAACAAAAGCCCAGCACCAGATGGATTCACAGCCAAATTCTACCAAAGGTACAAAGACGAGCTGGTACCATTCCTTCTGAAACTATTACAAACACTAGAAAAAGAGGGACACCTCTCTAACTCATTTTATGAGGCCAGCATCATCCTGATACAAAAACCTCGCAGAGACACAACAAGAAAATAATATTTCAGGCCAATATCCCTGATAAACATTGATGCAAAAATCCTCAATAAAATACTGGCAAACTGAATCCAGCAGCACATAAAAAGAGCTTATCCACCATGATCAAGTCAGATTCACCCCTGGGATGCAAGGCTGTTTCAACATATGCAAATCAATAAACGTAATCCATCACATAAACAGAACCAGTGAGAAAAAACACATGATTATCTCAATAGATGCGGAAAAGGCCTTTGATAAAATTCAACACAACTTCATGCTAAAAACACTCCATAAACTAGGTACTGATGGAACATATCTCAAAATAATAAGAGCTGTTTATGACAAACTCACAGCCAGTATCATAATGAATGGGCAAAAGCTGGAAACACTCCCTTTGAAAACCGTCAGAAGACAAGGATGCCCTCTGTCACCACTCCTATTCAACATAGTATTGGAAATTCTGGTCAGGGAAATCAGCAAGAGAAAGAAAAAAGGGGTATTTATATAAGAAGAGAGGAAGTCAAATTGTCTCTGTTTGCAGATGACATGAATTGTATATTTAGAAAATCCCATTGTCTAATCCCCAAAACTCCTTGATAAACAACTTCAGCAAAGTCTCAGGATACAAAATCCATGTGCAAAAATCACAAGCACATCTATACACCAATAATAGACAAACAGAGCCAAATCATAAGTGAATTCCCCTTCACAATTGCTACAAAGAGAATAAAATACCTAGGAATACAACTTACAAGGGATGTGAATGACCTCTTCAAGGAGAACTACAATCCACTGCTCAAAGAAATAAGAGATGACACAAACAAATGGAAGAACATTCCATGCTCATGGATAGAGAGAATCAATATCGTGAAAATGGCCATACTGCCCAAAGTAGTGTATAGCTTCAATGCTATTCCCATCAAGCTACCATTGACTTTCTTCACAGAATTAGAAAAAACTACTTTAAATTTCATATGGAAACAAAAAAGATCCCACATAGCCAAGACAATCCTAAGCAAAATGAACAAAGCTGGAGACATCATGCTGCCTGACTTCAAACTATACTACAAGCCTACAGTAACCAAAAGAGCATGGTACTGGTACCAAAACAGATACGTAGACGAATGGAACAGAGCAGAGGCCTCAGAAATAACACTACACATCTACAACCATCTGATCTTTGACATATGCAGGAAACTGAAACTGGACCGCTTCTTTACACTTTATACAAAAATTAACTCAAGACGGATTAAAGACTTGAACATAAGAACTAAAATCACAAAACCCTTAGAAGAAAACCTAGACAATATCATTCAGGACACAGGCATGGGCAAAGACTTCATGACTAAAACACCAAAAGTAATGGCAACAAAAGCCAAAATTGACAAATAGGATCTAATTAAACTAAAAGCTTCTGCACAGCAAAAGAAACTATCAGCAAAATTAACAGGCAACCTACAGAATGGGAGAAAATTTTTACAATCTATCCATCTGACAAAGGGCTAATATCCAGAATCCACAAAGAACTTAAATAAATTTACAAGAAAAAACTAAACAACTTCATCAAAAAGTAGGCAAAGGATATGAACAGACACTTCTCAAAAGAAGACAACATTTATGCGGCCAAAAAACATATGAACAGACACAGAGCCAAACCATCACTGGTCATTAGAGACACGCAAATCAAAACCACAGTAAGATGCTATCTCATGGCAGTTAGAATGGTGATCATTAAAAAGTCAGGAAACAACAGATGCTGAAGAGGATTGGAGAAATAGGAATGTTTTACACTGTTGGTGGGAATGTAAATTAGTTCAGCTATTGTGGAAGACACTGTGGTGATTCCTCACAGATCTAGAACCAGAAATACCATTTGACCCAGCAATCCCATTATTGGGTATATACCCAAAGGATTATAAATCATTTTGCTATAAAGACACATGCATACGTATGTTTATTGCAGCATTATTCACCATAGCAATGACTTGGAACCAACCCAAATGCCCATCAATGATACACTGGATAAAGAAAATGTGGCACATATACACCATGGAATACTATACAACCATAAAAAAGAATGAGTTCATGCCCTTTGCAGGGACATGAAATGAAACCATTATTCTCAGCAAACCAACACAGGAACAGAAAACCAAACACGCTTGTTTTCACTCATAAATGGGAGTTGAACAATGAGAACATATGGGCACAGAGAGGGGAACATCACACACTGGAGCCTGTCAGGGGTGGAGGGCTAGGGGAGGGATAGCATTAGGAGAAATACCTAATGTAGATGACGGGTAGATGGGTGCAGCAAACTACCATGACACATTTATACCTAAGTAACAAACCTTCACGTTCTGCACATGTATCCCAGAACTTAAAGGATAATTTTTTAAAAATAAAGAAAAAGAAAGAGCTTTAATTGGACTCACAGTTTCACGTGGCTGGGGAGAATCATGGCAGAAGTCAAGGAGAAGCAAGTCACATCTTATGTGGATGGCAGCAGGCAAAAAGAGAATGAGAGCCAAGAGAAACAGGTTTCCTGTTATCAAACCATCAGATATCATGAGACTTATTCACTACCACAAGAACAGTATGAAAGAAACCGCCCCCGTGACTCAATTATCTCTCACTGGGTCCCTCCCACAACACATGGGAATTATGGGAGTATGATTCAAGATGAGAATTGGGTAGGGACACAGAGTCAAACCATATTATTCCACCACTGGCTCCTGCCAAATCTCATGTCCTCACATTTCAAAACTAATCATTTCTTCCCAACAGTCCCCCAAAGTCTTAACTCGTTCAGTATTAACTCAAGAGTCCACATTCCAAAGTCTCAACTGAGACAAGGCAAGTCTCTTCCACCTATGAGTCTGTAAAATCAAAAGCAGATTAGCTACTTCCTAGATACAGTGGAGGTACAGGCATTGGGTAAACACAGCCATTCCAAATGGGAGAAATTGGCCAAAACAAAGGGGCTACAGGGCCCATGCAAGTCCAAAATCCAGGGGGGCAGTCGAGTCTTAAAGCTCCAAAATGATCTCCTTTGACTGCATGTCTCACATCCAGGTAATGCTGATGCAAAATACGGGTATCCATGGTCTTGGGCAGCCCTGCCCCTGTGGCAGTTCCACATGGCTGGAGAGGCCTCAGAATCATGGCAGAAGTCAAGGAGAAGCAAGTCACATCTTATGTGGATGGCAGCAGGCAAAAAGAGAATGAGAGCCAAGTGAAACGGGTTTCCCCTTATCAAACCATCAGATCTCATGAGACTTATTCACTACCATGAGAACAGTATGGGAGAAACTGCCCCCCACCAGGTGCCTCCCACAACACGTAGGAATTATGGGAGTACAATTCAGGATGAGATTTGGGTGGGGACACAGAGCCAAACCATATCACCATCAAAATACCACCGTCATTTTTCACAGAACTAGAAAAAACAATCTGAAAATTCATATGGAACCAAAAAAGAGCCCATGTAACCAAAGTAAGACTAAGCAAAAAGAAGAAATCTGGTGGCATCACATCATCTGATTTCAAACTATACTATAAGGCCATAGTCACTAAAACAGCATTGTACTGGTATAAAAGTAGACACATAGACCAACGGAACAGAATAGAGAACCCAGAAATAAACCCAAATACTTACAGCCAACTGATCTTTGACAAAGCAAACAAAAACAAGAAGTGGAGAAAGGACACCCTATTCAACAAATGGTGCTGGGATAATTGGCAAGCCACATGTAGGAGAATGAAATGATTCTCCTCTCTCACCTTATACAAAAATTAACTCAAGATGGATCAAGGACTTAAATTTAAGACCTGAAACTATAAAAATTCTCAAAGATAACATCGGAAAAGCCCTTCTAGACATGGGCTTAGGCAAAGATTTTATGACCAAGAACCCAAAAGCAAAGGCAACAAAAACAAAGATAAATAGGTGGGACTTAATTAAACTAAACGGCCTTTGCACAGCCAAAGGAATAGTTAGCAGAGTAAAAAGACAACCCCACAGAGTGAGAGAAAATCTTCACAATCTGTACCTCTGACAAAGGATTAATATCCAGAATCTACAAGGATCTCAAACAAATTAGAAAGAAAAAACAAACTATCCCATCAAAAAGTGGGCTAAGAACATGAATAGACAATTCTCAAAAGAAGATATACAAATGGCCAATGTGAAAAAATGTTCAACATTACTAATGACCAGGCAAATACAAGTCAAAACCATAATGCAATGCCACCTTACTCCCACAAGAATGGCCATAATCAAAAAATTAAAAAATAATAGAAGTTGGTGTGGATGCAGTGAAAAGGGAACACTTCAACACTGCTGGTGGGAATGTAAACTAGTACAACCACTATGGAAAAGAGTGTGGAGATTCCTTAAAGAACTAAAAGTAGAAATACTATTTGATCCAGCAATACCACTACTGGGTGTCTGCCCAGATGAAGAGAAATCATTATGCAAAAAAGATACTTGCACCCACATATTTATAGCAGCAATTTCCAATTGAAAAAATATGGAACCAGCTCAAATGCCCATCAATCAATGAGTGGATTAAGAAAGTATGAGATATATCTCATATTTTCTTTATATATATATATGAATACTACTCAGCCATAAAAGGGAATACATTCATAAATTAATGGCATTTGCAGCAACCTGAATGGAATTGGTGACTATTATTCTAAGTGAAGTAGCTCAGGAATGGAAAACCAACAATCATATGTTCTCACTCATAAGTAGGAGTTAAGCTAAGGGGATGCAAAGGCATAAGAATGATACAATGGACTTTGGGGACTTGGAGGAAAGGGTGGGAAGGGGTTGAGGAATGAAAGGCTACAAACTGGGTTCAGTGTATACTGTCTGGGCGACAGGTGCAACAAAATCTCACAAATCACCATTAAAGAACTTATCCATGTAACCAAATACCACCTGTTCCCCCAAAAACTTATGGAAATAAAACAAGTTAAAAAAGAAAAGAAAAAGATGGGGGAAAAACAAGACAAAGACAATCAAAATACCTTACCAACCTAAATTCCAGATAAGAAAATTTTCAGGAGTATTCTTCCAAACAAGCCTCCTATTCTCCATTCAATTGGGCAGGAATTTCCCCACGCCAGGACTCTTTCTACCACCTAGGAAGAGCCAACCAAGATCTGTCAAGGGGGCACAATGCCTCCACAGGGGCCACCAGATCAGAAAAAGAAAAAGGGTGTTGTTTGCCTTTAGAATACTTATCAAAAGACATCGTCCAGTCCCAGAAAATGTTTCCCCACTGCAAGCAAGTCCAAGTACCATGGACTGACCATCCACCCACCAGCAAGGATTGTGCCAGAGGTGGCCCTCAGTTTAAGAAAGCTCACCTCCAGGGCCAGTGCACCAGTGAAGGGCTGCCAAACCATGGCCACGCACCTACAGGGGCAATCTCAAATGATGCTCCAAATCTGTTACAATCCAGTGGGTTTTTCTTGCCCGCTGCACAGAAAATGCCAACACACTGAGACAGAAGGTATTGCAACAGAGAATGAGCTTAATAATTGCAGGAGGCTCAAGCAATGAAGACAGGAGATATTTCTCAAATCTGCCTACCTGAGAATTTGAAGACTAGAAATTTTAAGAATTGTTTGGTGGGCAGGTGGCTAGGAAATGGACACTACTGACTGGTTGGGTCAGGGATGAAAACACAGTGGTGTGAAAACTGTCTTGTGTGCTGATTCAGTTCCTGGGTGAGGGTCACAGGACCAGTTGATTCAGTTTCTTGGTATGGGTCATTGGTCCAAATAGTGTCAGTTGCTCCACCAGAACGAAAAGTCTGAAAAATATCTCAAACACCAGTCTTTTTTTTTTAAATATACTTTTTATTATACTTTAAGTTCTAGGGTACATGTGCACAACGTGCAGGTTTGTTACATATGTATACATGTGCCATGTTGGTGTGCTGCACCCATTAACTCGTCATTTACATTAGATATGTCTCCTAATACTATCCCTCCCCCCTCCCCCCACCCCACAACAAGCCCCGGTGTGTGATGCTCTCCTTCATGTGTCCAGGTGTTCTCGTTGTTCAATTCCAACCCATGAGTGAGAACATGCGGCTCAAACACCAGTCTTAAGTTTCACAATAGTGATGTTATCTATAGGAGCAAATGGAGAAATTACAAATATTGTGACTATCAGCTGACTGACTCCTGAGCAATAAACAATTATTTTAAAAAGCAAGCAAGGTAGGGAATGATGACTGCTTACTGTTTAACTATGCCTACATCTTAGCAGAATTCAGGCCACTCTGATAATTCTAACCTTGTGACATTCATCCATTTTTCAAAGGTAGTTTCTGTTCCTGAATAAGGAAGGGTAGGTTAAACTATAAACTAAATTCCTCCCACAGTTAGGCTGTCCTACATACAGAAATAAGCAAAGGCAGTTAGCTTGTGAATATAAAGGCAAGATGGAGTCAGTTATGCTTTTTTCTCTCACTTTTATAATATCACGAGCATAGTTTTGTGTTCAGTTCTCTGTCAGTGGTAGTGGTCATGACATGGGCTCTGGAGTTAGGTACACATAGTTTCTATTCCCAGATCCACCACCAATCTTGGAAAGTTACTTCACCTTTCTGAAGATTTGTATCCTTCTCTGAAATAACAAGATATTGTGGTTGAGAGGAATAAATAAAATAACATCTGCAAACCCACTCTTATTCCTGAGATCCTCTTTAAAACTAGCATCTACAGTGGTAACTTACAGTGATTCCCTCGGTTTATGTCTCTCTTTGTCTCTGTTTTCCTAAGGCTGAATGCTTCCAAGTACTCACCTGAATCCTGCCTCTTTAGTGAAATCTTTTCCAACCATTCCTGAACCAGCTGATCCTATCCTTCTATAAATTATTTCTCCCATATGTCAACATTTAATTATGTGCCATTCCTCTTGGTGAGACACTATAGAGAGGTTTAAAGGACATTGGCTGTGTGATCATTGAGGGATAATTGAGTAAATTTTTTTTTAGTGCTCACTGAGTGTTAGAGCTGCCCTCTCTTTTTTTCAGCTGTTGCTAGCAGCAGTCCCTTCTGCACCAGCAGCATCAGACCCTGGCAGGCATGTGAATACCTTAGGGATTGCTCTTGTCAGGGTCCTTCCTGCTTCTGGATTTTGGTTCCATTTGTGTTTCCTTTTGCATGTTATTCAATGGCCTCTTGTGTTATTGTGAAATACAGATTGACCGTGGCAGAATTTAACTGGAGGACACCCAGCCAGTGTCCACTGCAGTACTGATTGCTCACTTGGTGGTGGGGAGGAACACCCACACCCATATTTGGTCAAAGAATTCTTCTGTGTTGATGATGTGGTGTGAAATCAGATAAAATGGGTTTTAGAGTTTTTCTAAATATTCCTCCAAGGGAGAGATTGTTGACATTTATTTATGAAAACCTCAAGATAATAACTCTAAGGAAGTTGAGCACAGTATCCTCTTGCTTAAAAAGCCTGGTGATAGGAATTGTGTTCACTTTCCTAATTCATGAAATTTAAAATAGGGTCTTTCCTCTCTTACTTCAGAAGAGATGAAGGACAAAAGACCAGATGGGGAGGACAAGGTTGTTTATGGGGAAGTCATGTACCTCTGACCTGGATTCTACGATGTTCATTCAATCATACCTGGAAGTGTGCATCTTTGCATGTGCAGTCATATATTTCTATCACATGACTCATAATTCCCTCCCTGTCAGTGGCAATTAGGAGCTCATGTAAAGCTTAGGACAGTAAAATTATATGGTGTGTTCTTCCACTGCAACAAGGTTTCTCTGAGGTTTAAGGAAACAATAGGACAAGAGGGCTGGACACTTTACCTGGTGTCCTGCCTTCTTTTTTTATTGAGCAGCAGTCTACTCACCCATCATTTTTGACCTTCCTGTTTTCCTACCATGGGTTCAGATATAATTACTGATGTCCAGATACAATTACTTGTGCCTGGAGCTTGATGTTATTTTTTAAAAGAGAGGCCTGAGGAATGGTTTCCTAGCTGATTTCCAGGATTCTAATTTTCACTGTCTAAGTCGTTGGTTTTCAACCCTGGCTACTGGTTAGAGTCACCTTAGGAATTTAAAACATACAAATGCCTGTGTCTTCCTCAAAGAGAGTCTAATTTGATTGCTCCATGGTGTGCCTTGGGATTTGGTCATTTAAAAATGCTTCCAAGGAAAATAGTCATTTTACAGTGGAGGAACTTTAGCCCAGTGCTCAAAGTTAACATCCCCAATAATCAAAGATATAGAAATTCTGGGCATCCTAATATGATGGATGGAGAAGGTGCAGCATCGCCTCTGTGGCATTTTTGCCCAAAGTGGATAACCTGAGTTTAATTATGAGAAAATATTAGGTAAGCCCAAACTGAGGGTCATTCCACCAAATAACTCACCGATACTCTTTAAAAATGTTAAGGTCATGAAGGCAAAAGTAATTCTGAGGAACCATCCCAGATTGAAGGCGATTGAGAGGACAGAATAATGAGATGCAGTGTGTGATCTTGTATGGATCCTTGTCCAGAAAAAGGATATTAGTGGGAAGATGGAGAGGATTTGAATAGGGTCTGCAAGTTCATTCATTGTAAGATGTCAGTGATCATTTACTGATGTTGATGATTACACTGTGGTTATCTATAACGTTAATATTAGGGAAAGTTGAACGAAAAGAATATGGGGACTCTGACTATTTTTGGAACATTTTTGGAAGTGTAAGATTATTTCAAAATGAAAGTTATAAAAAAGAAGGGGGAAAAAACTTCCAGATAATCCTGAGTTCCCAGAGTTGAAGACCACTTGCCTAAGTTATCTTGCCTAATACTGTCAGAGTAATCTTCCTGGAAATGCTTTTTGTGATGTTACTGACCTTCTCAAAGCTTTCCAGTGACTCTTATCATCTATAGGATGAAATTCCAATTTCTTAAGCCATCATTCAAAGTCTCCATAATATGACCCCAATCTACTCCCTTGATCCACATTTGACTTTCTCATGTCTAAATATTTTGCAATTATTTGACTCCTTCATATAACATGCATACCTGCCTGTTCACCTCCTAAATTGTTCTTCATCCTAAGGCTTATTTCAGTCCCTGTCTCTTCATTGAAGCTTGTATGGTTATTTCTGTTAGAAGCCGTCATCCTTTGTTTCTTTGAATTCTGGAAGGTACAATGGTGTGGACTGAAACATAAGCTTTGGATTCAGAAATATGTGAGTCTGAATTCTGGTTCCACCTTTCACCAATTCTGAGATAAAAGACAAGTTAGTGATGTCTTGGGATAGAGGGATAATAGTACCTACTTAAAGGGTCATTGTGAGCATTAGATGAGGTGCAAACACAAAGGTCTCCAGCACATAACAGATTTCTTCCTCATCATTTTTGCTGCTCAATGGTCCCCAAAGGTATTATGGGTGATGCAAAGGCTTTTATCAAAATTTTCTGCAGCACCTTTTAAAAAGTCTTGTGCCTGGCCATCACTAAGATGAGAGACACCCTTGAACTGAACTGAATGTATGGGACTTTAAAAAACTCAACCGAGATTTGTTTTTCCTGGAACACAACTCAGTAAACAAGTGGATAGAAAAATGTAACCCAACAGAGGGAGAAGGGAAGCGCAATGGTTTCATATAACAGCCATGCCTTCTTAGGAAAAAGCTGTGATGCCTTCTGAGAGTTTGCTCTCAGTCAGGCAGGATCAAAGAAGTACAACTCCTTAGTACAATCCCTTAAACCGTGAGTCCTGCACAGCACCTCACTAATCCATTCCCTGCCCAGGTGATGTGTGCATAGGTGAAGAGTCAGATCTCCATAAGTCAGACACTCTTCCCCCTTTTCAGCTCCCTGACCCTCACTACTGTGTGCTCTGGTCTGGCCCCAGCTGCCAGGCCATTAGTATTGGTCTAAGAAAGCAAGACCAGGACGGGCAGCTGAGAGGAAAGTCAGAGGCCACCAAGCATGAAAAGAGAGAGATGAGGCTGTCATTGCTCAAAGTCACCCACTCTGGGTGTGTTTTATGACTGTTTCTGGATTTTGGAATATTCTCCCCTTTGTGATCATTCCAGGGACTCACCCTCCTCCTATTTCCTTCTCATTGCACTTTCTGTCCCCAGTGCACCCTTTTTATGGCCAGAGACTGGCTGTATGACTAGATGACAATTCAGTGAAAGTTACTTGTTGTGAGGACTGAGAGCCAGGCCCACCCTGCTTTTTCCCAGAAGAGACTGGAGGTTCATAAAAGCCAGCTTTAATGCAGGGCTGTGCAGGTGTGAGTGTGGTGTTAGGGAACAGGTGCAAAAGTGAAGAGTGAGACAGAAAAAAAAGATGCTGGCTGTTCATCAAATCCTGAAAGTAGAGGGAGCAAAAATTATTCTGGAAGGTGGATGTCATTCAGGAGACCTTGGAAGACCTAGAGTGTCCTCTGCACAAATAAAGTGGAGGATGGGGTTAAATTACGGAGTTGGATGACACTCATTACCTGACTTCACTTCTCTGCCTCAGTTTTTTAAATCTGTAAAAATGGGGATGCTGACACTCAGGATTTTTTATGAGGACTGTAGCTACCTGAAAACCCCTTAGGATAGTGCCTGGTGAGTAGTGAGTGCTGCGTCAGTGTGAGCTATTATAGTTATGGAAATAGGCAAAGGTGCCATCAGGAGCATTCAGAGTGAGGAGGTGCCTTCCAGTCAGGGTCCTCGCAGGCAGCTGGAGATGAAGATGGTTAAGGGGGCTTAAACTCCACAGTGGAAGGATTGAGGAGCAGTCCTGAGAAGGAATTCAGAAGCCAACAGGCATGGAAAGAGGCCAGGGGGACTGTCATTGCTCAAAGGCCACACACTGTGGGTGTGCTTTATGACTGTTACTGGCTTTGAAATCTTCTCCCCTTTGTGACCATTCCAGGGACTCGCCCTCTTCATATGTTTCTGGATTTGGAATCTTGAGCAATATTCATGACGTACAACATTCTGTGAAAAATACCTTTACCCGACAGCAGGAACAGCCAGAGTGGGTGTGGCTTCTGTCACAAATATTGTCTCCTAGGAGTCTAGGAATGTGTCCTAAGATCGAATGGTTTTGCTGAAAGCCAAGCCTAGAAATGGGCTTCAGGGGCACCTTGTGAATAGCATTTATGTTGCCAATGGAAAGCATTCATCTTTTTAAAGGAAAGCATTCATCTTAATGAAGAAATCCCATCTTATGGTCTGGGTCAGTATTTTTTGCCTCTGTACTATCCTTATTTATAAATTGAAAAGAGAAAGACCGAAGAAGAGTGACATAAGGAAGCACATGTATGAATTAACAGGACAGAAATGGGACTAGTATGTGTAAATTAAGGGAAAGCATGTATATATTTTATGTGAACATAAAAAGGACTTCTTGTTGGCCGGCGTGGTGGCTCACGCCTGTAATCCCAACACTTTGGGAGGCAGAGACAGGCGGATCACGAGGTCAGGAAATCAAGACCATCCTGGCTAACACGGTGAAACCCCGTCTCTACTAAAAATACAAAAAATTAGCCGGGCGTGGTGGTGGGCGCCTGTAGTCCCAGCTACTCAGGAGGCTGAGGCAGGAGAATGGCGTGAACCCGGGAGGCGGAGCTTGCAGTGAGCGGAAATCGTGCCACTGCACTCCAGCCTGGGCGACAGAGCGAGACTCCGTCTCAAAAAGAAAAAAAAAAAAGAAAAAGACTTCCTGTTTTAAACAGACTTCTGTGTAAAAATAAAAATAATATACACTGCCTTGAGTGGAGAGCAGACTGCAGGACCAAAACATTCCAGCAGAGTCATGAGAGAATGGGTTGTGTGGCTTCTTTGCTAAATAGTAGGTTAAACTGAGTATGTTACTGAAGAGAAAGGAGATGAAGGAGAAGATAGGTGAGGGTGAGAGAATGTGAGATGGCAAAAGGAAAAGACTGAAAGAAAGGTTTACTAAGGGCTCATCAGGTACCAGGCTTTATGTCTAATGCCTTCCACATATTAACGTACCCATTCAAACTGTCATTTTCTGATGCAGTAAGAGTGACTCTTGTGCTGCAGATGAGAAGAGGCTGAAGTGGGTGAAGTGAGTGGTCCAGAGTCATCCAGCCAGTTCATAGCAGAGCTAGTGTGTTTCACCTCGAAGTTTGTGCTCTTTGTGATTCAGACAGAAAAGTGAGACACAGAAGGAAGGCAAAGCAATTTTTGTTGTGGGTAAAGTTTACAGAAGTTACCTGTATTAGGCAGAATAATGGCCTCCTAAAAATGTCCACATCCTAATCCCTGGAACCTGTGCATGCTACTTTATTTGGCAAAAGAAAAGACTTTGCAGGTGAGATGAAGTTAAGTTTCTTGAGATGCGAGGTTATTCTGGATAATTTGGGTGGGCTCAGTGTAGTCAGAAGGGTCCTTGTAAGTGAAAGAGAGAGGCGGAAGGGTCAGGGTGAGAATGATGCAGCCAGAGAGACTCCACTGGCCATCGCTGGCTGTAAACATGCATCAAAAGACAAAATTATAACAAATTCAGTTATAGATACAATTGGCTTTTATTTGTGATTCATGAGTCAGGGCAGTTTCCATTCTGCAAAATATAGTGATAGCTCCTACTGGGCAATACAACAGTAGAACAGTGGGTTTTGTAAAATGGGAATCCAGGAACAGAAGAATATAAATAAATTGATTTAAATAAACTGATTGGTTAATTTCAGAATACTTCATATTACTTTTTTCTAAGAGTTAAAGCAGAAAGGACTTTCTTACTGTGCTGACTCAGACAGCCTGGACTCTCATGTTTTTAGGAAAATTTTGTCTGTTCTGGGATCTACCTGCTTCCTCATGTTTCAGTGTGAGTATATGGCATTTAGCATGACTGGCTCCATTCTGGAGTCACCAGGCTGTCACCTAAATGAGAGTTTGACTAAACATAAGGCATTAACACTACTGTCAGTTACCATCATTTTGGACTTCCATCATTCATAGGTTATGATGTCCTCCTAATCATACATTTATTTGAGTTTTTGTCATTCCAGCCAAAGAGAGAATATTTGACATTTGACGAATGGCTGCATGCAAACATTTAAAGGTTTTAGAGAATACAGCACACCAGGGTAACTAATATTGTGACAATCAGGAGGATCACACCAAGAGTTTGAAGTATGATCCATAGGCAGAGACCCCATGAACCAAACCAAATAAAAGAGAATAGATTAAAGAATGAGCCACATGAGAAGCCTACCCATTTTAATCAAGCAGCATATTTGTTAATTTTTGCAACTGAGTCTCTATAGTACCCACTGTATTTATTTATGTGCAACAAGAAGTGTCAGCAACTGCACAAACTCCTCCCTGTTCAGCTAGTAGGCAGCAATTCTGTTATCTGGCATCCCATAGCTGGGTTAAATTAAAACAGGGCGTGAGAACAGGTGAGTCTAGAGGTCTAACTCTAACAGGGACCACCGTGCATTTGAATAAACAGTTGTATTAGGGATGTTGTTAAAGTTAGCCACTGGGCAGAATAAAGGATCCCTTAGGTCAAATATTTGGGTTTGACATGATGACATGACACATCCAACACTCTGTCAAATTACCTGCACAAGGCGCTGATTGTGAAATTCTAGTTACAGCATTATCTTACCAAATTAAAGAGGCAGGCATGAGCAGGGAAAAATGGAGTGGGATAAGAGCCTCGTCACGATGAGGCTTGGGACATCTTGGGAAAAACTGTCCACAGCATGAAGTCATCAACTTCTTGTCCTGGTTGGCAATTTGAGTGTCTCTAGTTATGGTGTTGAACATTTTGGTTAGCTCTGAGTGGCCCACATCTCAGGCATGAGGGTTTTTCCTTGAAATTTACATTGAGTTGTCCACCTCCAGCTTATAGGTCTTCAGGAAGAGAGCAGGTCTTATACTTAGTGATGCCACAGGAGAAAATGGGATTGAAGGAGCTAGAAGAATCCAGTCCAGTCTGCAGGTGGATAATAAAAACTTGAAAACAAAATACAGGGCTACAATTTGATAACAGTTGTATTATAGTCTTTCCTCTGAACATAATTTTTCTCTATCTCTCCCTGTTTCTACCAAAGTTAATCAGAGTAAGACTAATCTGTTTACAAAATAGGTAGAGTCTCATCAAACTTGGTCTGATTCTTTATATAAGAAGTATAGCAAGAATAGCGATTGACCACATAGCATCTTTTTAAGATTGCTTTGCTGGAAGGTTTGATAAGGAATCTCAGATTAAACTTTTAGAAACCTCTCAGCACTAGGAAGCCAAACCAAGGCTGACTTCAGACTTTGCCTGCAGTACCTCAGTACCTACGGGTTCATTCTATGTATATTTCCAAATATGACATCCCAGCCAAAGCCTTGGTAATATAACCAGTATTTTTAAATGTATCCTGTTATAAACAGAACAGATTCTTATTGAACTTATGCAAATAACTATTTTCATAACAATGTGAACACCCATGAATAGTTGCCTGATTCTGGATGGAAAATGTAGGGAGAAAAATTAATGTTTCAATTTTTGTTCACAAGTTGTATTTTACCAAGTTTCTGTAAGCTATAGATAGCTTAAAAGAAAAATATTCCTTCAAATTTGGAAAACAAAACATTTAAAGAATCATCAAAACTTCAACTAAAAATTCATAAAAACATTATCCTCATTAGTTCATCTAGTCCCATGAAATTAATTTTTTGTTCTGCCTGATCTTGATTGGCAGTTTCATGAAGATATCTCTTCATTAAAGTTTTGGAAATTCTTAGCCCAATGGTATGATTCTAAAGTTATCAGAAACTTGTATTCAAGACAACTTGTCAGAGTCTTAGCCATAAATCTCCTTGGAAAACAAGCAGTTTTGGACTGTAACCATTTCCAAGTGCTTTTAGAGAAGAATCAAAACAACTGTCTGTGAATGACAAAGACTTAAGATGGCAATGGTTAAAAATCTGATAAGACTTCAGATTTGATAGATTTGATGATAATGACACCACTCACAAACAAATTTGGTTATTTCTGTGGCATGTAACACTATGACTGACAAAATATTAGATTTCTAGAAATCTCATATAATTTTTGAAACATTCACATCAATAACATACCCGCAAATATAACTTAGAGAAGGTTTGGCATCACTTGTCATTTGACAGTGTTTTCCATATAATTTAACATATCAATTAAGGTGAATTTCCATCTCGCTTCTGTTTCTCAACTGGATTACTGAGTTCAGGGCATAGTACATTAACAAATATGGCCAACAATGTATAAGCTTATGTATGTTGAAAAAGTTCCCCAGGTAATTTTGATACATACCCCTAGCTACAAACCATTGATTTAAGCCCAAGTCCTGCTTATCAGAGCAGGGGTTCTGCATCCTGCTTGCACATTAGTAGCATGTGGGAAGGCTTAAATAATAACGCCTTGGTCCCACTCTAGACCATTAAATCAAAATGTATGAGCAGAGCCTGGAAATCAGTTGTTCTTTTAAAAATTTTCCAGTGATTCCAGTGTGTAGCCATATTTCCCATTAGATTTCTCTTTCTTCTTGTGGAATTTATCTTTTTCTATTTTGGTATTACAATTATTTTTCATGTCTTATTTTTTGGAGACAGGGTCTTGCTCTGTGGCCCAAGTTGGAGTGCAGAGGCACAATCATAGCTCACTCCAACCTTGAACTCTTGGGCTCAGAGGATCCTCCCACCTCAGCTTCCCAAAGCACTGGGATGACAGTTGTGAGCCAATGCACCTGGCCCTTTGTCTTATCGTCTGTCTTAGGCTTTATGTTCCCTGGAGTAGGGACCTTGCCTTCTTCATTTCTGTATCTTTCATGAACACATGAATTGGTTATCAGGAAAAGATTCTCAGCCACGTTTAGGTTGTGTCCTGAGTCTCAGGTTCACATACTAATGCTACCGTCTTTGTCCTCCACAAGGACAGAGGTTGCTTGTGATGAAGGGTGTGGGTAACTCCACAATGCAGGTGGTGGAGGAAGGTTACCTTGTTTTTAGATATAACATTGGAACTAAGAATTCTATGTGTACATGGGGTGGAAGGGCAGGATGTATAGGAAGACAGATCTAATTAGGATGGAGAAATTATACTCAGGAGTAGTGGTAAAGGAAGTAAAAAGGATTCATGAAGAGAAGAAATGTGAACTTATCTAATGGGCTAGAGTAGGCCGCTGCAGGTTCTTCAGTAGGTGATTTTAGGAAGGTAATGAAGTAGTCATATGCTAGGAAGCATTCAGACTAGAGAAAAGAAGTCAAGCAGGACTTCAAGCAGTTGTTGAGGTTTATGGGAATGGAGAGAACAGCACAAGTGAAAGATGTTTTAAAAAGGACCAAGAAGCTTTCACAATGTATTGAATTGGGGAAACAAATGAGCAGAGGCTGGGAGTAGTCATGTCTAAGAGACAGTGGAGTACAGGAAGCATGAAGACCAGGGAAGAAGAGACCTGCAGGAATTAGTGCTTAGAAGCAGGAGTTTAGTGGGAGGAGGAGGAGATCTAGTCCCAGATACAGGTGAAGAAGTCCTTTCCCTCTCCCAAGCATGGCAGTCAGCCCTGCAGGAAATAGGATAAGAGGAAAGGTCATAATACCTACCACTCTTCCCGAAATGCAGAAACTACACCAAGGCTGCTATATCAGAGCCATCCCAGCCAGTACTCCAATCATGATGCTGACAGCGGTCCCAGCTGAGAGGTCAGGTGAACTTGCTTGTACTGACTCATCTGCCATGGAAAGAAAAGAGAAGGAATGAAGTTGATCTTATTTTACAGGGAAGTCCCCCAGGAACCAACTCTCAGCATGAAGTCGTTTCTATTTGTTCCTTCAAGGAATACATTATTTTTGTGGGAAGGTTGCTGGGAGATGATTATCCAACTAAATTCTTGCAGGTTTTTTATCTCACCAGGTTTCCAGGTTGATGGTCAGTCTTCTGTCAATTCCATCCTGACCTTTTTACACTCAGATATTTTTGAAGGCTTTGAAATTTGAGAAAGACTGATTGCTAATCTTGTATGTCATTAAAACTTCCCACTTTTTCATGGTTGCATTTTTTTTCTTAGTGTCTCAGTTGTGGCAGTTAGTGCATTTTGAATTCACCACCTCCTTTGCACAGAGACCTCACTTCCCATGGGCTCCCAGCAGGTGTGTGAAAGCAAGTCAAGTTCTGCAAGACTATTTTGCTCTGAAAGGTGATGGGCTTGAGGAATTCCCAACAGTCTTGCAGAAACTCTCTTCGAACTGCACTGCAATCTAAAACTTTCTTTTTTTTCTCTTTCTCCTCCACAGGCATCACATCTGCATCATGATCTGAGGGCTCTCCCAGGCTCCTCCCCCTCCCAGCCCACTTTCCCTCACAGGTGTTTTTCCCTCAAAATTATATTGCATGTCTAATCCCATCTTGACTGCATCTCTCTGAATGAAAACTAACATACTAGGCTTGAGACTTCATATTTAACTCTGTTCTTTTCCCTCTCCCATATTAATCAGTAACCATGTCCCAGTGGACTTTTTGTGTAATGCCTGTTTCTCCCATGTATATGTATATGTATATGTATATGTATATGTATATGTATATGTATATGTATATGTGTGTATATATGTGAATATATATATGCACATGTATATATAATACCTTCTGCATCTGTTTCTTCTTTATTTCTGTTGCAATAATTTGGGCTTAATTTCTCATCAGTCATCAGTCAACTCAGACTGATGATTAATAATCACTAATATTAGCTACTGTTGAGGGGTGCTTCCTATGTGTCAGGCCCTGTGTTAAATTATTTACATGTATCTCATTTGAGCTGTAAAATAATACTGTCAGGTAGAAAATAGAGGTGGCTTAGAGTGGTGAAAAAACTTACCCAATGTCATACAGCTAGTGACAGGCGGATCTAGGATTTGCCTCTAAGACTACCTGACTTCAAGGCTAATAATAATGGTAGCTTTAACAGCAGCTAACATTTATGAAACAGTTCCTCTGCATGTGGCATTTTGCTGAATGTTTCATTGATTATTACATTAAATCTTCAAAACAATACTGTGAAACAGGCACTCTTATTGCAATTTTCAGTTGTGGAAACTAAGGCTCAGAGAAGTTAAGAATCTTGTGCAAGAAATGTATAACTATAAATACATACATTTAAAAAGAAGAAAGATCTGAAATCAACAACCTGGCTTTACAACTTAAGGATATAGGAGAAAAACAAATGAAACCCAAAGTTAGCCAATGAAGGAAATAATAAAGATTAGAGTGGACTAGAAAAACAATAGAGAAAAGCAATGAAACCAAAAGGTGGTTCTTCAAAAAAGTTCAACAAAATTCAAAACCTTTAATTAGATCGACTAAGAAAAAAAATGAGAAGATAGAAATTACTCAAATCAGAAATGAAAGTGATTACTACCAATTTTACAGAAATAGTAAGTGTTATGAGTATTATGAATAATTATATGCCAACAAGTTAGAGAACCTGGATGAAATAAATTCCCAGAAACATAAAACCTTCCAAATGGAACCATGAAGAAACAGAAAATCTGAATAGACTAATAACTACTAGGGAGACTGAACCAATAAAACATTTGTCAAAATTCAACATTCTATCATAGTAAACACACTCAGATTATAAATAGAAGGAAACTACCTCAAATATAATAAAGGCATTATCTGAAAAGCCCAACGCTAACATCATACTCCAGGGAGAAAGACTGAAAGCTTTCCCTCTAAGATAAAAACAAGACAAGAATGCCTAGTTTTACCACTTCTATTCTATGTAGTATTGAAAGTTCTAGTAAGAGAAAGTAGGCAAGAAGAAAGAAAATAACATCCAAATCAGAAAGAAGTAAAATTAACTTTGCAGATGACAGGAACTTACATGTAGAAAACCCTAGAGATTAAAACAAAATTTTAGAACTAATAAACAGATTCAGTATAACTGCAAGATACTAAATCAACATGCAAAAATCAGTTGAAATCAGCTGTATTTCTTTTTTCTTTTTTCTCTGTCTCTTTCTCTCTCTCTCTCTTTTTTTTTTTTTTTTTTGAGACAGAGTCTCATTTTATTGCCCAAGCTGAAGTGCAGTAGCATGATCTCGGCTCACTGCAACCTCTGCCTCCCCAGTTCAAATGATTCTCCTGCCTCAGCCTCCCAAGTAGTTGAAATTACAGGCGTGTGCCACCACACCTGGCTAATTTTTTTTTTTTTTTTTTTTTTTTTTTTTTTAGTAGAGACAGGGTTTCACCATATTGGTCAGGCTGGTCTCGAACTTGTGACCCCAAATGATCTGACCACCTCAGCCTCCCAAAGTGCTGGGATTACATGTGTAAGCCGTTGCATCCAGCCAAAAAACAGTTGTATTCCTATGCACTTACAATGAACAATCTGAAAAGAAATTAAGAAAAAAATTGATTCACATTATCATCAAAAAGAATAAAGTTCTTAGGAATATACTTAACCAAGGAGGTGAAAAAATTGTAAGCTGAAAATTATAAAATGCAGCTGAAAGAAATTAAAGAATATATTAATAAATGGAAAGAAATTCCATTTTCATAGATTGGAAGACCTAATATCATTAAGATGATAATATTAATGCAATCCCTACCAGAATCCCAGTGGCATATTTTGCAGAAATAGAAAAATCCTAAAATTCATATAGAGTCTCAGGACTCTAAATAGCCAAACAATATGAAAGAATGAAGATGGAGGACTCACACTTCCTGATTTCAGAATTTACTACAAAGCCACAGTAATCAACACAGTGTGGTACTGGCATAAAGGAATACATAGAAACCAATGGAATAGAATGGAGAGCCCAGAAACAAATGCTTGCGTTTATAGTCAAATTATTTTTGACAAGGGTACCAAGACCATTCAATAGGGAAAGGATGGTCTTTTCAACAAATGATATTGGGACAGCTGGATATCCATGAAGAAGGATGAGTTGAATCTTTACTTAACACCATATAAAAATTAACACCATATAAAAATTAACCCAAAATGGATCAAAGACCTAAATCTAAGAGATAAACCTATAAAACTCTTAGAAGAAAACATAGGGGGAGAGCTTCATGACATTGGATTTCACAATGATTTCTTGGCTATGACACCCAAAGCACAGGCAACAAAAAAAAAACAGACAAATTTGACTTCATAAAAAATAAGATCTTCTCTACATCAAAGGACATTATCCAGAAAGTGAAAAGGCAACCCATGGAATGGGAGAAAATATTTGCAAATCATATATCTGATAAGGGATTAATTCTCAGAATATATAAAGAACTAATATAACTCAACAGCAAAAACCCAGAAACCCAATTTAAAAATGGGCAAAGGACTAAAACAGAGATTTCTCCAAGGAAGATATGCAAATGGCCAATAAGCACATGCAAAGATGCTAAACATCACTAATACTTAGAGATATGCAAATCAGAACCACAGTGATACACCACCACACACATGTTAGGATGGCTTTGATTTAAAGAAAAAAAAGAAAACACAAAACATGTATTTTGAGGAGGTGGGAAAATTGAAACTCTCGTGCATTGCCGGTGGGAGTGTGAAATGGTGCAGCCACAGTGGAAAATGGTAGAGCCGTTTCTCAAAAAAATTAAGCAAAGCATTACCATTTGATGCAGCAATTCCACTTCTGGTCATATGCCCAAAATAATGGAGAGTAGGGCTTTGAAAAGATATTTATACACCCATGTTGATAGTAGCATTACTCACAATAGCCAAAATGTGGAAACAGCTCAAAAGTCCACCGAACGATAAGTCAAGAGGCAAAATGAAATATATCCACACAATGGAAACTCATTCAGTCTTAACAGGTAATAAAATAAAATAAAATGCCGAGCATTTACACACTCATGAGACTCAAATTCTGATACATACTACAACGTGAATGAACCTTAAAGACGTTATGCTAAGTGAAATGTGGCCAGACACAAAAGGACAAATTTTGTATGAGTCTATTGATGTGAGGTACTTATTAATAAAATAGTCAATTACAGACAGACAGAAAGTAGAATGATGGCTACCAGGGACTAGGGTTAGAAGGAGTGGAGAGTTACTGTTTATTGAGTGCAGAGGTTTAGCATGGTGAGTTGAAAAAGTTCTGGAAATGGATAGCGGTGATGGTTGCACAACAGTATAAATATAATTGATATCACTAAACCATACTTTTTTTGGAGACAGGGTCTCACTCTGTCACCGAGGCTGGAATTCAATGGCGCAATCAAGGCTCACTGGAGCCTCGACATTCTGGGCTGAAGTGGTCCTCCCGCCTCAGCCCACCAAGTAGTTGGAACTACAGGCCATGTGCCACCATGTTTCGCTAATTTTTTGGGAAGACAGTGTTTCACCATGTTGTGCAGGCTGGTATTGAACTCCTGAGCTCAAGCGAGCCACCCATCTCAACCTCTCGAAGTGCTGGAATTACAGGAATCAGCCACCGCGCCCAGCCCTAAACCGTATATGTAAAATGGCTAATATGGTAAATTTCAGGTTATGAGTGCTTAACCTTTATGAATATATAGTGGCTGGTACTCTTATCCTCGCTATAAATACACACTTTGTGGCCCTGCCCCTTCCCTCCCTTGCAGAGTCCCGGTGGCTGAATCTCCCTATTTGTCCAAATGTTCATCCCTAGCTGTGCTCTGTGCTGTGTCCACAGCGTCATACAGCGGGTGACTTCAGAGCCAGGCCACAGTTCAAGAGTCTGCCCCAGGGCTCCCTCTCTTCCCAGTTCCCTGAAGCCTGACCCAGGAGAGGCTCTGCCATTGATTGACAGCTCAATTTAGCCAGATTCAGGACAGGTCGCCCAAGCACCTTCTCCACACACCCAGGTCCCACCCCAGGTGGAGTCAGGGCAGGGCCAGTCACCAGGTGAGCCGGAAGCAGAGCAGGGAGCAGACTCTGAGCTGCTCCTCCCTCGTCCAAGGGGTTTCCTCCTCTCATCTGGGGAAAAAGTGTGAGATGTTTCAAAGCTTCCTTCTTCCTTGTAGCTCATGAATTAGGCAAAAGAACACAAAGAGGTGACAAAAAGGGACGTATTGATGACCGAGAGAACCCTTAAGGACCCTTCCTGCTTTTCCCTCTGTGAAGCTCTTTCCACTACCTGGGGCTTTGGGGCTGAGGGAGCCCCCTCCCCACATTCCAGGCTGGATCCATAATCAGCCATGAGAAATTACTGAAGTACAGGGAGGAGGGTCTGCAGAGACAGAGTGAGAGGGTTCAGCGGGGAGAATTTGGGATCTGCTTGTGCCCATGGGACACAGGCTGGAAAAGAAAAGTTTTTTCAGCTCTTCCTTAACACCAGAGAGACCCCATCTCAAAATATGATGCCAACGGTCCAGGGATCCATGTACCACGGACTGTGATCATCTTGACTGTGGTACTATTGCGGTCAGTGGCCAATTTGTGGGCATAGCAGGTATAGGATACACTATTCTTTGCAGTGCTTTGGGGATAAAGAGCTCTTGCATGTGTTGCAGAAGGTTTCCATTACTCAGCCAAAAATACGGAGAGGGTGGGTTAGAGGCCACATGGATGAAGAGTCTAAGGTTTGCTCCTAACTCGTAAGATATAACTGGGGTAGAAGGGGTGTCCAAGCCACCCGGAGCAAAGAGAATAAAGCCGTAAGTGATGTCCTCAGAGGGAAGCGGAAGCTCCTGGTCTGTGGAAGGGCTGCACTGTCCCTCTTACCCAAATCACAATCCTGAAGTCCCAACCAAACCCCGATGTGTTCACTGAGCCTGAGACATTCACCTGTTTCTCCCATCACAGGCTGTGGACCCTGAGCCTCCCAGGACAGGAGCAGCCCCTCCTCTCATATTCTTGGTCAAGGCTGGGTCTGCCCAGGTTTGCTTGTGGCAGAAAGTCATGGCCAGCCTGGGTGCCTAGAGGTGAGGGTCTGTGTACTTGGACCTGAGAGGGACTAAGAGGCCTGGTCTCTGGCTGCATGGATTTGGGCTGTCAGCCTGGGCCACAGAGGAACAGAAGATACTCACAGCGGACATTCAGGGTGACTGGGTCACTGCGGCTGGCACCCACTGGGTTCTGTATTTCACATTCATAGGGTCCTATGTCATTCTTTGTGGCGCTGAGTAGAACGAGGGTCCTGTTGTCAGTGGAGAGCAGCAGCCTGGGACTGACCAGGAGGCTCTGATTGTTTACCCACCACAGGTAGGTTGTGTTCTGAGTCTCAGGTTGACAGGTTAAAACCACAATATCTTTGTTCTCCACCGGATTGAAGTTGTTGCTGGTGATGGAGGGCTTGGGTGGCTCCGCTGTGCAGATAAGAGAGAGAAAAGATTGCCCTGTGTGGCCCCTTGGTTCCCCCACGGACATCTTTCAATCAGAGTTGGCATCTCCCACCTCTAAGCCCACTCAAGTCCTTAAAAGCCCACAGAAGGTGTGTGTATCACAAGACAGATGCACAATGATCTGAGAGCTCAGACACTGTGAGGCTGCCTGATTTGTCTTAGAGAAGCACAGACTTTCTCAAGTGTAAATTGTGCAGCAGCGTTGGCCCATGGACAGACCCAGGACCATCAATCACAGCCACTGGTGCCTCTCCTGGTCCTTTCCTGATGGCTGCCTACCTGGCCCTTTGGGGTCCTCACCTCGAATGGGCAGGAGCTGAGTTCCTTCCAGCTGAACACTCCTACACCACCCAGCCAAGGGGTGTTTCTCTGAGCCTTTTTTTTCCAAGGATATCCCAGAGATGGGTGATGATAACAATGGGTGTTTGAGCAGACATAGCAGAGGAGACCAGGAAAAAGTCTAGAGGTGAGTTTAGTACTCAGACTGCAGGGCCTCCAGGTGGGGCAGCTCTACCCGGGTGTTTGATGGTGACTGACAAGAGCTAGTGACCGCCAGGAAAGTGCAGCAGAGTCCAGAAGAAGATAGAGAAAGGGTGAGTGAGACAAGCAGGGGCTGGCTGAAAATCTGAGGATTCTCAATGACATAACAAGAACAATGAAGACAAATTAGGAGAAGAGATGTGTGTTATGTTAGGAAATTTACAAAGAGCTCCCTGTCCCCAGCTCCTGTGCAGTCAGCAAAATGGAGGAAATCCCAACACAGGCATGAGAAATGCTTTCTTCCTTTTCTCTCGACCTACGGAAACACAACAAGAGTTTGATCAAATTCATCTAAACTAGGCAGAGTCTAAGTGAGATGCCAGTGGCTGGTGCAGTTCCCATTCCAAGGGACCCCACCTTATGACAATGGTGTCATCATGAGGACACAGGTGTATGCGGAATGGACAGCAAACCCATCAGACAGCACCTGCCTAGGCCGCTGCACCTGGAGGAGGTCCCAGGAATGACTGGAGGACCTTAGCCCCACAGCGAGACGAGGATGGAGTTGGTAGTAAAATGGGTGGAATGAACCCATGGGCTTTGGGGACTGCACACCTGTCCTGCCTCTGGCCCCCTGGTGAGTCAGTGTAGAGAGCAGATAGAGGAGTTGCTCATCCCTGTCCCATGGCCAAGCATTTACACAGTCATGAGACTCAACACCTGGGTGGCTTCTTTTTTTTTTAAGATCCAGGGATCTTGCTATGTTGCCCAGGCTGGTCTTGAACTCCTGGGCTCAAGACACCCTCCTGTCTCAGTCTCCCACTGGGGTGGCTTTAGGGGCAGGGGATGAGAGAGGTGGAACATGGGTCTCAGTCCCTTGGAGGGACAGGGAACAGGTGCCAGAGCCTCCTAGGATCCTGCATCAGGTTCCAGTCTCTGAAGAGATTATGGATCATTCATTCCTTCATTCATTCCCTCCCTCCTTCATGAGAGAACTACTGAGCGAGTGTGTTTCTCACTTTGGGCCCTGGCATGTGCAGGGTGTGAGTGGGGAGAGAAAGCAAAGTCTTCTCCTTTATCCTCCTGTGGGAGTGACACCAACACATCAGGAAACACAGGATTTCAGGTCCAGTGAGGGTAGGAGTGTGAATCTAAGGGAGAGGCCTGGACATTCCCAGCACTGACTCTGATAGTTGAGGCAAGAGATTCAGTTCTAGGTAAAAACTAATTCTCTATTTGTTCCTCACTCCCTAGACCAGAATCTCCCACTTCTGGCTTGGATGCCTAGGAAGCAAGCTCTGTGGCTACAAAGACCTGGGGACTCTGATGTGACTGTCCGGTCCGTGAGACCCTGCCTCAGTGGCTGTATTTCCTTCTGCCTCAGTTTCCTTTAACAAAATGAGATAAAGCGTAAATGGTCTCTGGCTTGCCTTGCTGTCTGTGAATTTACCTTAAAATAATCACAATTACCTGGATGAGAGCCCTGTGTAGAAGAGCTGCCCAAACAAGCAGGATCTCTGATTGTTTGCCTCCAGGAGTGGGTTATTTGGACCTGATTCCTGGTGTACAAAGAACTTACAGCAGAAACTTTCTTCTTCTTTTTCTCCCCCTGAGGACACTGACTCCCCTAGGACCTCTCTTAAGTTCCTCATCCAGGGGGACTGAGGTCCTAGTAATCCTGTTCATCTGTCCTCTCCAGGCTGAGTCTCAGGTGAAGGATGAGGCTCTGTCCTTGCCCAGATGAGGCCCTGGGGGTGACCAGGCTGGTGACCAGCTCCATGAGCCATGATCCTCAAACAGCTCAAATCCTTGCTCTCAGTCAGTTCAGCCCAGGAGGCCACAACCCAGCCCTGACACAGGTTCCTTAGGGTCACCTGGAGTCAAGAGCCCTGGGACAGGGATCTGGGACTTGTGCTTCCAGGGCTGAGCTTCTCTGTGAGGATTCCAGGGGACTCCTCAGGCCAGGCTCTGACCCAGTTCTCCAGGGTCTTTTTCAGGGGGAGGGCACAGAATCTTGGCTGAGACTGATCTCCCCCTGCTGAGTGCCCCCCATCAGACTGTCCTTCCTCTGCAGCAAGTATCTGCAGGGTCTGGATGCAGGAAAGGGATTCTGGTCTGTAGAAGTTTGTCTCCCCCATGTGTGTCCTTCACTAAATGCCCAAACTCCAACACTGGATAAAATGTAGATGGGGACACAGGCACAACCCAGGCCTGACAACCCCGTGTGTATGAAGTAGAACTGGCCCCCAGCACCCAGAAGTCATGGAGGTATCACTCACAGAATACGTAGAATTGTCTGGTTACTTCTTCATTCACAAGATTTTCTTTTATAACGTGTAGGGTATAGATTCCTGCGTCATTGTGGGTGACGTTCTGGATCAGCAGGGTTCCATTGGGGTATATTGTCTCTCGACCGTTGTGTGCGGGCCCTGGGGCATTTTCTTGACTTATATTTTTTACATATCCTATAATTCGATAGTTGGCATGCACCCTTTCCCCTTTGTACCAGTTGTAGCCATAAAGATTCTGGGACTCATTATGGACTACTAGAAGGACCTCCTTCCCTTCTGCGACATTGAACGGCACGACATCAATATTGGTCTGGGCACTGTTTGGCAGGTTCCAGAAGGTTAAAAGCGAGGCTAGGAGGGGGAGAGAACATCAGTCAATATTGGGACCTATGTATTGGGGTGGAAAGATGGGGCCCTGGATCCTGAGCAGGTCTCTTCACCCACCCCCATCTTGAAGTAAGTGTGTGTGTGTGTGTGTGTGTCCTACTGGATCAATGTCAGCAGCATGTCCCCTATCAGCACCTCTGACCTTACATTTCCCTGTTCGGAATCCTCTTCCCCAGGGATCTGCAGGGCTCCCTCCATACTGCTGGACCTGCTTACATCAGGGCATCCTTGGGAGACCCCTTCCCTGACACCTTCTCTAGAAGCCCTGGGTGTTCCGTTTCTGACATTTCCCTGCTCTGTTCCCTTTAGAGCTCTTGTCAACACCTGGCTTCACATTCTAGATCTCTTTGCCTGTCTGTCTTCTGCCGCATGAGAGCGTGAGCTCTGTGAGGGCAGGGACTTGTGTGAACTGGATTGCACCCCAGTGCCTGGAACAGGCTGCAGGCTCCAGTAGATGAGTTCATGAGAGTTCCCAGGGCCCTCCCTCCACATCCTGGGGTTTATTTTCCAATGCCTGAGGTTGGTGGCTAGGGACAATGTTTTATGCCCTGGTTATGTTTTTATTTGAAGCGTCACATGATATAGTTATTATTATCATATTTCAAAATGTAGCAGCTAGTGATGATTAACCAGGAAAAGAGAACATGTGAGATTTTCTTGACCCTTTCCAATTCCAGTCCAATGTGATTTTCCTGTTCTGGTTTCCTGTCCCTGTCTGGTGTCCTCTCCCAAAGGACTTCAACAGAAGCCCTTTGTCCCCTCTCAGAGCCCCGTCCTCCCAAGGAGACCCCAGCCAGTCTCTCTGGCCCTCCTCCCACCCACTCCCAGGAAGTCCTCCCCTCACCTGTGAGCAGGAGCCCCTGCCAGGGAATGCACACTCTGTATGGACAGGCTGAAGGGGACCCCATGGTCTCTGCTGCCTGCTTGTCCTCTGTGGAGAAGAGCTTGGGCTCCAGGAACTCTCTTGTCAGGGCTGCTGTGACTGTCAGCTCTGCTGTCCTTCCTACCTCTGTGCTGAGCCTCCTCCCAGGGCAGGAGCACTTTCCAAGATCACATGGTCCAGGGGTGGGGTCTCTGCTCAGGAGTCCTCTGTCCCCTCCCCTCTCATTCCTGCCTCTTTTGTCCCTCTTCCTCTTTCCCTTTTGTCTATATTCAGTTCCCGATACAAAGCTTTGAGTAGCAAGGCTGATGGACCCCTGTCCCCTGGGAGGACAACCAACCTTTCCCAGTGCTGACCTATGCTGTGTTCTGGCCTTGGGTCTGTCACACCAGGGGGATTATTTCCCTTGTGACAGAGAAACCCAGCTGGGCCTTGGGTTTCTGCTGGGATGATGCCCAGCAGGAAGGTGACAGAGGTGGCTCTGGGGGATAGAAAGGGGCTCACTGGGGGATGACTGGGGAGGGACCAGCCCTCTGTCTCCAGTGACCCAGGCACAGAAACCAAGGCCCAGGGGTCTCAGGAGGAGCTACAGCTCCTGGGTGTGGAGGGAGGTGTCTGGTGTGTCCTGGGAAGAGAGCTGTGGTGGAGGGAGGTGTGTGGCTCTGAGCTCTGCTGTCCTTGGGGAAGGCTTCAAGGAAACCCTCCCTCTCCCTGTCTTTTGGATGTGCTGTGGCTCAGGTCCTTTCCATGTTCTACCTGACCTGGAAGCCTCTGTCTGGCTGACAGTCCTGTGGTCACCCCGCCTTCCCCATGGGTGGTGCCAGGAGGGAATGGGGAGCTGCACAGAAACCCCTGGCAGAGCGGGGTCTTCAAAGGCCCCAGGAAGGAAGAGGTGGGACACAGCAGGAACGCGTGAAAGACAAGAAGGGTCTGTTGGAGCAAGGAATGGAAACCAGGCTCCACCTTCACCACCTTAGCAAGGCCAAGTTCATGTCCAGGGGAATTACAGCTGACCTTCGAACACACAGATTTGAACACACAGGTCCACTTACATGTCGATGTTTTTTTGTTTGTTTGTTTGTTTGTTTGATTTTTGTTTTTTGTTTTTTGTTTGTTTGTTTTTTGCTTTTTTTTTTTTCCTGAGACAGAGTCTCACTCTGTTGCCCATGCTAGAGTGCAGTGGCACGATCTCAGCTCACTACAACCTCCACCTCCCGGGTTCAAGTGATTCTCCTGCCTCAGCCTCCCAAGTAGCTGGGACTATAGGCACCCGCCACCACGCCTGGTTAATTTTTGTATTTTTAGTAGAGGCGGGGTTTCACCATGTTGGCCAGGCTGGTCTCAGACTCCTGACTTCAAATGATCCACCCACCTCAGCCTCCCAAAGTGCTGAGATTACAAGCATGAGCTGCCATGCCCAGCCACATGCAGATGTTTTAAATTAAAAGTTGCACTGAGTGTGTCCCCTCCTCTTGCCTCCCCTCCACCTCTTCTACCTCTGCCATCTCTGAGACAGCAAGACCACCCTCTCCTTTCCTCCTCCTCAGCCTACTTAACCTGGAGACAAAAAAAGGATAAAAGCCTTTATGATGATCCACTGTCACTTAATGAATAGTAAATATGTTTTATCTTCCTTATGATTTTCATAGTAACATTTTATTTTCCCCAGCTTATGTTATTGTAAGAGTACAGTATATAATATAAATAAACATGCAAAATACATTGATTTACCGTTTATGTTAACAATAAGGCTTCTGGTCAAGAGTAGGGTTTTAGTGGTTCAATTGTTGGGAAGCCAAAAGTTATACAAAGATTTTCTACGGGGTCCTCAGCACCCTTAACCCCTGCCTTATTCGAGAATCAACTGCAATTTCCTGAGTGTTCTCTGTGTGCGATGTGCACCCCTGGAAGGCAAGAGATCTGTGGTCAAAGTCAGGGGCTGTTCCAGGGATGTTGACGAGGGTCCACATGGTGTGACCTCCAAGCTACAGGATCAGGTCACCCCAGGTCCTGCTCATGGAGAGTCCCAGGCTGCCCAACTCCATGCAGTGCAGGATGAGCTCAAGGAGAGGACAGGAGTTGTCCAGAGAACAGCAAATCAAGATTTGGAGAACTGTCCACCAGGGGGATAGGCTGCCTCAGAAGGAGCCACCTGTCCCCAAGGTTTCAAAGGTAGGACCCAGAGAGGTGTCTCTGGGGGCTTCAGAGAGAGGACACCAGCCTAGGAGGTGGTCCCCAGAGAGCCCTGTGTTCCTCCATCACAGCACTGGGGGTGCTGCCTCCAGGTCATCTGTGTCCCTGTCTGTCGTCTGCTCCAGGCCTCCTGGCAGGACCCAGGAGCTGGGGCATTTCCCACCTGGATACTCAGGCAGGGGTTTCCTGGTTCCTCTGTTATGGGAGGGGGAGGCCCTATGACCCTTAGCCTCTCTGAGATGGAAACAAAGGCAGATCCTGGGTTATCCTGTCCTCCTGCAGGGGAAGTTCCCCTGGGTCCCCAGGTCTCCTTGGGCTGGTTAGAGGTCTCCAGAGACCACAGCCAGGAGCCCCCATCTCCAGGGACCCTCGGGGGTGGGGTGTCATCACCCAACTTCCTTGTGATCAGGTCCCCTGGTGGTCACTCCATCTGGGATGGAGGATCCAGAGTCTGCAGCAGGTCAGGTGTCTTTGTGAGAAGAGGAAGGACATAGGCTGCTGGCCCAGGCCCCCTGGGAGTCGTGACATGACTCACAAGTCAGAGACGGGGAAGGGGTGTCACTGTTCTGGGATGAGTCAGATTCTGACCCCCCTCTCTTAGAAGGCCCTGTCCTCCCTCTTGAAGCTCTGAGGGTTCAGGCCCTGTCCCTGGGGCAGCCTTGGGCACTTGTTGGCCTCCTCCCATGCTGGCACCAGTGCCTCTGTGTCCACAAAGAACAGACCCTGACTCCGGGGGTCACACAGAGGTGATGTGCTTCTGTTGTGTGACCGCCCACGCATTTAACCAGTATTTGTTGAGCATCTGTTGTATGTCAGACACTGGACTGGGCCCTGGGATTCCACAAAAAGCAGGACAGACGTGGCCCCTGTGCTCATGGAGTTTCCCTGTAACAGGGAGACAGGTGCTCAGTGAACATCATGGGACTGAAGAGCTAATGCTAATGAGAGAAGGGCTGTGAATGTGCTCTGAGGATCACAGGGAGCTGCCCTAGGAGATGCCTTTCGGCTGAGCCCCAGGGAGGAGGCGATGTGGGGGCAGGAGCTGCCCGCAGAAGTTGTGACTTGGTGGACGGCCACTGGACTGCAAGGAGGAGCTGACAGAGTGCGTCTGGGGAGCTTGGAGGGCGAGGAGGAGGTGGGTCGAGGTGATCCTGGTGAGGGTATACCCTGGGGGACTCTAGTCCAGCTGAAGGACGTCAGCGGACGCTGGGGAGGTGCCAGGCCGGGAGGGACTCTGCTGCCCTCTGGGGGACAATGAGGAAAGTGTAGACGGAAAAATCAGGATAGGTTTAACTCAACGTGATCATTAAGCATTGATCACGTTTGCTTGACGCTTTAAATTCTAGATATCTCTCACGCAAGCTCTTCTCTACTCTACCCCCAGCGAATCATCAAAATTAGATTGTGGTCTTATGTCAGGTCAAGTTCTGTGTGCACTTAGAGGGATCCCACACAGTATTCACACTTGAGGGCCGGCTGGAGCATGTGTGGGTAGAAGGGAGGATTCGTGTCCGTGTATCCTCACAAGAGCCAGGGTGTCTGGGTGGATAAGGCTCCACTTGACCCCAAAAGTCCTCAGAACAAGGGAGCAGAGCCTGATGAAATCAGAATCCAGGGGTGGGGCTGGGGCTCTGTGCCTCCTCCTCCTCCCTTCCTCTCTCTCTCTGGGGAGTTCGCCCTCCTCTCCCTCAGCAGAATTCTTGGGCCTCCTCATATGAAGAAACGTGATGGGCCCTTACAGACCCACCCAGAGATTTTTAGCAGAGACATCAGGTTTCAGTGTCAGGAGCACCAGTCACCCCTCAGGCCTCCCCAGACCCCTCCTCAGAGACAGATATAAATATATCTGTATATACCTTCAGTGTGTTAGTATCTTTATGAATAAGTAGAGTTTCTTGCAAGCAGCATATGCTTGGATCATGTTTTTTTATCTGTTTCATATTTTTAATCTGTTTCACCAATCTGTATCTTTTAAGTGGAGCATTTAATCCATTTACATTTAAGGTTCATATTGACATGTGAGGTTTTCTTCCTGTCATAATGATAATTGTCAGCTAGTTACTTTGTAGCTTGTTTCTTTTTTTAGTTTATGGACTTTTCTTTTCTGTTTGGAACTCCTTCGAGCATTTCTTAAATTCCCTCAGAATTTGCTTCTGGGAAAGACTTTATTTCTCCATTTTGAAGCTTATTCTTGCAGGATAAAAAATTCAAAGTTGATGTTTATTGTTGTTTTTTTCTTTAAGTACTTTGAAAATAGATTCTCAATCCCTTCTGGCTTGTAGGGATTCTGCAGAGAAGTCTACTGCTAGTCTGATGGGGTTTCCTTTATAGGAGATTAAACACTTTTCTCTTGCTGATTTTAGGATTTTTTCCTTCATGTTGACCTTAGACAGCCTGATAACTATAGTTGCGGTGAGGTCCTTCTTGCAATGTATCTGCCTGGTTCTATTTAAGCCTTTTCTATCTGAATGCCTAGATGTCTTGCTAGACTAGCTAAGTTTTCCTCAATAATTTCCTCAAATAGGTTGACCAAACTTTACAGTTTTTCTTCTCCCTCAGAAATACCTATAATTCCTAGGTTTGGATGTTTTACTTAGCCCCATGCCTCTCAAAGGTTTTGTTCCTTTGTAAATGTTTTTTCTTTATTTTTCTCTGACTGGATTAATTATAAAGACCTGTCTTCAAGTTCTGAGATTCTTTCTTCTGCTTGATCTGGTCTGTTGTTAAAGCTTTCAACTGCATTTTGTAATTCCTTCAATTTTTTTTTTATTTTCAGAAGTTCCATTTGTTTGTTTGTTTAATATCTATCTTTCTGGTAAATTTCTCATTCATATCCTGAATTGATTTTCTGATTTCTTTGCATTAGTTTTCATATTTATCTTGGATCTAATGGAGCTTCTAGAAAATCAATATTTTGAATCCTTTATCTGGTATCTTAAAGATTTTATTTTCATTAGAATCTATTGCTGGATAGTTAGTGTGATCTTTTTGGGGTGTTATCCTATTTTTTTATGCTTCCAGAATTGTTACACTGGTTCCTTCTCATTTGTAGAAACTGTCACTTCTTTTTATTTTTGAATTTACTTTTGATGGAACTTTTTTCTTGAAATTGCAATTATATTGCATGTTGAGTAGGGTCAATTGGCTTTCCTTCTGGGTGCTTTCAATGGCAGACACTCTATATGAATTCTTTGGTTATAGATAGCCTTAGTGTGGTGGCTTTTTCAAATGCCAGTGACTGTAGCAGTGCGTCAGGTATGTGAGCAAACTCATGGCCTCCTGCAGAACTAGAGTGGCAGAGATCTCAAGAACCTTATCTTTAAAAAAATTAATAATAATAATAATAATAATAAAAGAAACTTATCTTGTTCCCAAGTTCCATGCACTTGATTGTCAAGTTTTGCACTGGGTTTAGAAGATCAGCCTCCAAGCCATTAGGTGTCATTTGAAGGTAAAGAGCCAGCTGCAGGCCAGGCTCAGTGGTTCACACCTGTAATCCCAACACTTTGGGAGGCCAAGGTGAGCAGATCACCTGAGGTCAGGTTCGAGGCCAGCCTGGCCAACATGGTGAAACCCCATCTCTACTAAAAATACAAAAATTAGCCAGATGTGGTGGTCCGTGCCTGTGATCCCAGCTACTCGGGAGGCTGAAACAGGAGAATTGCTTGAACCCAGGAGACAGAGGTTGCAATGAGCTGAGATCACACCATTGCACTCCAGCCTGGGCAACAAAAGTGAAACTCCATCTCACAAAAAAAAGAGAGAGAGAGAGAGCCAACTGCAGTACTGCAGTGATAGCAGTGGGGCTTATGCTTTGTTTACCAGAAGAAGCTTTTTAGTGCTTTAGACAGTGAGCTGGTCTGTCTAACCCAAGTGACCTGGGCTCCATACTCAGCCCCAGAAGTGAAGGGTGAAGCTGGGTGGAGCCAAACCAGGCAAGCCTACCCTCAGGGCTCCCAGTGGCCTGAGAACCATTGGACCCAGGACCCATTACTTCTAGGGTAAGGAAGGTACAAACACCAGATCCAACCATGGTCTGGGGGGACAGCTGTCAAATGCCTAAAAATATACCTGGGAGAGGAGCAGGCAAACTATCACTGCCCCAGGTTCTCTGAACAGAAACAGAGGGGCAACCCAAAGTCCAAATCCAGGTGAGCAGGTGCACCAAATGCCCAGAGATATGACGAGGCAAGAAGTGAAGGAACCACCCCTGCATCAAATGTTTTGCATGGGAAGGAGAAGGGGGTTGCTCATGTTCCCAATCCAGGAGAATGCATTTGGGATCTGCCTTCTTCTCACTCCTTGGTTAGCAAGACTAAGCAACCAGGACTCTGGATTTGGGGAAAGACGTTTATTTGTGGAGGCCAGTGATGACAATCCCACGAGGGCCTAGGTGAAGAGGGCAGGAAGGCTCGAGACACTGGGGACTGAGTGAAAACCACACCCATGATCTGCACCACCCATGGATGCTCCTTCATTGCTCACCTTTCTGTTGATATCAGATGGCCCCATTTTCTGTACCTTCACAGAAGGACACAGGCTAGGGTCTGTGCATGGCCTTCATCCCCGGGGCCATGTGAGGACAGCAGGTGGGAAAGATCATGGGTCCTCCTGGGTCCTGCAGGGCCAGAACATTCATCACCCATACTGACCTCCTAGATGGGAATGGCTTCCCTGGGGCTGGGCCAACGGGGCCTGGGCAGGGGAGAAAGGACGTCAGGGGACAGGGAGGAAGGGTCATCGAGACCCAGCCTGGAAGGTTCTTGTCTCTGACCATCCAGGATTTACTTCCCTGCATCTACCTTTGGTCATTTTCCCTCAGCAATGACCAGCTCTGCTTCCTGATCTCAGCCTCCCACCCTGGACACAGCACCCCAGTCCCTGGCCCGGCTGCATCCACCCAATACCCTGATAACCCAGGACCCATTACTTCTAGGGTAAGGAGGGTCCAGGAGACAGAAGCTGAGGAAAGGTCTGAAGAAGTCACATCTGTCCTGGCCAGAGGGGAAAAACCATCAGATGCTGAACCAGGAGAATGTTGACCCAGGAAAGGGACCGAGGACCCAAGAAAGGAGTCAGACCACCAGGGTTTGCCTGAGAGGAAGGATCAAGGCCCCGAGGGAAAGCAGGGCCGGCTGCATGTGCAGGACACTGGTGGGGCATATGTGTCTTAGATTCTCCCTGAATTCAGTGTCCCTGCCATGGCCAGACTCTCTACTCAGGCCTGGACATGCTGAAATAGGACAATGGCCTTGTCCTCTCTCCCCACCATTTGGCAAGAGACATAAAGGACATTCCAGGACATGGCTTCCTGGGAGGTCCAGGTTCTCTGTCTCACACCTCAGGGACTGTAGTTACTGCATCAGCCATGGTAGGTGCTGATCTCACCCAGCCTGTCCAGGCCCTTCCACTCTCCACTTTGTGACCATGTCCAGGACCACCCCTCAGATCCTGAGCCTGCAAATACCCCCTTGCTGGGTGGGTGGATTCAGTAAACAGTGAGCTCCTATCCAGCCCCCAGAGCCACCTCTGTCACCTTCCTGCTGGGCATCATCCCACCTTCACAAGCACTAAAGAGCATGGGGAGACCTGGCTAGCTGGGTTTCTGCATCACAAAGAAAATAATCCCCCAGGTTCGGATTCCCAGGGCTCTGTATGTGGAGCTGACAGACCTGAGGCCAGGAGATAGCAGAGGTCAGCCCTAGGGAGGGTGGGTCATCCACCCAGGGGACAGGGGTGCACCAGCCTTGCTACTGAAAGGGCCTCCCCAGGACAGCGCCATCAGCCCTGCCTGAGAGCTTTGCTAAACAGCAGTCAGAGGAGGCCATGGCAGTGGCTGAGCTCCTGCTCCAGGCCCCAACAGACCAGACCAACAGCACAATGCAGTCCTTCCCCAACGTCACAGGTCACCAAAGGGAAACTGAGGTGCTACCTAACCTTAGAGCCATCAGGGGAGATAACAGCCCAATTTCCCAAACAGGCCAGTTTCAATCCCATGACAATGACCTCTCTGCTCTCATTCTTCCCAAAATAGGACGCTGATTCTCCCCCATCATGGATTTCTCCCTTGTCCCGGGAGCCTTTTCTGCCCCCTATGATCTGGGCACTCCTGACACACACCTCCTCTCTGGTGACATATCAGGGTCCCTCACTGTCAAGCAGTCCAGAAAGGACAGAACCTTGGACAGCGCCCATCTCAGCTTCACCCTTCCTCCTTCACAGGGTTCAGGGCAAAGAATAAATGGCAGAGGCCAGTGAGCCCAGAGATGGTGACAGGCAGTGACCCAGGGGCAGATGCCTGGAGCAGGAGCTGGCGGGGCCACAGGGAGAAGGTGATGCAGGAAGGGAAACCCAGAAATGGGCAGGAAAGGAGGACACAGGCTCTGTGGGGCTGCAGCCCAGGGTTGGACTATGAGTGTGAAGCCATCTCAGCAAGTAAGGCCAGGTCCCATGAACAAGAGTGGGAGCACGTGGCTTCCTGCTCTGTATATGGGGTGGGGGATTCCATGCCCCATAGAACCAGATGGCCGGGGTTCAGATGGAGAAGGAGCAGGACAGGGGATCCCCAGGATAGGAGGACCCCAGTGTCCCCACCCAGGCAGGTGACTGATGAATGGGCATGCAGGGTCCTCCTGGGCTGGGCTCTCCCTTTGTCCCTCAGGATTCCTTGAAGGAACATCCGGAAGCCGACCACATCTACCTGGTGGGTTCTGGGGAGTCCATGTAAAGCCAGGAGCTTGTGTTGCTAGGAGGGGTCATGGCATGTGCTGGGGGCACCAAAGAGAGAAACCTGAGGGCAGGCAGGACCTGGTCTGAGGAGGCATGGGAGCCCAGATGGGGAGATGGATGTCAGGAAAGGCTGCCCCATCAGGGAGGGTGATAGCAATGGGGGGTCTGTGGGAGTGGGCACGTGGGATTCCCTGGGCTCTGCCAAGTTCCCTCCCATAGTCACAACCTGGGGACACTGCCCATGAAGGGGCGCCTTTGCCCAGCCAGATGCTGCTGGTTCTGCCCATCCACTACCCTCTCTGCTCCAGCCACTCTGGGTCTTTCTCCAGATGCCCTGGACAGCCCTGGCCTGGACCTGTCCCCTGAGAGGTGTTGGGAGAAGCTGAGTCTCTGGGGACACTCTCATCAGAGTCTGAAAGGCACATCAGGAAACATCCCTGGTCTCCAGGACTAGGCAATGAGGAAAGGGCCCCAGCTCCTCCCTTTGCCACTGAGAGGGTCGACCCTGGGTGGCCACAGTGACTTCTGCGTCTGTCCCAGTCACCCTGAAACCACAACAAAACCCCAGCCCCAGACCCTGCAGGTACAATACATGTGGGGACAGTCTGTACCCAGGGGAAGCCAGTTCTCTCTTCCTAGGAGACCGGGCCTCAGGGCTGTGCCCGGGGCAGGCGGGGGCAGCACGTGCCTGTCCTTGAGAACTCGGGACCTTAAGGGTCTCTGCTCTGTGAGGCACAGCAAGGATCCTTCTGTCCAGAGATGAAAGCAGCTCCTGCCCCTCCTCTGACCTCTTCCTCCTTCCCAAATCTCAACCAACAAATAGGTGTTTCAAATCTCATCATCAAATCTTCATCCATCCACATGAGAAAGCTTAAAACCCAATGGATTGACAACATCAAGAGTTGGAACAAGTGGACATGGAGATGTTACTTGTGGAAATTTAGATGTGTTCAGCTATCGGGCAGGAGAATCTGTGTCAAATTCCAGCATGGTTCAGAAGAATCAAAAAGTGTCACAGTCCAAATGTGCAACAGTGCAGGGGATAAAACTGTGGTGCATTCAAACTGAGGGATATTTTGGAACATGAGAAAGGAAGGGATTGCTGCTGCACAGAACATGGATGATCTCACACATAGAGTTGAAAGAAAGGAGTCAATCGCAGAATAGAAAATGATCACTAATTCCACCTCTATAAAGTTTCCAAGAGGAAAACCCAATTCTGCTGCTAGAGATCAGAATGGAGGTGACCTGTGCCTTGCAATGGCTGTGAGGGTCACGGGAGTGTCACTTAGTGCAGGCAATGTGCCGTATCTTAATCTGGGCAGGGCTTTCATGAGCACATAGGAATGCAGACATTACTGCTGTGTTCATTTTACTTCACCGGAAAAGAAGAATAAAATCAGCCGGGCGCGGTGGCTCACGCCTGTAATCCCAGCACTTTAGAAGGCTGAGGTGGGCAGATTACTTGAGGTCAGGAGTTCAAGACCACCCTGGCCAATATGGTGAAACCCCGGCTCTACTAAAAATACAAAAATTAGCTGGGCATGGTGGTGCGCGCCTGTAATCCCAGCTACTCGGGAGGCTGAGGCTGGACAATTGCTTGGACCCAGGAAGCAGAGGTTGCAGTGAGCCAAGATTGTGCCACTGCACTCCAGCTTGGGCAACAGAGCCAGACTCTGTAAAAAAAAAAAAAAAAAAAAAAAAAAAAAAAAAGAAAGAAAGAAAAAGAAAAGAAAGTATAAAATCTCTTTGGGTTAACAAAAAAAGATCCACAAAACAAACACCAGCTCTTATCAAACTTACACAACTCTGCCAGAGAACAGGAAACACAAATACTCATTAACTCACTTTTGTGGCAATAAAACCTTCATGTCAAAAGGAGACCAGGACACAATGAGGAAGTAAAACTGCAGGCCCTACTTGGGTGCAGAGAGGGAAAATCCACAAATAAAACATTACCAGAAGGAGCTAAGATTTACTGCATTGAGTTCATTCCCCAGGTATGCAAGGTGATTTTAACACCTGAAAATCAATCATTGCCTTTACTACATAGACAGATTAGCTAGAAAAAAATTACAACTAGCAGAACAGAAGCAATTTGGCCTTCCTAAAATTCCACATCATATCATCATGATGGAGACAGTGCAGACGCCAATGACAATAAAAAGAGGGACCTCCGTCACCCGGTAAACATGTCCACACAGCTCCAGCAAGCACCCGTCTTCCCAGTGAATCACTGTAACCTCCCCTTTAATCAGCCCCAGGCAAGGCTGCCTGCGATGGCCACACAGGCTCCAACCCGTGGGCCTCAACCTCCCGCAGAGGCTCTCCTTTGGCCACCCCATGGGGAGAGCATGAGGACAGGGCAGAGCCCTCTGATGCCCACACATGGCAGGAGCTGACGCCAGAGCCATGGGGGCTGGAGAGCAGAGCTGCTGGGGTCAGAGCTTCCTGAGGACACCCAGGCCTAAGGGAAGGCAGCTCCCTGGATGGGGGCAACCAGGCTCCGGGCTCCAACCTCAGAGCCCGCATGGGAGGAGCCAGCACTCTAGGCCTTTCCTAGGGTGACTCTGAGGGGACCCTGACACGACAGGATCGCTGAATGCACCCGAGATGAAGGGGCCACCACGGGACCCTGCTCTCGTGGCAGATCAGGAGAGAGTGGGACACCATGCCAGGCCCCCATGGCATGGCTGCGACTGACCCAGGCCACTCCCCTGCATGCATCAGCCTCGGTAAGTCACATGACCAAGCCCAGGACCAATGTGGAAGGAAGGAAACAGCATCCCCTTTAGTGATGGAACCCAAGGTCAGTGCAAAGAGAGGCCATGAGCAGTTAGGAAGGGTGGTCCAACCTACAGCACAAACCATCGTCTATCATAAGTAGAAGCCCTGCTCCATGACCCCTGCATTTAAATAAACGTTTGTTAAATGAGTCAAATTCCCTCACCATGAGAGCTCACCTGTGTGTAGGCCCATCACACACACAAACACACACACACACACACACACACACACACACAGGGAAAGTGCAGGATCCTGGACAGCACCAGGCAGGCTTCACAGGCAGAGCAAACAGCGTGAATGACCCATGCAGTGCCCTGGGCCCCATCAGCTCAGAGACCCTGTGAGGGCTGAGATGGGGCTAGGCAGGGGAGAGACTTAGAGAGGGTGGGGCCTCCAGGGAGGGGGCTGCAGGGAGCTGGGTACTGCCCTCCAGGGAGGGGGCTGCAGGGAGCTGGGTACTGCCCTCCAGGGAGGGGGCTGCAGGGAGCTGGGTACTGCCCTCCAGGGAGGGGGCTGCAGGGAGCTGGGTACTGCCCTCCAGGGAGGGGGCTGCAGGGAGCTGGGTACTGCCCTCCAGGGAGGCAGGAGCACTGTTCCCAACAGAGAGCACATCTTCCTGCAGCAGCTGCACAGACACAGGAGCCCCCATGACTGCCCTGGGCCAGGGTGTGGATTCCAAATTTCGTGCCCCATTGGGTGGGACGGAGGTTGACCGTGACATCCAAGGGGCATCTGTGATTCCAAACTTAAACTACTGTGCCTACAAAATAGGAAATAACCCTACTTTTTCTACTATCTCAAATTCCCTAAGCACAAGCTAGCACCCTTTAAATCAGGAAGTTCAGTCACTCCTGGGGTCCTCCCATGCCCCCAGTCTGACTTGCAGGTGCACAGGGTGGCTGACATCTGTCCTTGCTCCTCCTCTTGGCTCAACTGCCGCCCCTCCTGGGGGTGACTGATGGTCAGGACAAGGGATCCTAGAGCTGGCCCCATGATTGACAGGAAGGCAGGACTTGGCCTCCATTCTGAAGACTAGGGGTGTCAAGAGAGCTGGGCATCCCACAGAGCTGCACAAGATGACGCGGACAGAGGGTGACACAGGGCTCAGGGCTTCAGACGGGTCGGGAGGCTCAGCTGAGAGTTCAGGGACAGACCTGAGGAGCCTCAGTGGGAAAAGAAGCACTGAAGTGGGAAGTTCTGGAATGTTCTGGACAAGCCTGAGTGCTCTAAGGAAATGCTCCCACCCCGATGTAGCCTGCAGCACTGGACGGTCTGTGTACCTCCCCGCTGCCCATCCTCTCACAGCCCCCGCCTCTAGGGACACAACTCCTGCCCTAACGTGCATCTTTCCTGTCTCATTCCACACAAAAGGGCCTCTGGGGTCCCTGTTCTGCATTGCAAGGAGTGGAGGTCACGTTCCCACAGACCACCCAGCAACAGGGTCCTATGGAGGTGCGGTCAGGAGGATCACACGTCCCCCCATGCCCAGGGGACTGACTCTGGGGGTGATGGATTGGCCTGGAGGCCACTGGTCCCCTCTGTCCCTGAGGGGAACCTGCACCCTGGAGGCTGCCACATCCCTCCTGATTCTTTCAGCTGAGGGCCCTTCTTGAAATCCCAGGGAGGACTCAACCCCCACTGGGAAAGGCCCAGTGTGGACGGTTCCACAGCAGCCCAGCTAAGGCCCTTGGACACAGATCCTGAGTGAGAGAACCTTTAGGGACACAGGTGCACGGCCATGTCCCCAGTGCCCACACAGAGCAGGGGCATCTGGACCCTGAGTGTGTAGCTCCCGCGACTGAACCCAGCCCTTCCCCAATGACGTGACCCCTGGGGTGGCTCCAGGTCTCCAGTCCATGCCACCAAAATCTCCAGATTGAGGGTCCTCCCTTGAGTCCCTGATGCCTGTCCAGGAGCTGCCCCCTGAGCAAATCTAGAGTGCAGAGGGCTGGGATTGTGGCAGTAAAAGCAGCCACATTTGTCTCAGGAAGGAAAGGGAGGACATGAGCTCCAGGAAGGGCGATGGCGTCCTCTAGTGGGCGCCTCCTGTTAATGAGCAAAAAGGGGCCAGGAGAGTTGAGAGATCAGGGCTGGCCTTGGACTAAGGCTCAGATGGAGAGGACTGAGGTGCAAAGAGGGGGCTGAAGTAGGGGAGTGGTCGGGAGAGATGGGAGGAGCAGGTAAGGGGAAGCCCCAGGGAGGCCGGGGGAGGGTACAGCAGAGCTCTCCACTCCTCAGCATTGACATTTGGGGTGGTCGTGCTAGTGGGGTTCTGTAAGTTGTAGGGTGTTCAGCACCATCTGGGGACTCTACCCACTAAATGCCAGCAGGACTCCCTCCCCAAGCTCTAACAACCAACAATGTCTCCAGACTTTCCAAATGTCCCCTGGAGAGCAAAATTGCTTCTGGCAGAATCACTGATCTACGTCAGTCTCTAAAAGTGACTCATCAGCGAAATCCTTCACCTCTTGGGAGAAGAATCACAAGTGTGAGAGGGGTAGAAACTGCAGACTTCAAAATCTTTCCAAAAGAGTTTTACTTAATCAGCAGTTTGATGTCCCAGGAGAAGATACATTTAGAGTGTTTAGAGTTGATGCCACATGGCTGCCTGTACCTCACAGCAGGAGCAGAGTGGGTTTTCCAAGGGCCTGTAACCACAACTGGAATGACACTCACTGGGTTACATTACAAAGTGGAATGTGGGGAATTCTGTAGACTTTGGGAAGGGAAATGTATGACGTGAGCCCACAGCCTAAGGCAGTGGACAGTCCACTTTGAGGCTCTCACCATCTAGGAGACATCTCAGCCATGAACATAGCCACATCTGTCATTAGAAAACATGTTTTATTAAGAGGAAAAATCTAGGCTAGAAGTGCTTTATGCTCTTTTTTCTCTTTATGTTCAAATTCATATACTTTTAGATCATTCCTTAAAGAAGAATCTATCCCCCTAAGTAAATGTTATCACTGACTGGATAGTGTTGGTGTCTCACTCCCAACCCCTGTGTGGTGACAGTGCCCTGCTTCCCCAGCCCTGGGCCCTCTCTGATTCCTGAGAGCTTTGGGTGCTCCTTCATTAGGAGGAAGAGAGGAAGGGTGTTTTTAATATTCTCACCATTCACCCATCCACCTCTTAGACACTGGGAAGAATCAGTTGCCCACTCTTGGATTTGATCCTCGAATTAATGACCTCTATTTCTGTCCCTTGTCCATTTCAACAATGTGACAGGCCTAAGAGGTGCCTTCTCCATGTGATTTTTGAGGAGAAGGTTCTCAAGATAAGTTTTCTCACACCTCTTTGAATTACCTCCACCTGTGTCCCCATCACCATTACCAGCAGCATTTGGACCCTTTTTCTGTTAGTCAGATGCTTTCCACCTCTTGAGGGTGTATACTGTATGCTCTCTACACAGGAATATGCAGAGGAAATAGAAAAAGGGAAATCGCATTACTATTCAGAGAGAAGAAGACCTTTATGTGAATGAATGAGAGTCTAAAATCCTAAGAGAGCCCATATAAAATTATTACCAGTGCTAAAACTACAAAAGTTACACTAACAGTAAACTAGAATAATAAAACATGCATCACAGTTGCTGGTAAAGCTAAATCAGATATTTTTTTCTTAGAAAAAGCATTCCATGTGTGTTGCAGTGATGACAGGAGTGCCCTTCAGTCAATATGCTGCCTGTAATTTTTGTTCCCTGGCAGAATGTATTGTCTTTTCTCCCTTTAAATCTTAAATGCAAAACTAAAGGCAGCTCCTGGGCCCCCTCCCCAAAGTCAGCTGCCTGCAACCAGCCCCACGAAGAGCAGAGGCCTGAGCTTCCCTGGTCAAAATAGGGGGCTAGGGAGCTTAACCTTGCTCGATAAAGCTGTGTTCCTAGAATGTCGCTCCTGTTCCCAGGGGCACCAGCCTGGAGGGTGGTGAGCCTCACTGGTGGCCTGATGCTTACCTTGTGCCCTCACACCAGTGGTCACTGGAACCTTGAACACTTGGCTGTCGCCCGGATCTGCAGATGTCAAGAACTTCTGGAAGTCAAATTACTGCCCACTTCTCCAGGGCAGATACCTGTGAACATCCAAAACCATGCCACAGAACCCTGCCTGGGGTCTACAACACATATGGACTGTGAGCACCAAGTCCAGCCCTGAATCTGTGACCACCTGCCAAGATGCCCCTAACTGGGATCCACCAATCACTGCACATGGCAGGCAGCGAGGCTTGGAGGTGCTTCGCCACAAGGCAGCCCCAATTTGCTGGGAGTTTCTTGGCACCTGGTAGTGGTGAGGAGCCTTGGGACCCTCAGGATTACTCCCCTTAAGCATAGTGGGGACCCTTCTGCATCCCCAGCAGGTGCCCCGCTCTTCAGAGCCTCTCTCTCTGAGGTTTACCCAGACCCCTGCACCAATGAGACCATGCTGAAGCCTCAGAGAGAGAGATGGAGCTTTGACCAGGAGCCGCTCTTCCTTGAGGGCCAGGGCAGGGAAAGCAGGAGGCAGCACCAGGAGTGGGAACACCAGTGTCTAAGCCCCTGATGAGAACAGGGTGGTCTCTCCCATATGCCCATACCAGGCCTGTGAACAGAATCCTCCTTCTGCAGTGACAATGTCTGAGAGGACGACATGTTTCCCAGCCTAACGTGCAGCCATGCCCATCTACCCACTGCCTACTGCAGGACAGCACCAACCCAGGAGCTGGGAAGCTGGGAGAAGACATGGAATACCCATGGCTTCTCACCTTCCTCCAGTCCAGTGGGCACCATTTATGCCTAGGACACCCACCTGCCGGCCCCAGGCTCTTAAGAGTTAGGTCACCTAGGTGCCTCTGGGAGGCCGAGGCAGGAGAATTGCTTGAACCCGGGAGGCAGAGGTTGCAGTGAGCCGAGATCACACCACTGCACTCCAGCCTGGGTGACAGAATGAGACTCTGTCTCAAAAAAAAAGAGAAAGATAGCATCAGTGGCTACCAAGGGCTAGGGGCAGGGGAAGGTGGAGAGTTAATGATTAATAGTATGAAGTTTCTATGTGAGATGATGAAAATGTTCTGGAAAAAAAAATATAGTGGTGAGGATGTAGAATATTGTGAATATAATTAACGGCATTTAATTGTACACTTAACATGATTAATGTGGCATATTTTATCTTATGTATTTGACTACATCCAAGAAACACTGGGAGAGGGAAAGCCCACCATGTAAAATACACCCACCCTAATCAGATAGTCCTCATTGTACCCAGGTACAGGCCCCTCATGACCTGCACAGGAATAACTAAGGATTTAAGGACATGAGGCTTCCCAGCCAACTGCAGGTGCACAACATAAATGTATCTGCAAACAGACTGAGAGTAAAGCTGGGGGCACAAACCTCAGCACTGCCAGGACACACACCCTTCTCGTGGATTCTGACTTTATCTGACCCGGCCCACTGTCCAGATCTTGTTGTGGGATTGGGACAAGGGAGGTCATAAAGCCTGTCCCCAGGGCACTCTGTGTGAGCACACGAGACCTCCCCACCCCCCCACCGTTAGGTCTCCACACATAGATCTGACCATTAGGCATTGTGAGGAGGACTCTAGCGCGGGCTCAGGGATCACACCAGAGAATCAGGTACAGAGAGGAAGACGGGGCTCGAGGAGCTGATGGATGACACAGAGCAGGGTTCCTGCAGTCCACAGGTCCAGCTCACCCTGGTGTAGGTGCCCCATCCCCCTGATCCAGGCATCCCTGACACAGCTCCCTCCCGGAGCCTCCTCCCAGGTGACACATCAGGGTCCCTCACTCAAGCTGTCCAGAGAGGGCAGCACCTTGGACAGCGCCCACCCCACTTCACTCTTCCTCCCTCACAGGGCTCAGGGCTCAGGGCTCAAGTCTCAGAACAAATGGCAGAGGCCAGTGAGCCCAGAGATGGTGACAGGGCAATGATCCAGGGGCAGCTGCCTGAAACGGGAGCAGGTGAAGCCACAGATGGGAGAAGATGGTTCAGGAAGAAAAATCCAGGAATGGGCAGGAGAGGAGAGGAGGACACAGGCTCTGTGGGGCTGCAGCCCAGGATGGGACTAAGTGTGAAGACATCTCAGCAGGTGAGGCCAGGTCCCATGAACAGAGAAGCAGCTCCCACCTCCCCTGATGCACGGACACACAGAGTGTGTGGTGCTGTGCCCCCAGAGTCGGGCTCTCCTGTTCTGGTCCCCAGGGAGTGAGAAGTGAGGTTGACTTGTCCCTGCTCCTCTCTGCTACCCCAACATTCACCTTCTCCTCATGCCCCTCTCTCTCAAATATGATTTGGATCTATGTCCCCGCCCAAATCTCATGTCAAATTGTAAACCCCAATGTTGGAGGTGGGGCCTTGTGAGAAGTGATTGGATAATGCGGGTGGATTTTCTGCTTTGATGCTGTTTCTGTGATAGAGATCTCACATGATCTGGTTGTTTAAAAGTGTGTAGCACCTCTCCCCTCTCTCTCTCTCTCTCTTACTCATGCTCTGCCATGTAAGACGTTCCTGTTTCCCCTTCACCGTCCAGAATGATTGTAAGTTTTCTGAGGCCTCCCCAGGAGCAGAAGCCACTATGCTTCCTGTACAACTGCAGAATGATGAGCGAATTAAACCTCTTTTCTTTATAAATTACCCAGTCTCAGGTATTTCTTTATAGCAATGCGAGGACAGACTAATACAATCTTCTACTCCCAGATCCCCGCACACGCTTAGCCCCAGACATCACTGCCCCTGGGAGCATGCACAGCGCAGCCTCCTGCCGACAAAAGCAAAGTCACAAAAGGTGACAAAAATCTGCATTTGGGGACATCTGATTGTGAAAGAGGGAGGACAGTACACTTGTAGCCACAGAGACTGGGGCTCACCGAGCTGAAACCTGGTAGCACTTTGGCATAACATGTGCATGACCCGTGTTCAATGTCTAGAGATCAGTGTTGAGTAAAACAGCCTGGTCTGGGGCCGCTGCTGTCCCCACTTCCCTCCTGTCCACCAGAGGGCGGCAGAGTTCCTCCCACCCTGGAGCCTCCCCAGGGGCTGCTGACCTCCCTCAGCCGGGCCCACAGCCCAGCAGGGTCCACCCTCACCCGGGTCACCTCGGCCCACGTCCTCCTCGCCCTCCGAGCTCCTCACACGGACTCTGTCAGCTCCTCCCTGCAGCCTATCGGCCGCCCACCTGAGGCTTGTCGGCCGCCCACTTGAGGCCTGTCGGCTGCCCTCTGCAGGCAGCTCCTGTCCCCTACACCCCCTCCTTCCCCGGGCTCAGCTGAAAGGGCGTCTCCCAGGGCAGCTCCCTGTGATCTCCAGGACAGCTCAGTCTCTCACAGGCTCCGACGCCCCCTATGCTGTCACCTCACAGCCCTGTCATTACCATTAACTCCTCAGTCCCATGAAGTTCACTGAGCGCCTGTCTCCCGGTTACAGGAAAACTCTGTGACAGGGACCACGTCTGTCCTGCTCTCTGTGGAATCCCAGGGCCCAGCCCAGTGCCTGACACGGAACAGATGCTCCATAAATACTGGTTAAATGTGTGGGAGATCTCTAAAAAGAAGCATATCACCTCCGTGTGGCCCCCAGCAGTCAGAGTCTGTTCCATGTGGACACAGGGGCACTGGCACCAGCATGGGAGGAGGCCAGCAAGTGCCCGCGGCTGCCCCAGGAATGAGGCCTCAACCCCCAGAGCTTCAGAAGGGAGGACAGAGGCCTGCAGGGAATAGATCCTCCGGCCTGACCCTGCAGCCTAATCCAGAGTTCAGGGTCAGCTCACACCACGTCGACCCTGGTCAGCATCCCTAGGGCAGTTCCAGACAAGGCCGGAGGTCTCCTCTTGCCCTCCAGGGGGTGACATTGCACACAGACATCACTCAGGAAACGGATTCCCCTGGACAGGAACCTGGCTTTGCTAAGGAAGTGGAGGTGGAGCCTGGTTTCCATCCCTTGCTCCAACAGACCCTTCTGATCTCTCCCACATACCTGCTCTGTTCCTTTCTGGGTCCTATGAGGACCCTGTTCTGCCAGGGGTCCCTGTGCAACTCCAGACTCCCTCCTGGTACCACCATGGGGAAGGTGGGGTGATCACAGGACAGTCAGCCTCGCAGAGGACAGAGACCACCCAGGACTGTCAGGGAGAACATGGACAGGCCCTGAGCCGCAGCTCAGCCAACAGACACGGAGAGGGAGGGTCCCCCTGGAGCCTTCCCCAAGGACAGCAGAGCCCAGAGTCACCCACCTCCCTCCACCACAGTCCTCTCTTTCCAGGACACACAAGACACCTCCCCCTCCACATGCAGGATCTGGGGACTCCTGAGACCTCTGGGCCTGGGTCTCCATCCCTGGGTCAGTGGCGGGGTTGGTGGTACTGGAGACAGAGGGCTGGTCCCTCCCCAGCCACCACCCAGTGAGCCTTTTTCTAGCCCCCAGAGCCACCTCTGTCACCTTCCTGTTGGGCATCATCCCACCTTCCCAGAGCCCTGGAGAGCATGGGGAGACCCGGGACCCTGCTGGGTTTCTCTGTCACAAAGGAAAATAATCCCCCTGGTGTGACAGACCCAAGGACAGAACACAGCAGAGGTCAGCACTGGGGAAGACAGGTTGTCCTCCCAGGGGATGGGGGTCCATCCACCTTGCCGAAAAGATTTGTCTGAGGAACTGAAAATAGAAGGGAAAAAAGAGGAGGGACAAAAGAGGCAGAAATGAGAGGGGAGGGGACAGAGGACACCTGAATAAAGACCACACCCATGACCCACGTGATGCTGAGAAGTACTCCTGCCCTAGGAAGAGACTCAGGGCAGAGGGAGGAAGGACAGCAGACCAGACAGTCACAGCAGCCTTGACAAAACGTTCCTGGAACTCAAGCTCTTCTCCACAGAGGAGGACAGAGCAGACAGCAGAGACCATGGAGTCTCCCTCGGCCCCTCCCCACAGATGGTGCATCCCCTGGCAGAGGCTCCTGCTCACAGGTGAAGGGAGGACAACCTGGGAGAGGGTGGGAGGAGGGAGCTGGGGTCTCCTGGGTAGGACAGGGCTGTGAGACGGACAGAGGGCTCCTGTTGGAGCCTGAATAGGGAAGAGGACATCAGAGAGGGACAGGAGTCACACCAGAAAAATCAAATTGAACTGGAATTGGAAAGGGGCAGGAAAACCTCAAGAGTTCTATTTTCCTAGTTAATTGTCACTGGCCACTACGTTTTTAAAAATCATAATAACTGCATCAGATGACACTTTAAATAAAAACATAACCAGGGCATGAAACACTGTCCTCATCCGCCTACCGCGGACATTGGAAAATAAGCCCCAGGCTGTGGAGGGCCCTGGGAACCCTCATGAACTCATCCACAGGAATCTGCAGCCTGTCCCAGGCACTGGGGTGCAACCAAGATCACACAAATCCCTGCCCTCATGAAGCTCATGCTCTCATGGGGAGGAAGACAGACATACAAAGAGATCTAGAATGTGAGGTCAGGTGTTGACAAGAGCCCTGGAGGGAATAGAGCAGGGAAAGGTCAGAAAAGGAAGACCCAGGGTCTCTAGAGGAGGTGTCAGGGAAGGGATCTCCCAAGAATGCCCTGATGTGAGCAGGACCTGAAGGCAATGGGGAGGGAGCCGTGAAGACCCCTGGAAAAGCAGATTCCACACAGGGAAATGCCAAGGTCAGAGGTGCTAAGGAAATAGGAGACACACTGCTGACCTTGACCTAGTAGGACACACACACACACACACACACACACACACTCACTCACTCCAGGGCTGGGGGATGAAGAGACCTGCTCAGGACCCAGGACCCCATTTTTCCACCCTAATGCATAGGTCCCAATATTGACCGATGCTCTCTGCTCTCTCCTAGCCTCACTTCTAACCTTCTGGAACCCGCCCACCACTGCCAAGCTCACTATTGAATCCACGCCGTTCAATGTCGCAGAGGGGAAGGAGGTGCTTCTACTTGTCCACAATCTGCCCCAGCATCTTTTTGGCTACAGCTGGTACAAAGGTGAAAGAGTGGATGGCAACCGTCAAATTATAGGATATGTAATAGGAACTCAACAAGCTACCCCAGGGCCCGCATACAGTGGTCGAGAGATAATATACCCCAATGCATCCCTGCTGATCCAGAACATCATCCAGAATGACACAGGATTCTACACCCTACACGTCATAAAGTCAGATCTTGTGAATGAAGAAGCAACTGGCCAGTTCCGGGTATACCGTGAGTGATTCCCCCATGACCTCTGGGTGTTGGGGGTCAGTTCTACTTCCCACACACAGGATTATCAGGCCTGGGCTGTGCCTGTGGCCCCCTCTGCATTACGCACCATGTTAGGGTTTGGGCATTTAGTGCAGGATACACACAGAAGAGACAAACTTCAACAGATCAGAATTCCTTTCCGGCATCCAGACCCTGCAGACACTCACTGCAGAGGAAGGACAGTCTGATGTGGGGGACTTAGCAGGGGGAGGTCAGTCTCAGCCAAGCACCCCGTGCCCTCCCCGTAAACCTGACCCTGAGAAAGACCCTGGAGAACTGCATCAGAGCCTGGCCTGAGGGACCCCTGGGATATTCACAGAGAAGCTCAGCCCCAGGGCTCCTGGTTCCAGGTGACTCAGGGGAGCCTGTGCCAGGGCTGTGTTGTGGCCTCCTGGGCAAGGCTAACTGGAAGCAAGGACTTAGCAGCTGTCCAAGGGCTGTGGCTCCTGGAGCTGGATTCTGGATGCAGAATCGGACTTTCTGGCCACACTTGTTCCCTGTCCCCAGAGTCTCATTTGGACAAGGACAGAGCCTTGTCCTTTACTTGAGACTCAATGTGGGGAGGATAGATAGACAAGGTTATTAGGGTGTCAGTCCATTGCCCTGGGGACATAGGTGACTCCATGGGAAGCTCAGTGTCCCCAGGAAGAGGAACAGAGGAGAGAAGATGCTCCCGGCAGCTCCTTGTCCACCAGGGATCAGGCCCAGGGCCTTCTCTCTTGGAGGCAAATAAACATAAATGATGTTCATTTGAGCAGCTCCTCTGTGCAGAGCTGAGATCAAGTAATTGTAAATATTTTGAGGTTAATTCACAAACAACCTCACAGCCAAATAGCACTTATCCTACTTATTGAAAGGAAATTGAGGCACAGGGAGACAGTCACTAACAAGGGTCACACAGGCCATAGGTGTCAGATTGAAGTCACATGAGGTCTGTCTGTAGCCACAGCCCCCTCCTCTCCTCAACTGGGGGTGGGTGGGGCTGTTTGTTGTTAGGCATCTGCATCTGAGACCAGTCATGGGCTTGCGTTCTTTTGTCTTGGGCATCCACAGCTCAGAAGCGGAGATTCTGGTCTGGAGAGTGATAAGTAAATGGAGAAATAATCAGTTTTACTCTAGAACTAGATCACCTCAACAGTCAGGGTCAGTGCCGGGATTGTCCAGGCCTCTCCCTGAGATCCACAGCCCCCTCACATGACCTCAAATCCTGTGTTTCCCGATGTGTCAGTGTCACTCCCACGGAAGGATAAAGGAAAGGACTTCGCTTTCTCTCCCCACTCACACCCTGTGCCAACAGAGGCCCAAAGTGAGACACACGCTTGCTCAGTAGCTCTCTCATGAAGGGGGGAATGAGTGAAGGAATGATCCATAACCTCTATAGAGACTGGATCCTGGATGCAGAATCCTGGGAGGTTCTGACCACACCTGTTCCGTGTCCATCAGGGGCTGAGATCCATGTACCATTCCTCTGACCCCCTGTCCCGAAAGCCACCCTATCTCATGTGACTCTGGGGTTCCTTGGCCATGGGAGGGTTTTCAAGGCTCCCTGGTCCTGGTCGGGACAGCCAAGGGACTCCTAGTCCTGGGGTCTCCGAGGTCACTATACCCCGCATGGCTCATTGCCATGGGCATTTCTGACTTTCTTCTATTCCTCCATGTTCTTCGTCTTCCTCCCTCTTCATTCCAGCTGAGATGCCCATCCCTGAACATCTTCCTCCACTCTTAGGCCTTCCCCAGACACTCCCTTGAACAAGGCTGGCTGTCCTGTTTTCTTGCCGCTCACACTGTGTCCTGGCCCACTTCCCAGGCAATAGGGAAGGCACAGAAATCACAGGCAATAGGGAAGGCACAGATGGAGCCCCTGCCAGGCTCCATCACAAGCCAATGTCAACAGGTCACCAGGAGAATGAGCTTCCGCTGTGTTCCTGCCCAGGGCTCTTTACTTCCATGAGGCCAACACACGGAACAGGCAGCAGGACGGGAATGAGCGACTCCTCCATCCACTCCCTACACTGACTCACCAGGGGGTCAGAGGCAGAAGGACAGGTCTGCAGTCCCCAAAGCCCGCATGCTTATTTCACTCACTTCACTACCCACTCCATCTTCATCCTGGTGTGGGGCTCACATCCTCCAGTGGATCCTGGGACCTCCCCCAGGTGGAGCTGGCCAGGCAGGTGCTGTCTGATAGGTTTGCTGCCCATTCCACATACACCTGTGTCCTCATGATGATGCCATTGTCATAAGGTGGAGTCCCTTGGACTGAGAAGTGAACCAGCCACTGGCGTCTCACTTAGACTCTACCCAGTTACAAAAACTTAAACTCTAGTTGTGTTTTCTGAGGTTGATAGGAGAGGAAGAAAACCTTTCACATGCCTGTTTTGAGGCTTCTCCTCTTTTTGCCTAACTCTGCACAGGAACTAGGGGCAGGGAGCGCTTTCTAAATTTACTAACATCACACACATTGCTTCTCCTAACTTGGCATCATTTCTCCCTTTATGTAATTGACACACCTAAGAGTTCCTCTCTGACCGGTTCTGTCCTCTTAACAGGTCTCACATCCCTCTCTCTGTTCAGGGAGTCACTGATTTCAAACCACTTTCAGCATCTTCCTTTGAGCATAATGTGATCACTTTGGAATTCAGAGCAGACCTAAACCTTAGCATAATATTAAAAGAAGTACTACTTCCAGCAATTGATCTTAGATCTTTAGGCCATTGATAAGAATTTCCACTTATGGAAAAAATTTAATGTTTCCCCCAAATGTCTTTCACTTTTTTAACTATAGTCAGAAAATAACATGAGATCTAAACTCCTGACAAATTTTTAAGGGCAAATTATAGTACTACAGATTGAGTATCCCAAATCCTAAAATCCAAAATCTGAAATGCTCCAAAATCCAACATTTTTTGACCACTGACATGATTCTCAAAAGAAATGCTCACTGAAGGCCGGGCACGGTGGCTCATGCCTGTAATCCCAGCACTTCGGGAGGCCAAGGCGGGAAGATCACAAAGTCAAGAGATCAAGACCATCCTGGCCAACATGGTGAAACCCCGTCTCTACTAAAAATACAAAAATTAGCTGGGCGTGGTGGCATGCACCTACAGTCTCAGCTACTTTGGAGGCTGAGGCAGGAGAATCGCTTGAACCCGGGAGGTGGAGGTTGCAGTGAGCTGAGATCGTGCCACTGCACTCCAGCCTGGCAACAGAGCGAGACTCCATCTCAAAAAAAAGAAAAAGAAAGAAAAGAAAAGAAAAAAGAAAGGCTCACTGGAGCACTTTGGATTCCGTATTTTCAGATTTGGGGTGCTAAACTGGTAAGTATATTGCAAATATTCAAAACTCAAAAACAGTCAGAAATCCAAAACACTTTTAGTCCTAAGCCTTACACATAAGACATACTCAATCTGTATGAACTATAGGCACCAAGCTGAACAGCAGATCCCTAGAACCTCCTCATCCTGCATAACTGAAACTGCAGACCCATGAACAACTCTCCATTCCCCCAGTTCCCAGGCTTTGACAACCACCATTCTACTCTCTGATTCCACAAGTGTGACTACTCTAGGGACTTCATATAAGTGGAATCCTACAGTATCTGCCCTGTGAGTGGCTTATTTCATTTAGCATAATGTCCAATGGGAGAAAATAATTGCAAAACTTCTTCTCAAAGTTCTGTCTCATAACTGTCAAACACACATGGTCCTTGAGGGCCAGATTTCCAGCAGTTCATGCTCCCCCTTTTCCACCAGTCAGTTCTGCATTTGCAAATGTCCACATGTATTTATGGAGAGATCCACAGCATCCTCGCCTGCCCTCTGCAAGGGGAGAAGGGACATTAAAGACCAAAGACAGGCCGGGTGCAGTGGCTCATGCTTGTAATCCCAGCACTTTGGGAGGCCAAGGTGGGCAGAACACCTGAGGTCAGAAGTTCAAGACCAGCCTGACCAATATGGTGAAACCCCATCTCTACTAAAAATACAAAATTTAGCTGGGTGTGGTGGTGGGCGCCTGTAGTCCCAGCTACTCGGGAGGCTGAGACAGGAGAATCGCTTGAACCCGGGAGGCAGAGGTTGCCATGAGCCGAGATCGTGCCTGGCCAACACAGCAAGACTCCATCTCAAAAAACAAACAAACAAACAAAGACCAAAGACAAAGAACATACATATGGTTCTGCTGTTAAATCCGGGCAGCTCCTGCCTGTCACCTGAAGTTCTAGATCATTCCCTGGACTCCACTCTATCTTTAGGGGTCTCTGGCTCAAGTCAGTCATCATCAAACACCTGGGAAAAACTGCCCCACCTTGTGCCTCCACTGCCTAACGACTGAGCTGACCTCCAGGCTTGCCTCTGGTGTCCCCTGTGTTATTTCTACTGAAACATCCAGTCCCAGGCCAGGCTGCACAATATGTACAGGGTTTAAGGACAATGGGAAGACCCATCACTATCCATTTCTAGGATGTCCTTGCAAAGGGAAACCACAGAAAAAATATACCTAGGGAAACAAAGTAGGACTGAAGGTGGAAGGGACCCAGCACTTGAATGTTCCAGGTGAGGACCCTACAGTGGGCCAAGTAGTCAACTGGTCAGGGAGGGACCAGGAGAGGCACCAGGAGCTGTGACCTCCCCCCCAGTCCTGTGTCTGTTCACAGCCCAATGCTGCTGCTTAATTCACACTTGAGAAAGTCTGTGCTTCCCCCACACCGAGCAGGCAGCCTCGCAGTCTCTGAGATCTCAGATCATCGTGCATCTGTCTTGTGACACATGCACCCACCGTGGGTTTTTAAGGGCTCAGGTGGGCTGAGAGGTGGAAGGTGCCAACTCTGATTGAAAGATGCCTGTGAGGAATCAAAGGTGCCACACAGGGCAATCTTCTCTCTGTTATCTGCACAGCGGAGCTGCCCAAGCCCTCCATCTCCAGCAACAACTCCAAACCCGTGGAGGACAAGGATGCTGTGGCCTTCACCTGTGAACCTGAGACTCAGGACGCAACCTACCTGTGGTGGGTAAACAATCAGAGCCTCCCGGTCAGTCCCAGGCTGCAGCTGTCCAATGGCAACAGGACCCTCACTCTATTCAATGTCACAAGAAATGACACAGCAAGCTACAAATGTGAAACCCAGAACCCAGTGAGTGCCAGGCGCAGTGATTCAGTCATCCTGAATGTCCTCTGTGAGTATATCTGCTCCTCTCTGGCCCAGGCTGCCAGCCCAAATCCACAGGGCCAGAGGCAGGATTTCTCAGTCCCTCTCAGGTTCAAGTACACAGACCCTCAACCCTGGACATCCAGACTGTCTGTGACTTTCTGCCCCAGAAAAACCTGGGCAGACCAAGTCTTGACCAAGAATAGGAGGGGAGGGGCTGCTTCTGTCCTGGGAGGCTCAGGGTCCACACCCTATGATGGGAGAAACAGGTGAATATCTCAGACTCAGGCTCAGTAGATACAAGAGGGGTTTGGCTGAGACTTTAGGATTGTGATTCAGCTTAGAGGGACACTGTGGTCCTTCCATAGACCAGGAACTTCCACTTCCCTCTGACAATATCACCTGTGGCTTTATTTTGTTTGCTCCAGATGGCCCGGATGCCCCCACCATTTCCCCTCTAAACACATCTTACAGATCAGGGGAAAATCTGAACCTCTCCTGCCACGCAGCCTCTAACCCACCTGCACAGTACTCTTGGTTTGTCAATGGGACTTTCCAGCAATCCACCCAAGAGCTCTTTATCCCCAACATCACTGTGAATAATAGTGGATCCTATACGTGCCAAGCCCATAACTCAGACACTGGCCTCAATAGGACCACAGTCACGACGATCACAGTCTATGGTAAGTGGATCCACGAAGCACTGACATCATGTTTTGAGGTGGAGTCTGTCTGGTTTTCAAACAAGAGCCAGGAAGACATTTTCTATCCCAGCCTGTGTCCAGTGGGCACAAGCAAATCCCAGATTCTCCCACTGAACCTCCCCAATATGTCTCTACAGACTCTTTTCTTCTTGTTCTGATTTCTCATGGCGGGCCCCAGGTCCAGCTTGGAATGTGGGGAGGAGGCTCCCTCAGCCCCACAGCCCTGTGTAGTGGAGGAAGCTTCACAGAGCGGGAAGGAGCAAGGGTTCTCAAGGTCAAGTTGCTTCTCTCTGTCACCAATGTGTCCCTTTCTGTCACCTCTTTGTGTTCTTTTGCCTACTCCATGAGCTACAAGCAACATTCAAGGCTTTGAAACAAGCTCATACTTTTTTCCCAAATGAGAGAAGGAAGCCCCTTGGGTGAGGGAGACACAGCTCAGACTGCTCCCTGCTCTGCTCTGGGCTCCCCTGGGTGACTGGCCTTGCCTGACTCCACCTAGGTGGGAACGAGGTGTGTGGAGAAGGAGCCCGGGTGGTCTGTCCTGAATTCGGCTAAATCAAGCTGCCAATCAACACCAAAGCTTCCCTTCGTCCCAGTCAGGCTGCAGGAAAATGGAAAGAGAGGGAGCCTCAGGGCAGACTCCTGAGCTGCGTCCTGGCTCTGATGTCACCAGCTATATGAGGCTGTGGGCACAGCACATGGGACACAGCACAGGGGACAGCAAGTGACCCACACTTGGAGAAATCAGGAGATTCACCACAGGGGCTCTGCACGGCAGGGAATGGCAGTGTCAAAAATCGTGTGTTTATACAGATGGTAACAGTACATATCTAACACAAACTTACCATCTTAACTTTTCTACACATGCAGTTCAGTGGTATTAAATATATTCCCCTTGTTCTGCTTCCATCACCACCATCTACCCACAGGACTCTTTTCTTCCTCCCAAAATGAAACTCTGTTCCCATCAAACTCCTGGGCAGAGCTGCCCCATCTATGGCCCACAGTCTGATCCCTGACTTGTCACCTCTAGACATGCTCCTAGTCTCCTGCACTATTTCTGCTCAAACATCCATCTCCATCATCACCTATCTCTAGGATGTCCTTAAATAGCAAAGCCTCAGAGCAAACACAACTTGGCTGGGTGGTGTGGGACTGTGCAGCTGGAAGAAACGCAGCTCCTTCAAATTCCAGGTGAGGACCCCAATGGGCCAGGCAGCCAGCCAGTCAGGAAAGGACCAGAAGTGCTGGGGGCTGTGACCCCCAGCCCTGTGTCTGTCCACAACCCAATGCTACTGCCCAATTCACACTTGAGAAAGTCTGTGCTTCTCCCACACAAAACAGCCAGCCTCATGGTCTCTGAGCCCTCAGATCATTGTGCATCTGTCTTGTGACGCACACACACCTGCCATGAGCTTTTAAGGACTCAGTTGGGCTGAGAGGTGGGAGATGCCAACTCTGATTGATAGATGCCCGTGGAGGAATCACAGGTGCCACACAGGGCAATCTTCTCTCTGTTATCTGCACAGCAGAGCCACCCAAACCCTTCATCACCAGCAACAACTCCAACCCCGTGGAGGATGAGGATGCTGTAGCCTTAACCTGTGAACCTGAGATTCAGAACACAACCTACCTGTGGTGGGTAAATAATCAGAGCCTCCCGGTCAGTCCCAGGCTGCAGCTGTCCAATGACAACAGGACCCTCACTCTACTCAGTGTCACAAGGAATGATGTAGGACCCTATGAGTGTGGAATCCAGAACGAATTAAGTGTTGACCACAGCGACCCAGTCATCCTGAATGTCCTCTGTGAGTATCTTCTGTTCCTCTGTGGCTCAGGCTGCCAGCCCAAATCCACATAGCCAAAGTCCAGGCCTCTCAGTCCCTCTCAGGCCCAAGGACAGAGACTTTTACCCCTGGACATCCAGGCTGGCCCTACCCCCAGCAAATCCATGCAGGCCCAGTCCTGACCAAGAATAGGAGGGGAGGGTCTGCTCCTGTCCTGTAACACTCGGGATCCACAGCTAGTGATGGGAGAAACAGATGAATGTCTCAGACTCTGGCTAATTGGATACAGTAGGGGTTTGGTTAGGACTTCAGGATTGTGACTTGGCTCAGGGGGACACTGTTGCCCTTTCACAGACCAGGAGCTTCCCCTTTGCTCTGATGACATTCACCTGTGGCCCTATTCTCTTTGCTCCAGATGGCCCAGACGACCCCACCATTTCCCCCTCATACACCTATTACCGTCCAGGGGTGAACCTCAGCCTCTCCTGCCATGCAGCCTCTAACCCACCTGCACAGTATTCTTGGCTGATTGATGGGAACATCCAGCAACACACACAAGAGCTCTTTATCTCCAACATCACTGAGAAGAACAGCGGACTCTATACCTGCCAGGCCAATAACTCAGCCAGTGGCCACAGCAGGACTACAGTCAAGACAATCACAGTCTCTGGTAAGTGGATCCCTGGACCGTTAGCAATATGTTCTGGAGCGGAATCTGTCTGGTTTTCAGAAAAGAGCCAGGAAGAAATTTTCTTTCCTAGTATGCATCCAATGGGCACAAGCAATCCCAAATTCAATCCTGAGCACTCCCAATTTGTCTCTACAAACACTCTTCCCCTTGTTTTTCTGATTTCTCATGGCTGACCTTGTGTCCACCCTGAGAAATGTGGGGAGGGGTCTTCATCAGCCCTGAGCCCTATGTAGTGGAAGGGGCTTCACAGAGGGGGAAGCAAGAAGGGTCCTCAAGGTCAAGTTGCTCCTCTCTGTCACCAATATGTCCCTTTCTGACACCACTTTGTGTTCTTTTACCTAATCCATGAGCTACAAGGAACAACTGAGGCTTTGAAACAAGCTCACACTTTTTCCCCAAATGAGAGGAGGATGCCCCTTGGATGAGGGAGGAGCAGCTCAGACTCTGCTCCCGGCTCCGCTCCGGGCTCCCCCAGTGACTGGCCCTGCCCTGATTTCACCTGGGGTGGGATCCGGGCATGTGGAGAAGGTGCTCAGGTGGCCTGTCCTGAATCTGGCTAAGTCAAGATGCCAGATGAAGCCAAGCCTTCCCAGGGTCAGGCTACAGGGAAATAAGAAGAGAGGGAGCCTCGGGGCAGACTCCTGAGCTGTGTCCTGGAGTCTGAAGTCACCGGCTGTATGAGATTGTGGGCACAGCACATGGGACACAGCACAGAAGACAGTCAGTGGCACACACTTGGAGACACACAGAGATTCACCCATGGGGACTCAACATGGCAGGGAAGGGGCAGTGCCAAAAAGTGTGTGTTTATAGACAGGGTAAGAATACCAGCCACTATATATATCTAACATAAGACACCATTTTAACCTTTCTATGTATGCAGTTTAGTAGCATTAAATATTTTCCCATTATTCTGCTACCATCATCACCATCCACCCACAGAACTCTTTTCTTCTTCCTAAAATGAAACTCTGTTCCCATCAAACTCTTGGGTAGAGCTGCCCACCTGTGGCCCACAGCCTGACCCCTGAACTCACCTCTAGACTTGCTCCTGGTCTCCTGAGCTATTTCTGCTTAAACACCCATCCCCGTCATCACCCATCTCCAGGATAGCCTTGAAACAAAAGGCTCAGAGAAAACACCCCACGGTTGGGTGGTGTGGGACCGTGCAGCTGAACGGAATTCAGCACCCACAAGTCCCCAGGTTGGCCAGGCCGTCAGCCATCAGGGAAGAACCAAAGGAGGTGCTGGGGGCTGTGACTCCCAGTCCTGGGTCTGTCCACAACCCAACGCTGCTGCCCAATTCACACTTGAGAAAGTCTGTGCTTCCCCCACACAAAGCAGCCGGCCTTACAGTCTCTGAGCCCTCAGATCATCGTACATCTGTCTTGTGATACACACACCTGCCATGGGCTTTTAAGGACTCGGGTGGGCTGAAGGGTGGGAGTTGCCAACTCTGATTGAAAGATGCCTGTGAGGAATCAAAAGTGCCACACAGGGCAATCTTCTCTCTGTTATCTGCACAGCGGAGCTGCCCAAGCCCTCCATCTCCAGCAACAACTCCAAACCCGTGGAGGACAAGGATGCTGTGGCCTTCACCTGTGAACCTGAGGCTCAGAACACAACCTACCTGTGGTGGGTAAATGGTCAGAGCCTCCCAGTCAGTCCCAGGCTGCAGCTGTCCAATGGCAACAGGACCCTCACTCTATTCAATGTCACAAGAAATGACGCAAGAGCCTATGTATGTGGAATCCAGAACTCAGTGAGTGCAAACCGCAGTGACCCAGTCACCCTGGATGTCCTCTGTGAGTATCTTCTGTTCCTCTGTGGCCCTGGTTTCCAACCCAAATCCACACAGCCAGAGGCCAGGACTCTCAGTTCTCCTCAGGTCCAAAGAGGCAGACTCCCACCCCTGGACACCCAGGCTGGCCATAACTTCCTGTCCCAGGAAAATTTGGGCAACCTCAGCCTGGACCAAGAATAGGAGGGGAGAGGCTGCTCCTGTCCTAGGAGGCTCAGAGTCCACAGCCTATGATGGGAGAAACAGATGAACGTCTCAGACCCAGACTCAGTGGACATGAGGGTTATGGTTTGGACTTTTTTTTTTTTTTTTTTTTTTTTGAGACGGAGTCTCGCTCTTTCGCCCAGGCTGGACTGCAGTGGTGTGATCTCGGCTCACTGCAAGCTCCGCCTCCTAGGTTCACACCATTCTCCTGCCTCAGCCTCCCGAGTAACTGGGATTACACACACGTGCCGCCATGCCCAGCTAATGTTTTTTGTATTTTTAGTAGAGACGGGGTTTCACCATGTTGGTCAGGCTGGTCTCGAACTCCTGATCTGCCCGCCTCGGCCTCCCAAAGTGCTGGGATTACAGGCGTGAGCCACCGCACCCGGCCGATTTGGACTTTTTAACACAGGATTGGGACAGGATTCAGAGGGACACTGTGGCCCTTCTACAATCAGGAGCTTCCCCTTTCCTCTGATGACATCACCTGTGGCTTTGTTCTCTTTGTTCCAGATGGGCCGGACACCCCCATCATTTCCCCCCCAGACTCGTCTTACCTTTCGGGAGCGAACCTCAACCTCTCCTGCCACTCGGCCTCTAACCCATCCCCGCAGTATTCTTGGCGTATCAATGGGATACCGCAGCAACACACACAAGTTCTCTTTATCGCCAAAATCACGCCAAATAATAACGGGACCTATGCCTGTTTTGTCTCTAACTTGGCTACTGGCCGCAATAATTCCATAGTCAAGAGCATCACAGTCTCTGGTAAGTGGCTCCCTGGAGCATCAGCATCATATTCTGGGGTGGAGTCTATCTGGTTCTCACCAAAGAGCCAAGAAGACATTTTCTTTCCCAGTCTGTGTTCCATGGGCACAAGGAAATCCCAAATTCTATCCTGAGCCCCCTCACTCCATCTCGGCCAACTCTCTCCTCCCCGGCTTCTCTGATATCTCACGGCTGACCTCGGGTCCAGCCTGGAATGTGGGGAGGGGCCTCCCTTAGCCCCAGAAGGCCCCCAATAGTGAAAGGGACTTCATAGTCCAGAAGAAAGAAGGGTCCTTAAGGTCGAGTTGCTCCTCTCTATCACCAATATGTCCCTTTCTGTCACCTCTTTGTGTTTTTTCACCTACTCTGTGAGCTACAAGGAACAAGGAGGCTTTGAAACCAGCCCACACTTTTTCCCCAAATGAGAGGAGGAAGCCCCTTGGATGAGGCAGGAGCAGCTCAGACTCTGCTCCCTGCTCTGCGCCCGGCTCACCCGGTGACTGGCTCTGCCCTGGCTCCACTTGGGGTGGGACCGGGGCATGTGGAGAAGGTGTCCAGGTGGCCTGTTTTGAATCTGGGTAAATCAAGCTGCCAATCCACAGCAGAGCCTCCCTTGGGTCAGGTTGCAGGGAAATGGGAAAAGAGGGAGCCTCGGGACAGACTCCTGAGCTGTGTCCTGGCTCTGAAGTCACTGGCTGTATGAGGCTGTGGACACAGCACATAGGACACAGCAGAGGAAAGTGAGTGACACACACTTGGAGAAATAGGGAGATTCAGCCATAGGGGCTCTGCATGGGAGGGAACAGGCAGTGCCAAAAAGTGTGTGTTTATAGAGAGGGTAAGACTATCAGCCACTATATATATCTAACATAAAACTTACCATTAACCATTTCTAAGTGTACAATTAAGTGAAACAGCATAAATATCAATCAAGTATATTGCCCGGTGTGGTGGCTCATCCCTGTAATCCCAGCACTTTGGGAGGCCAAGGCGAGTGGATCACCTGAGGTCAGGAGTTCAAGATACAGAAAAAAAAAAATAGCTAGGCATGGTGGTGGGTGCCTGTAATCCCAGCTACTCGGGAGGCTGAGGCAGGAGAATCGCTCGAACCTGGGCGGTGTAGTTTGCAGTGAGCCGAGATTGAGCCACTGCACTCCAGCCTGGGTGACAGAGTGAGACTACATCACAAAAAAAAAAAAAAAAAGGAAAAAATAAATCAAGTCTTTTTATACTCATGTCTAACCATCACATCACACTATCCATTTCCAGAACTTTTTCATCTTACCATACTAAACCTCTGTACCCAATAAACAGTAACTCCTTCTCTCCCCTAAACTCTGGTAATCTCCATTCTACTTTCTGTCTCTAGGTAATCAACTATTCTAACGATCTTACAAAAATGGAATTATATAATAGTTGTCCTTTTGTGTCTGCCCTATTTCACTTAGCATAATGTCTTCAAGGTTCATCCATTTTGCACCATGTATCACAATTTCTTCCTTGTTAAGGTTGAAGAACATTCCATTGTATGGATACACCTCATTTTTCTATCCACTTATCTTTCAATGGACTTTTCAGTTGTTTCCACCTTTTGGCTATTGTGAGTAATGCTGCTGTGAACATCAGTGTACAAATATCTGTTCAAATCACTGCCTTCAATTCTTTTTGGTGTATGTCCAGAAATGGAATTGGTAGATCAAATGTTAATTCTTTTTTTTGTTTGTTTGTTTGTTTGTTTGTTTGTTTTTTGAGATGGAGTCTCGCTCTGTCGACCAGGCTGGAGTGCACTGGCGCGATCTCGGCTCACTGCAAGCTCCGCCTCCCGTGTTCACGCCATTCTCCTGCCTCAGCCTCCCGAGTAGCTGGGACTACAGGTGCCCGCCAACAAGCTTGGCTAATTTTTTTTTTTTTATTTTTAGTAGAGACTGAGTTTCACAGTGTTAGCCAGGATGGTCTCGATCTCCTGACCTCGTGATCCGCCTGCCTTGGCCTCCCAAAGTGCTGGGATTACAGGCATGAGCCACCGTGTCCGGCCCCAAATGTTAATTATTTATTTAATTTTTTGAGGAACCACCATACCATTTTCCACAGTAGCTAATATTTCACATTTCTATCAGCAATGCACTAGAGTTCCAATTTTTCCACCTCCTTGAAAACACTTATTGTTTTGTGGCCATCCTGATGTGTGTGAGGTGGAGTATCATTGTGGCTTTGACTTGCATATCTCTAAGTGTTAGTGATGTTGAGCATATTTGCATGTGCTTGTTGGCCATTTGTATATCTTCCTAGGAGAAATCTCTACTTTAGTCCTTTGTCCATTTATTAATTGGGATTTTGGATTTTTGTGGTTGTTGATTTGTAAGAGTTCTTCATATATTCTGGAAATTAATCCCTTATCAGATATATGATTTGCAAATATATTTCCCATTTCATAGGTTGCCTTTTCACTTTCTCGATAATGTTCTTTAATATATAAAAGTTTTTAATTTTCGAGGCCCTGCACGGTGGTTCCTGTAATCCCAGCACTTTGGGAGGCCGAGGCAGGTAGATTACAAGGTCAGGAGATCAAGACCATCCTGGCTAACACAGTGAAACCCCGTCTCTACTAAAAATACAAAAAAAATTATCCAGGCGTGGTGGTGGGCGCCTGTAGTCCCAGCTACTCAAGAGGCTGAGGCAGGAGAATGGCATGAACCCAGGAGGCATAGCTTGCAGTGAGCTGAGATCGCACCACTGCACTCCAGCCAGGGTGACAGAGCGAGACTCTGTCAAAAAAAAAAAAAAAAAGTTTTTAATTTTCATGAAGTCCAGTTTATCAATTTTTTTCTTTTGTTGCCTATTTGTTGTTATAACCAAGACATGACTGTGAAATTAAATGTCATTAAGCTTTTTTCCCTATGTTTTCTTCTCAGAGTTTTATACTTTTCACTCTTACATTTAGGTCTTTGATCCATTTTAGGTTAATTTGCATATATGGTATCAGGCAAAGATTCAACTTGTTCTTGTGCATGGATATTCAGCTTTCCCTATATCATTTGTTGAAAAGACTGTCCTTTCCCCATTAAATGGTCTTGGCACCGTTATCAAAAATCATTTGGCCATATATGCAAGCATTTCTTTCTGGGCTCTATATTCTATTGCTTTGGTTTCAATATCTTCCTTTATGCCAATACCACACTGTATTGATTACTGTGGCTTTATAGCAAATGCTGAAATCAGGAAGTGTGAGTCCTCCAGCTTCATTCTTTATTTTCCAGGTTGTTTGGCTATTTAGAGTCCTGAGATTCCATATGAATTTCAGGATATGTTTTTCTATTTCTGCAAAAAATGTCACTGGGACTCTGGTACAAATTGCGTTGAACCTGCAGCTCACTTTGAGTGGTATTGTCCTCCTAGCAATATTGAGACTTCCCATCCATGAAAAAAAAATGTCTTTCCATCTATTGATGTTGTCTTTAATTTCCTTCAGCAGTGTTTTATAGTTTTCAGGGTACAATCCTTTCACCTCCTTGGTTAAGCTTATTTCTAACTATTTTATACTATTTTATGTTAATGTGAATTGGAAATTTTTTCTTAATTTCCTTTTAGATTGTTCATTGTTAGTGTGTAGAAGTACAACTGATGTTTGCGTGTTGATTTTGTATCCTGCAACATCACTGAATTTATTTATTAACTCTAACAAGTTTTTTAATCTTCAGGGTTTTCTACAGAGAAGTCCAAGTTATCTGAAAACACAGATCATTTTACTTCTTTCCAATTTGGATGTCTTTTTTTTTCTTGCCTAATTTCTCTGGCTAGGACTTCTAATACTGTGTCGAATAGACGTGGCAAAAGCAGGCATTCTTGTCTTGTTCCTGGTCTTACAGGGAAAGCTTTCAGTCTTTCTCCATTGAGTATCATGTTAGCATTGGGCTTTTCACACATTGCCTTTATTATGCTGAGGTGGTTTCCTTCCATTCATAATTAGAGTGTTTTTGTTGTGAAAGAATGGTGAATTTTGTCAAATGCTTTTATTGGTTCTATCTAATTATAGGCCTATTAAATTTTTTTGTGTTTCCAGGAATTTGTCCATTTCATCTAGGTTATTCAACAGTTTGTTGGCATACAATTATTCATAGCATTCTTGTAGTCCTTAATATTTCTGTAGAATTTGTAGCATTGGTAGCAATATCTCCATTTTCTTTTTTTTTTTCTTTTTTTTTTTTAAGAGACAGGGTCTCACTCTGTAGCCCAGCACAAGCTAGAGTGCAGTGGTGCCATCATAGCTTACTGCAGCCTCAACCTCCAAGGCTCAAGTGATCTTCTGCCCCAGCCTCTTGAGAAGCTGGGACTACAGACATGTGACACCAAGCCTGGATAGTTTTTTAAAGAAATTTTGTAGACACTGTGTCTGCCTATGTTGCCCAGGCTGGTCTTGACCTCCTGACCTCAAGTAATCCTCTTGCTTGAGTCTCCCAATGTGCTGGGATTAAATGTGTGAGCCGCTATACCTCCATTTTCATTTCTGATTTTAGTAATTTGAATCTTCTCTCTTTTTTCTTAGTCAATCTAATAAATGATTGTCAATTTTGTTGATCTTTTTTGAAGAACCAACTTTTGGTTTCATTGATTCCTTCTATTGTTTTTCAATTTTCCATTTTATTTATTTAAACTCTAATCCTTATTATTTCCTTCATGTACTATCTGTGGTTTGAGGTGGTTCTTTTTCTGTATCCTGAAGTTGTAAAGTTAGGTTGTTGATTTGAGATCTCTCTTTATATTTAATGTATTTACCATTAAATTTCTCACACAAGATTCTTAACTTCTCTGAGCCTTCAATTCTTCAACTGAAAATTGTAATAATTCTCATCACCAGGAAATGGAGGAAAAATGAAAATTGCAATAAGAATGACTGTTTAACAGTATTGTTTTAAAGATTTAATGTAATATTCGATTAAGCTTTCAGCAAAATGCTACACACAGAGGGAAACTTCATAAATATTAGCTGCTATTATCACTACTGTTATTATTAGCTTGAAGTTAGGCAGTTCTAGAGCCAAATCCTAGATCCACTTCTCACTAATTATATGACTTTGGATAAGTTTTTTCACCACTCCAAGTCTCTGTCATTTCATCTGTAAGATGGAAATCATGCCTACCCAACAGGGTTATTGTATGGATCAAATGAGATGCCAGAAAAGCATTTACAGTAGCTAACATAGCATTAATCATCAGCCTGAGTTGACTAGTGAGAGCCAAGCCCCAAATGAAAACCCACTAGGACATGGTTACTGGCTAAAAATGGGGGAGAGAAAAAAAAGTTAAGTGCAAAGAATCAAGCCTGGTATGTTAGTTTTCATCCACTGAGATTCAGCCAAGATGGAATTAGAGGTGCAAGATAATTTACCGGGGGGAACCACCATGAGGAAAAGTGGAGTAGAAGTGGGAGGAGCCTGAGAGAGCCCTCAGACCACGATGCAGATCTGATTCCTGAGAAGGAGAAAGAGGAGAGAGTTTTAGATAGTGATGCAGTTCTCAGAGTTTCCACAAGGCTGGTGGGGCGTCCTCAAGCCCCTCACCCATGAGAGAGAAGCAGAGTCCCCCAGAACTGGGCTTTTCATTCCCCTGGTGGGAGCCCATGAGAAGCGAGTTCTCTGTGCAACGGACTTAGTAAATACAGAATGCACTAGCCTGGGCCTTCTGCCAATCAAGTCCCTGCCACAGAGACCCAACAGACTTATTTATGCCTACCACAACTGAGACACTGAGAAAAAGATGCAACCATGAAAAGATAGAAAGTTCTAATGACACGCAAAAATAGCAATCAGACTTTCTCAAATTTCAAAGCCTTCAGAAATAGCTGAGTGCAGACAGGCCAGGGTGGAATTGACAGAAGACTGATCACCAACTAGCAACACAGTGAGAGAGAAAAAATTGCAACTTTCCCACAAAACTAATGCATTCCTTGAAGCAACAAGTAGAGACTGCTTCATGCTGAGAGCTGGAACCTGGGGCACCCCACTGTAAAATAACATCACATTCATTCCTTCTCTTTTCTTTCCATGACGGACGATTCAGCATCTGGAACTTCTCCTGGTCTCTCAGCTGGGGCCACTGTCGGCATCATGATTGGAGTGCTGGTTGGGGTTGCTCTGATATAGCAGCCCTGGTGTAGTTTCTTCATTTCAGGAAGACTGGTAGGTATAATGGCCTTTCCTCTTGTTCTGTTTCCTGCAGTGCTGACTGCCATGCTTGGGAGAGGGAAGGGATTTCTTCACCTGTATCTGGGACTGGATCTCTTCCTCCTACCCCCAAGCTCCTGCTTCTCAGCACTAATTCCTGCAGGTCTCTTCTTCCCTGGTCTTCATGCTCCCTGTACGCCACTGTCTCTTAGATATAATTATCCCCACCCTCTGCTCATTTGTTTCCCAGATTCAATACATTGTCAAAGCCTCTTGGTCCTTTTTTAACATCTCACACTTGTGTCATTCTCTCCATTCCCATAAACCTCAACAACTGCTCAAAGTCCTGCTTGACCCCTTGTTGCCAGTCTTTGAAATCTTTCTTGCATATGACTGCCTCATTACCTTCCTAAAATCTAGTTCACTCGCCTACTCAAGAAGACACAGGGGCCTACTGTGGTGTATTAGATAAGTTCACATTTCTTCTCTTTACTAATCTTTTTTACTTCCTTTACCACCACTCCCTTATATAATTCCATCATCCTAATAGATCTGTTTCCCTACACATCCCTGCCTCTCCACCCCACATGTACACAGAATTCTTAGTTCCGGTGTTACACCTAAAAACATGTCAAACAGGGTGACCTCCTTCCACTGTCTGCACTGTGGAGTTACCCACACCCTTAATCACAAGCAACTTCTGACCTCATGAAGAACAAAGACTGTAGCATTAACCTGTGAGTCTTAAGCTCAGGACACAACTGTGCCTGTGACTGAGAACCTTTTCCTGATAACCAATTCATATGTTCATAACAGATACAGAAATGAAGAAGGCAAGGTCCTTAATTCTATAACAGGAGACAAAACCTGAAAAATAATCATAATGCCAAAATAGAAAGGAGTGAACATCACAAGAAATTAGAGAAATCTGACGGAAAATATAGCTACACATTGGAATCACTCAGAAACATTTTATAAAATGGATACTTAAGTCCCACCGATAAATTCCGATTTACTGGTCTGGAGTGGGACCCAGGCATTCGTAATTTTTAAGCCTCCCCAGATGCTACTAATGTGTAGCCAGGATGGAGAAACCCTGTTCTAAATAGGTAGGACTTGGGGCTAAACCCATGACTTTCAGCTAGGAGGATTAGAATTGCCCATGGAGTTTTTCTGGCTGGGCACGGTGGCTCACGCCTATAATCCCAGCACTTTGGGAGGCCAAGGCGGACGGATCAGGAGTTCAAGACCAGCCTGACCAACATGGTGAAACCCCCTCTCTACTAAAAATACAAAAAAATCAGCTGGGCATGGTGGCACGTGCCTGTAATTCCAGCTACTCAGAAGGCTGAGGCAGGAGAATCGCTTGAACCCGGGAGGTGGAGATTGCAGTGAGCCGAGATCGTGCCACTGCACTCCAGCCTGGGCGACAGAGCAAGACTCCGTCTCAAAAAAAAAAAAAAAAAAAGAATTGCCTGTGGAGTTTTTCAACATACGTAAGCCTATACTTTGTTGGCCCTGTTCATTAATGGGCTCCACCAGGAAATTAGGAATCTAGTTGAGAAACAGAAGCTGAATGGAAAGGCCACCTTATTTGATATGTTAAATTATATGGGAAGCACTGTCAAATCATTAGTGATGTTAAACCTTCTCTAAGTTATATTTATGAGTATGTTATTGATGTATTCCAAAAGTTATATAAGAAATTCTAGAAATCTAATTGGTTATCAGCCATAATGTCATATGCCACAGAAGTAACTAAATTTCTATGTGAGTTGTGTTCTTATTATAATAAATTATCATCAGATTTTTAACTGTACTCATTTTAAATCTTTGTCATTCACAGACAGTTGTTTTGCTTCTTCCTTAAAGCATTTGCAACAGCTACAGTCTAAAATTGCTTCTTTACCAAGGATATTTACAGAAAAGACTCTGACCAGAGATCGAGACCATCCTAGCCAACATCGTGAAACCCCATCTCTACTAAAAATACAAAAATGAGCTGGGCTTGGTGGCGCACACCTGTAGTCCCAGTTACTCGGGAGGCTGAGGCAGGAGAATCGCTTGAACCCGGGAGGTGGAGATTGCAGTGAGCCCAGATCGCACCACTGCACTCCAGTCTGGCAACAGAGCAAGACTCCATCTCAAAAAGAAAAGAAAAGAAGACTCTGACCTGTACTCTTGAATACAAGTTTCTGATACCACTGCACTGTCTGAGAATTTCCAAAACTTTAATGAACTAACTGACAGCTTCATGAAACTGTCCACCAAGATCAAGCAGAGAAAATAATTAATTTCATGGGACTAAATGAACTAATGAGGATAATATTTTCATAATTTTTTATTTGAAATTTTGCTGATTCTTTAAATGTCTTGTTTCCCAGATTTCAGGAAACTTTTTTTCTTTTAAGCTATCCACAGCTTACAGCAATTTGATAAAATATACTTTTGTGAACAAAAATTGAGACATTTACATTTTCTCCCTATGTGGTCGCTCCAGACTTGGGAAACTATTCATGAATATTTATATTGTATGGTAATATAGTTATTGCACAAGTTCAATAAAAATCTGCTCTTTGTATGACAGAATACATTTGAAAACATTGGTTATATTACCAAGACTTTGACTAGAATGTCGTATTTGAGGATATAAACCCATAGGTAATAAACCCACAGGTACTACAAACAAAGTCTGAAGTCAGCCTTGGTTTGGCTTCCTAGTGTCAATTAAACTTCTAAAAGTTTAATCTGAGATTCCTTATAAAAACTTCCAGCAAAGCAACTTTAAAAAAGTCTGTGTGGGCCGGGCGCGGTGGCTCACGCCTGTAATCCCAGCACTTTGATCCGCCGAGGCGGGCGGATCACGAGGTCAGGAGATCCAGACCATCCTGGCTAACACAGTGAAACCCCGTCTCTACTAAAAATACAAAAAAAGTTAGCCGGGCGTGGTGGTGGGGGCCTGTAGTCCCAGCTACTCAGGAGGCTGAGGCAGGAGAACGGCATGAACCCGGGAGGCAGGGCTTGCAGTGAGCCAAGATCATGCCGCTGCACTCCAGCCTGGGAGACAAAGTGAGACTCCGTCAAAAAAAAAAAAAAGTCTATGTGGTCAGTCACTACTCTTGCTGCAGTTATGAAAAGAATGAGGCCAAGTCTGATGAAAATAAACTTATTTTGAAAACAAATTTGTCTTATTGGGATTATCTTTGGTAGAAATAGAGATGCCTATGAAGAGAAATTATGTTGAAAAAAAACTATAGTACACCTGTTATGAGACTGTCACTTTGTACATTGTTGAGTTTTTATTATCCACCTGTAGACTAGAGTGGACCATGAATTCTTCCACTTTCTTCAATCCCATTTTCTACCATGGAATCACTAAGAGCAAAGTCTGCTCTGTTCCTGAAGCTCTATAAGCTACAGATGGATAACTCAATGTAAATTTCATGGGAAAACACTCATGCCTAAGGTGTGGGCCACTCAGAGCTCACCAGTATGTTCAACACTATAACTAGAGACACTGAAACTGCAAACCAGGACAAGAAATTGACAACTTCACGCTGTAGACAGCTTTCCCCAAGATGTCAGAACAAGACTTCCTACCATGATGAGGCTCCTACCCCTCTTAATTTGTCCTAGCTCATGCCTGCCTCTTTCACTTGGCAGGATAATGTTGTAATTAGAATTTCACAGGAAGTATCTTCTGAGGGTAGCTTAACAGAGTATCAGATCTATGATATCACTACCAAATTTTTACATAAGAGATCCTTTAGTCCACTCAACGGCTGACATTAGCAGCATCTTTAATACAACTGTTTGTTCAAAGGCAAGGTGGTCCCTTTTAAAGTTACACTTCTAGACTCACCTGTTCTCACTCCCTGTTTTAATGTAACCCAGCCATGAGATGCCAGATAATAGAATTGCTACCTACTAGCTGAACAGGAAAGAACCTGTGCTGATTCTGACACTTCTTGTTGCACATAGATAAATACAATGGGTATTATAGAGACTCAGTTGCAGAAATTAACAAACATGCTGCTTGGTTAAAATGGGTAGACTCATCTGGCTCATTCTTTATTCCATTTTAGTTGGTTTGCATCTTGCCTAAGGTGCATACTCCAAACTCTTGGTATTATTCTCCTGATAGTCACACTAGTAGTCTCCCTGGTGTGCTATAATCTCTAAAAGCTTTAAATGTTTGCATGCAGCTATCCATCGAATGTCAAATGGTCTCTCTTTGGCTGGAATGACAAAACTCAAAGGAATGTGTGATCAGGAGGACATCATAACCTATGAATGATGGAAGCCCAAAATGATGGTAGCTGAGAGTAATGTCAGTGCTTTCAGTTTTGGTCACACTCTCACCTAAGTGAGAGCATAGAGACTCCAAATAGGGCCACTGATGCTAAATGTTACATACTCCAACTGAAATTTTAAGAAAGCAGATAGATCCCAAAACAGACCAATTTAAAAAAATAAAATAAATTAAAAAATAAAAAGGCCAGGCATGGTGGCTAACGCCTATAATCCCAGCACTTTAGGAGGGTGAGGCAGGCGGATCACGAGGTCAGGCGTTTGAGACCAGCCTGACCAACATGATGAAACCCCATCTCTACTAAAAATACAAAAATTAGCTGGGTGTGGTGGCACATGCCCTGTAATCCCAGCTACTCAGGAGGCTGAGGCAGGAGAATCACTTGAACTTGGGAGGTGAAGGTTGCAGTGAGCTGAGATTGCACCACTGCACTACACCCTGGATGACAGAGTGAGACTCCACCTCAAAAAAAAAAAAAAAAGAAAAGAAATTCCAATCTACTTAAATTAACACAATAAGGAGGTCCCCTTTGCTTTAATTTTTATAAAAAAGTAACCTGAATTAAACTGATGTTAACCAATATATTTATTTCTACTGCTCTCTTTTCTTGTTCAAATTTGACAAAACCCACTGTTCTGTTATTGTATGGCCAAAGGGGAGTTATCACTGTATTTGTAAAGTGGGACCTGCCCCAAATTACAAATCCCAAATAAAAGCCAATTAGATTTATAAATAAAGCTGTTGTAATCGTGTCTCTTGATACGAGTTCACAGCCAGCGATGGCCAGTGGAGTCTCTCAGGCTGCGTCATTCTCACCCTGACCCTCCTGCCTTCCTCTTTCACTTACAAGGACCCTTCTGATTACACTGAGCCCACCCAGATTATCCAGAATAACCTCCCATCTCAAGATTCTTAACCTCATCACATCTGGAAAGCCTTTTGCCAAATAAAAGTGTTATGCACTGGCTCCAGGGATTAGGATGTGGACATTTTTAGGAGGCCATTATTCTGCCCAACACAGGTACCTTTTATAAACTTCACCCACAACAAAAATTTGCTTTGCCTGTCTTCTGTGTCTCACTTTTCTGTCTGTGCACAAAGTTTAAGGTGAAACACACCAGCTCTGCTGTGAACTGGCTGGATGACCCTGGACCACTCACTTCACCTCCCTCAGCCTCTTCTCATCTGAAGCACAAGGGTGATTCTTACTGCATCAGAAAATTTACATGAAAGGGTAAATTAAGACGTGTAAGGCATTAGACACAGAGCCTGGTACCTGATGAGCCCTCGGTAAACATTCCTTTCAGTCCTTTCCTTTCACCATCCTATTTCTGTCACCCTCATCCATCTGCTCCTTCATCTCCTTTCTCTTCAGTGACTTACTCAGTCTAAGCTGCCAGTTAGCAAAGAAGCCACACTTCCCATTCTCTCATGATTCTGCTGGAATGTTCTTGTGATAAAGTCTGTTATCCACACGAGACAGCCCACATTATTTATATGGAGAGGTCTAGTTAAAACAAGTCCTTTTTATGTTCACGTAAAACCTATACATGTTTCCTCTTAATTTACACATACCAGTCCCAATTCTGCCCCGTTAATTTATACATGCACTTTCTTGTTTTCACTCTTCTTCAGTATTTCTCTTTACACTTTATAAATTTGGATAGTACAGAGACAAAAATAATGAGCTGGGCCAAAAGAGAGGATTCCTTTAGCAAGATGAATGCTTTCCTTTAAAAAGATGAATGCTTTCTTTTGCCATAATGAATGCTAATTTGCAAGGCACTCCTGAAACCTGTTCCTAGGATTGGCTTTTAGAGAAATCATTTGACTCTGGCTGGGCGCGGTGGCTCACGCCTGTAATCCCAGTACTTTGGGAGGCTGAGGTGGGCGGATCATGAGGTCAGGAGATCGAGACCATCCTGGCTAACACAGTGAAACCCCGTCTCTACTAAAAATACAAAAAATTAGCCAGGCATGGTGGTGGGCGCCTGTAGTCCCAGCTACTCAGGAGGCTGGGGCAGGAGAATGGCGTGAACCCAGGAGACGGAGCTTGCAGTGAGCCGAGATCGCTCCACTGCACTCCAGCCTGGGCGACAGAACGAGACTCCATCTCAAAAAACAAAAAAAGAAGAAGAAAAATCATTTGGCTCTAGGACACATTCTAGACCCCAGGAGGTAATAACAGTGACAGAAGCCACATCCACTCTTAGTATGCCTGCTGCATTTTCACAGAATGTTGTGCATGAATTACTGTTCCCCAATCCTTCCACTCCTGGAGGTTAAGCCTCCCCCTTCAACATCTTCATCTCCAGCTGGCCTGCCAGGACTATGGCTGGGAAATACCTCCCCACCTTCCATGCCCAGGGTGGCACCTTTGCCCATTCCCATAACTATAATAGCTCACACTGATGCAGCACTCACTGTGCACCAGCACTATCCTAAGAGCTTTCTAGCTAGCTACAGTCCTCGCCAAAAAATCCTGAGTGTTATCATCCCCATTTTTACAGATTAAAAAAAAACTGAGGCAGAGATGTGAAGTAATGTACCCAGTGTCACCCAACTCATTTAACCTCATCCTCCACTTTATCTGGGAAGAGGACACCCTAAGATTTCCAAGATGTCCTGAATAACATCCACCTTCCAGAATGGTTTTTGCCCCCTCTACTCTCAGGATTTGACAAACAGCCAGTATTTCGTTTTCTGTCTTACCCTTCACTTATGCACCTGTTCTCTAACGCCACACTCACAACTGCACAGCCCGGAATAAAAGCTGGCTTTTACGGACCTCAATCTCTTTGGGAAAAAAACAGGGCCAGGTTCCCAGTCATCATAAAAAGTCATTTGTACTCTATTGTCAACTATTTGCACAGCCATTCCCTGGCCATAAATGATGTATAGTACCAACAATAAGTGTAATGAGAAGAAAGCAGGAAAAGCATGAGTTCCTGGAATGGTCACAAAGAGGAGAAGATTTCAAATCCAGAAACAGTCATAAAACACACCCAGAGTGTGAGGCCTCTGAGCAATGACAGCCCCACCTGCCTCTTTCCATGGCTGGTGGCCTCTGACTTCCTTCTCAACCTGCCCCACCCGGCCTTGCTTTATTAAACCGATACTAATAGCTTGGAATTGGGGCCAGACCAGTGCACACAGCACTGAGTGGTGGGGTGGAGGAGCTGAAAAGGGAGAAGAGTGTTTGACTTATGAAGACCTGACTCACTTAGGTACACATCACCTGGGCGGGAAATGGTTTAGTGAAGGGCTGTGCAGAACTCATGGTGTTTATCCAAAATGAGTGACTGAGGCAAGTGTCTAAATTAATTGTTTATTGAGCCAGACCTTGAGGGTACACCCTAGGAAAACACAAGTCACAGAAAACCTCTGTGGCTTGTGTTCTCTCTGAAGAGGTTTTCAGGAGGCCTTAAAGGGGGGAAGGCAGGTAGGAAGAGGCGGGTAGGTGGAAGAATGATTGTTCTTGTCTTTGTTCTGTGCCTAGAAAGATAAGCATTATCAGCCTGAAATCCTAAGGACTAAGACTAAAGCCTTAGGAACCAGACTTAGATTTCAGAACTGAAGATACAATCGACATGTCCTTGTTATATGGGGGGATATACATCTTAAAAATTTTAAGGCCAGCAAAGAACAATTTGTGAGGGCAGTCATCCAGAAATACCTAAGGCCTTTTGCTTTCCTATAGAGGTCTGTTTAATGTACAATGTTTTGACACAAGGTTTTATAGTAACAGCGATCCATCTGGGGAAATGATGATGATGTTGCATGACTCAGTCTCAAAGCTTAACTTTCCCTTTGACCTAAAGAGAGTCCTGAAGTTTTTCTTTCCCTTTACATTTACCTGCTACCTGACCTGCTATTCTCTCTCTCTCTCTCTCTCTTTTTTTTTTTTGAGGCGGGGTCTCACTGTCACCCAGGCCGGAGTGCAGTGGTGTGATCATGGTTCACTGCAACCTCCACGTCCCAGGCTCAAGCAATCCTCCTACCTCAGCCTCCCAAGTAGTATCTGGGACTACAGGCCCATCCCACCACACTCAACTAATTTGTGTGTGTGTGTGTGTGTGTGTGTGTGTGTGTGTGTGTATCTTTTTGTAGAGACAGGGTTTCACCATGTTGCCCAGTCTGGTTTCAAACTCCTGAGCTCAAGTGATCCACCCACTGCGGCCTCCCAAAGTGCTAGGATTACAGGCATGAGTCGCTGCACCTGGCCAACCCCTGAAATTCCTCAAAATCTTTCAGAGAAAGCATTATAGAAGATACGAGTTTGTGATTGTATGTTTCATCTGATCCTACATCACCAGGAAAGCTCATTCCTAGGAAGTTGTGTCTCATGGAGAAGGGAGTGAAGTTGCATCAGAAAAGGACCGAAGCCAAGTTACAGGAACAAAAGGAAAGTAATTGTGGAGCCCTATTTGGGCTACACAGCTGCCTCTTCAATTAAAGCAATTCTTTGAGCAATCATCACCCTAACCGTTTCAGTTGTATGTTGGTTCGATCGTAATATCTGGAGCAGTCTATGGACTAGTTTTTCTAGAGCCTCTGAAGCTCCTTGAGATTGCAGTGGCAGATTTCTCTGGATTGTAGTTTGAATTAGATGTTCAAGTGAACCTTTTGAGTAGCCATACATCAGCAGGCACAAAGGTTGTTGTTATATAAGTTGTAATTTCTCCTGAAATTCACTTAAGTTGTCTAGCTTCAGGTTGCAGGGCTTTAGGAAAAAGCACAGTTTTAATTTCTAATGATTCCAAGTCAGAAAAACAGAAGAAAAATTTGAAAGTGTTATTTTCAAGACTTGTAGCCAGGAAAGAATTCAGGATTCAGTACAAATTGTAAGGAAATAACAAAACTCAAAAACAATGAGCAACACCAGAATTTAATAACAGCTGTACTGTAGTTTCTTCTGAAACATAATGTTTTCTGTCTCCAGTTCTCCATTTTTACAAAAGCCAAATTATAGTAGGACCCAAATTATTTGCAAAATAAGTTTTAGTCTTATACTTGGCCTGAAATTTTCATTTTGGAAAGTTTGTCAAATATCAAAGGTCTAAGACACTTGTTCAAAATTGGTCATAGGTCACTATAAAATCATAGTTATTAATTTAGCCAAAGTGATAATTCAAAAATTTTAAGAGGGAAAAATCTTCATTTTTTTCATTTATGTATTTATTTATTTATTTATTGAGTCAGGGTCTCGCTCTGTCACCCAGGCTGGAGTGCAGTGGCACCATCATACCTCACTGCAGCCTTGACCTTCAGGGCTTATGCAATTCTCCCAACCCAGCCACCTGAGTATACGGGACTACAGGTGCATGCCACCGCACCTTGCTAATTTTGTTATTGTTGTTGTTTTTTGTAGAGACAGAGTCTCTATTTGTGGCCCAGGCTGATCTTAAAGTCAGGTGGGAACTGAACAATGAGAACACTTGGACACAGGGTGGGGAACATCATACACCGGAGCCTGTCATGGGGTGGGGGTAGGAGGGAGGGATAGCATTAGGAGATATACCTAATGTAAATGACAAGTTAACGGGCGCAGCACAACAACATGGCACGTGTATACATATGTAACAAACCTGCATGTTGTGCACATGTACCCTAGAACTTAAAGTATAATTTTTAAAAAAGGGAAAAAAAAGATGCCACCTGTGTTAATTAGCTTAGGAAAAAAATAGACACCAAGGTAACACAAAATGATAGATATTTACCTTAGGATTTTATGAGGAGATTTATTTTCTTTAGATAGGTCACTTTTGATTTAGGGTGTGTTTTCCAACTGGACCGCTGAGCTCAAGATGGAGCCCAGCAGGGCCAACAAATTATTTGCAGTTTGTGGGGCCTAATAATTTAAATATGGGAAAAGTGGGCACAGTTGGAAAGCAGAGCATTTAGATCTTTAAACATTAAGGATTCCACTGAACCCCAGGTTCCCCAAAAAAAGGAAAATGCAAAAAGGACCATGCTGTACAACCCTTCCACAGTTGTACTTTGCTACAAAGGCATTTTTCTAATTGTTTAAACCGTGTCTTTCTTATCAAAACATGCAAAGAAATGAGTAGCCTTCTGAAGTAATAATTATTTATTGTAACCACTGTCAGTCATCTCCAAAACTGTAGCTCTCACCCCTGACCCAGCAGCCATCACACACACAAGGCCGAGTATTTTTACAGTACGATGCAATCTCTGATGCCTCCAGAAGCCAAAAACATCAGATAACACAACAGAAAAGAGCAGAGTGTTAGACCTGAGAGAAATCTGGTCACTTAAAATTCCTGAGGCTCCATGAGGAAAAACAGACTTTTTTTAAAAAAAAAAATATTTTAGGTACCTTGTTATCAGATTTTAGCTGGGACAAACAACTGCTATTTCTGGTTTTTGAATTTTTTTTTTAACCAAAGTTGCCCTCCCAATTAAAACTAATAAGGCTTAACCAGGGTTGTGACTTAACCAAGGATGTACAAGGCATATCCAAATAGATGAATGAGCCAGGCACAGTGGCTCACGCCTGTAATCCCAGCACTTTGGGAGGCCGAGGCTGGCAGATCACAAGGTCAGGAGATCGAGACCATCCTGACTAACATGGTGAAACCCTGTCTCTACCAAAAATACAAAAAATTAGCCGGGAGTGGTGGTGGGCGCCTGTAGCCCCAGCTACTCGGGAGGCTGAGCCAGGAGAATGGCATGAACCCGGGAGGCAGAGCTTGCAGTGAGCCGAGATCTTGCCACTGCACTCCAGCCTGGGCGACAGAGCGAGACTCCGCCTCAAAAAAAAAGAAAAAAAATGAATGAGTACTCCCAAAAAAATAGTCCAAAATCACAGAAACATAAAACCAAAAGGGACTAGTTTCCTGACTAGAATTAAACCCAGGCTGCAGTATTAAAGCACAGAATTTTAACTATTAGAAGAGAAGGTGGAGTGCCTTTTATTCGTATTTTCTCAGGAGATCTATAGCAAGCAGTTTGAGCTTACAAAAGATTTTAACTTTGTTTTAGGTCAAATTTTTGTAATTTACTCAAGAGAATTTTTAAAGCTAGCTACAACACTATGATGCGTCTTTTTCTTTTAATTTTATCTTTCCATCACCTATTTAAAATAAAAGATCTCCAAAATCTTTTTTTAATGTAGGAGTCCAATTTAAAGGATCCATCTTCTGGCCATTAGTAATTAGAATTTCCAATGGTGTACTGATCCCAATAATGAATCAACCCAGCAGTTTCTTCAGTGATGAAGCAATCCCAAAGATCTGTCCCCTCAACAAAATAAAATATTCACTCCCAGGAATAGAACAGGACAGCAAAAGACTTTTGTTTCCATAGCACTAACCAGGCAACAACGGTTGGAACAACAAAAACCCCTTATAGATGGGACTTCTTATAACAAATCCTCCTGGGAGTTCAACTCATTTGGAACAAACAAAACAAAACAAAAAAATCTCAGGTCCCAGTCATTCTCAGGCTGATCACCTGATATGACTCAAAAATCACACCTCCCAGATGGTGGGGACCAAGAGCAAGTGCTCCCACTTGGTCACAAATGAAGCCTTCAAGGACATAAAACAAGATGAGAGGGAATTTTATTTGGTACCCTTCTTTATAAACAACACAGAATGAAAGAGACAGAGGAAAAGACTATTTCTGGAAGGAAAGGGATTAAACAATATAAATATTCATATGGAAAAATGCACCAAATACTACACCACAATCTCTACACCCAGGCTAGTCATACACAAATCTTCTCCCATTAACCAAAATTTTGCAGAGAAAACTGATTTTTCCTGTCTGCTTGACCAGATTGCACAGGGAGAAGCCAGGAGCCTCGCTGATAATAAACTCTACCCTTTTGGTGGTTGATCATTTTCCTGGATTCCTGCATGGCCAAAAACAGGTTATGGGGGTAAATCAGGTTTAAGTAGCAAGACAGGTTATTCGAGGGAGAAAGGAGGAAGTCTGGCTAACGAAGATGGTCTTGTTATATAGATGAAACCTCACAGGTAGCAGCCCTCAGAGAGAACAAATGGTAAATATTTCATTCAGGTCTTTAAGGTATAAGGCTCAGTTCATTTTTCCCAGATCCAGACAAAAGAAAGCCTGTCTGTATTAATGGGGATTCTCTACAGATGCCAATTTTTCACATGAAAGACAGCTTTGCAGGCCACTTCTGCCTGCTGGCCCTCTGACAGACATCTCAAAATATGTCAAAAAATATATTTTTGGGTACAATATTCTTATTTCGTTCAACTGACAGGTGATTCCCAGAGGTAGAACTTGATGTTCTGCAGTTGCAGGGGTTTTAGCCAATTTTGAGGCCAGCTCACCATAATGTAGAGCTCCTGCTGGATTTGACCAAGTTGGAAGGTGTTTTGGACACTAGACAGGGCCAAGAGTTGGACAAACTCAAAGGAAGAATGACAAAAACCAAAAACACAAAAAGTGATTGCACTTTACATATTACATATTGTTGAACACTGTAAGCATGAGGAGAGATTAAAGCAAACTAGCAATAAACTTTGACCTGCAGCTACCACATTTTAAAACAAAACCCCAACCCAGCTCTTTATCTCAGAGGGGACCAAGCTGAAGGCTGCTCTCCATTGTCACAGGAGAAGGCAACTCACCTTCCTTATAGGAAGTGAGCAAAGCTGCATGAGTAGAGGAGTTCCATGGCAAAACAAAACTCGGATCTCAAACAAAAAATTGTGGGGAGCAGGGACCTCAAGAGGGAGTAGGATCCAGTCCTTGGAAAGTCACACATTTGGTCAGAGCTAAAGCTCGATAGTTGGTACTGAGCATAAACAGGAGAATCGCTGCAGGCCTAAGGGGCTAAGCTCCACTCAGAGGATCCCTTCATGGTCACCAAAATGTTAACCAAAATGATTGACTGAGGCAAGCAAGTGTCAGTCCATTGAGGTTTACTGAGCCAGAGCTTGAGGGTGCACCCTGGAAAAACATAAGTCATAGAAACCATCTGTGGCTTGTGTTGTCTTTGAAGAGGTTTTCAGGAGGCCTGGTATTTATACTTCTCCTTAAAAGGGGGAAGGCACGTAGGAAGATACAAGTAGAGGAAAGAATGATTTGTCTCATCTTGTCTTTCTTCTTGGATAGATAAGCCTTATCAGTGTGAAATCTTAGATTGCAAACCTAAAGTTAGTATTGACATGTCCTTGTTTTGTGGAAGGATATACATCTTGAAAGGTTTCAAGGCCAGCAAAGAACAATTTGTGAAGGCAGTCATCTAGAGATGCCTGAGGCCTTTTCACCTTCTTGTGGGAGGTCTGGCTATAACGTACAATGCTTTGACACAAGGTTGTGTAGTAACAGTTGTTCATCTGGAGAAAAGATGGTGGCATTATGTGACTCAGTCTTCAGACTGAACTATCCCTTTGGTGTAATGAGTGTGACATGAGATTTTTATTTTCCCTTACATAATTTTAGGAGTTGTACTTCCTTGATGCTGTCTGACTGAGGTCAAAAGGATGGGTGTGGAAGGCATCACACCTTTCTCCCATTTAGAAATCCATTGTCCCTTCCTTCTCCCTTATTGGGTTACATTCCTCTGTCCATAGATCACGTATTTACTGAGTTGTTTTCCACGGGGAAAAAAATCTCAATTGAACTCTTTAAAGCTCCAAGCATTTAATTCAGTTCAAGAGTGTCTCTCATTTTAATGATGACCAGGCACAAATATTTTTAAAACGCTCTCCAGAAAATTGTGATAAGAGCCTCTGCACAACCCACAGTAGCTTTGGAGAGCACTGAGCTACAAAAGTGATGGGGAAGGAACCTGCTACATGCTGGGACCTTTATATTTCCACCTTATCTAATGTCCCCAATGATGTTTTAAGTAGGCACTATTATCACCCTATCCCAAGACATCAATTAACTTGTCCTTTATCTCAGAATTGGTCAAAGGTGGAACCAGGATTCCGACTCACATATTTCTGAATCTAAAGGTCTTGTTTCACTGCAGAGCGATTGAGCGTACATGAACTCAAAGAAAGACAGGATGACTGATTCTAACAGAAATAACCACACAGGCTTCAATGAAGAGTCAGGGTCTGAAACGGGCCTTAGGACAAAGAACAGCTCAGGAGGCTGAGAAGACAGTTGAAGGTATTGCGGGAAGGTGTGAAAGAATTAGAATAAGTTCAGACATGAAAACATAAAATGTGGGTCAAGTCTTTCTACACAGACCAAGGGAGTAGACTGGGGCTGTGTTATGGGGGCTTTGAATGGCAGCCTAAGGAATTGGAACTTCATCCTATGGATGATAGGAGTCATTGGAAAGCTTTGAGAAGGTCAGAGACATGACAAACAGCATTTCCAGGAAGATTACTCTGACAGTGTAACCAAAAAGCAGATTAGTTGCAGGCTGCATGTAGAGTCCCACTAACCAAAGCAAGGTCTGGGCCGGGCGCGGTGGCTCACGCCTGTAATCCCAGCACTTTGGGAGGCCGAGGCGGGTGGATCACGAGGTCAGGAGATCGAGACCATCCTGGCTAACACGGTAAAACCCCATCTCTACTAAAAAATACAAAAAATTAGCCAGGAGTGGTGGCGGGCGCCTGTCGTCCCAGCTACTCGGGAGGCTGAGGCGGGAGAATGGCGTGAATCCGGGAGACGGAGCTTGCAGTGAGCCGAGATCGTGCCACTGCACTCCAGCCTGGGCGACAGAGCAAGACTCCGTCTCAAAAAAAAAAAAAAAAAAAAAGCAAGATCTGATACAAAAAAGTAACTTTATTCCAAAGCTAGCTTTGAGGAAGGGGCACAAAGCATTCTGCCTTTAAATTTGCTGCTTCGCCTTTGGAGCAAAAAGCAGGTATTTTTATAAGTTAAGAGAGGAAATGAGCGAGAATGACCAACAAATGAGCAAAAGAGAAAATGAGCAGTAGATAACTGTCCGGTCCTCCTGCTACTGGGCAGGTGTCTCCTGGGCAGCAGAGTTGGCACTTTCCTGGACAGAAGTAAGTTATAAAAACAGTCACCTGGATATGCTTCTGACGCACCCTCCGAAAGTGTGTGAGTTCCGAGGTGGCCCAGGATGGAAGTTCTAAGGCAATCCCCTAAAGATGAAAGGTCCATGGCAGGTATGCTATGGTCTGCTGATCAACTGTCAACTCTTGAGGAGAGACCCGTCATGGAGCACCTATCTAGAAGAACTTGCCCCTTAGGGAGTGTCTGGTGATGGGGGAGGTGAAAGGTTATATATACATTTCTGAAGGACTAAGTAGGAAACGGGGTGCCGGAAAAATGAGAAAAGAGAGGGAAATAATTAAACCATCTCTAGAAAAATAGAGGTACTCACTTCCAGTTTTCCACTGCCAAGCTTTATTTTATCTTTATGAGATATGGGTGGCACATATGTTCTGCCTGCTTTTTGCTGAAAGGGGGCATAGTCATTGGACAGCAGAATGGAACCAATTTACTTGGAGTTAAAAATATTTATGAGTACCCAGGCTTATAGATGATATAGGTTGGAGCATTATGATGTGAGGTCTAGAAGGTCTCTTGGAAAGCCTGCCTTGTATTTTTATATAGAGGATGTAAAAGCAGGAAGCTCCAAAACAGAGGTATATTCCTATCCCTGCAAGCAGGGCCAATATTACAAGCAGCTTTTGCCACTAGGATGGTTCTGACCCAAATCAGGACACTACCCATTGGTGTAGCAACAATGTGGGGCTATGAGAAATAAAATAATTATTTCTGTTAAAATAATTTTAAAAATTAGGCCACCTCTAGAAAAATAGGGGTACTCGGTTACAACAGTCTTAGGCAAGATAACAAGTGGTTCTGAACTCTGGCAACTTAATAGAATTATCTGGAAGCTTTCATCTTTTTTTTTTTCTTTTTTTTAACTTCTCATTTTGAAATAATTTCAGACTTTCAAAAATGTTCCAAAAATAGAGTCCCCATATACTTTTCACTCAACTTCCCCAAATATTGTTTTAGATAACCACAGTGCAAACATTAAAATCAATAAATGATCACTGACATTGTACAGTAAATAAATTGCAGACCTTATTCAAATCCCTTTTATCTTCCCAGTGATGTCCTCTTTCTAGACCAGGATCCAATCCAGGATCACACATTGCATCTCATTTTTCTGTCCTCTCAGTCTCCCTTAATCTGGGACAGTTCCTCAGAATTTCTTTTGCCTTCATGACCTTAACATTTATGGAGAGTATTGGAGTTATTTTGTAGCATGGCCCTCAGTTTGGGCTTTTCTAATATTTTCTCCTGATTAAACTCAGATTATGCACTTTAGGCAAGAATAGCATAGATATGATGCTGCGCCTTCTCCATGCATTGTATTAAGATGCCCTAAGATGCAGATATCTCTGATTACTGGAGATGTTAACTTTGAGCACTGGGCTAAAGTTCCTCCACTGTAAAATGGCTATTTTCTTTGGAAGCATTTTTAAGTGACCAATACCCCAGGCCACACTATGGACCAATCAAATCAGACACTCCTGGGAAAAGGCACAGGCATTGGTAGGTTTTAAATGCCCTACAGCTGACTGTAACCAGCATCCAGGATTGGAAACCCACAGCTTAGACAGTGAAGATTAGAATCCTGGAAATCAGTCAGGAAGCCATTCTTTGGGCCTAACATCCAGTTCCAGACACAACATTTGGCATGGGCCCATGGTAGGGGAATGGAAGGCCAAAAATCTCCTGATTGGGAAAATGATGGGTGAGTAGACTGCTGTCCAATAAAAATAGAAGGCAGGGCCAGGTGTGGTGGCTCATGACTGTAATCCCAGCACTTTGAGAGATCAAGGCAGCCAGATAACTTGAGCTCAGGCATTCAAGACCAGCCTGGGCAACATGGTGAAATCCCATTTCTACAAAAAAAAATAATAGCCAGGCATAGGTAATATGTGTCTGTACTTCCAGTTATTTGGGAGGCTGGGGTGGGAAGATTGCTAGGGTCCAGGAGGTTGAGGCTGCAGTGAGCCATGATTGCACCACTGTGCTCCAGCCTGGGCAACAGAGCAAGAACCTGTCTCAAAAAAAAAAAAGAGAGAGAGAGAGAGAGAGAGAAGGCAAAATGCTAAGTAAGGTGTCCAGCCCTTCTGGAGTATTTTCTCTCCAGACTATAGAGAAACCTGTATTGTAGAGAAAGCACACACCATAAAATTTAACTATCATAAGCCTGATGTGAACTCCTAATTGCCACTAAGAAGAAGGAAATTATAAATCATGTGATAGAAATATATGACCACATATGCAGAGATGCACACTTCCGGATACAGTTGAATGAAAAATTCACAGAATCCACGTCAGAGGTACACCACCCCGCCCTCCCCACTTGGTCCTTTGTCCTTAATCTCTTCTGAAGTAAGAGAACGAAGACTGTTGTAAATTTCACAAAATAGGGAAGTGTACAAATCTCCTGTCACCTGGCTGTTTAAGCAACAGGACACTGTGCTCAACTTCCCTAGAGTTATTATCTTGGGTTCTCCATAAAGGAATGCCATCAATCCTCTCTTCAGAGGGACCATCTAATAACATGCAAAAGGAAATGCCAATTTCACCAAAACCCAGAGGCAGGAAGGACCCTGACAGGAACAATCCCTAAGGTATTCACATGCCTGCCAGGGTCTGGTGCAGCTGGTGCAGGAGGAACTGCTGCTGGCAATAGCTGGAAAAAAAAAAAAGGGACGGCAGCTCTAACACTCAGGGGGTAGTAAGAAAGGAGCTCACTCAATTCACCTTCAGTTCTCACACAGCCAATACCCTTCCAGCCTCCCTGTGGGGCCTCACTGGGAGGACTGGCACATAATTAAATGCCAATACATGGGTAAAATAATTTACAGAAGGGTGGGATCAACTGGGTCAGAAAAGGTTGAAGATTTCACAAAACGGGAAGGATTTGGGTTAGGCCCCGAAAGACTCAGCCTTAAGAAAGCAGACACAAAGAGAAACAGAAGCCCAAGAAAAGCATCTAGCCTTCCTGGCCAATTTTCTATTCAGACTTCAGAGAGACCTTTATCGTAGTGAAAGCAAATGTCATATAAATTTACTATCCTAAGCCTGACATGAGCTCCTAATTGCCACAGATGGGACGGAAATTATGAATCGTGTGATAGAAATACACAACGCACGCAAAGATACACACTTTGCACCACTCTGGATGCACAAAGATGCACACAGGCCCCACTGGAGATGCTAGTTTTGAAGAAGGTCCCAGGAAGAAGAGTGGGTTTGCAGATGTTATTTTATTTGCTCTTCTCAAACACCATATGGGGATATTTCACAAGGAGGATTCTCGTCCTCAGAAAGGGGAAGTAACTTGCCAAGGTTGTTGGTGGATGTGGGATTAGAACCTCAGTGAGTCTAACACCGGAGCCCATGCCACCACCACTACCACCGAGAGCCCTGAACAGGGTATGTGTAGGGAACAGGTAGGAGCAGAGAGAGTTAAAGCAGAAAGAAACCATTTTAAAACAGGGAAGTTAGGTAAGCTTGCTAAATGGGGATCATATGTTGCAGAGGCATGAACACTAGACAGTCGTGTGAACTTGATCTTCTGATTACAGAAAAGACAAGACAAAAGAGGGTGTGAAAATGGGGTTCTGGGTTCCTAAGCTAAAGAGATGCCACCAACAACAGTGAAGGAGCCATGAGATGTGTGGAGAAAGAACTGGATGGAGAAGCTGAAGCCCTGAGTTTAAATGCAAAAAGTCATAAAGTAAGGGCATGGCTGTGGAGGGCAAGTTATATTCTCTCTCTGCAGTTTGGTATCTCTTCATCTATAAATCACATGGAGTGAGAATTAATGTCTAAATGACCCTCAACCCTTGCTACTCAAAGTGTGGCCCACCAACCAGCAGCAACAACATGTCCAAAAGCTCCTCAGAAATGCAGAATCTCAGACCCCACCAGAAGGATCAGAATCCGTATTTTAACAAGAACTTGGGGTGACCTGTGAGCACATTAAAGATTGTGAAGCAGTTCTCCGAAATGTCTTCCAGTTCTAAAATGCAGTGATTTCACACTCATCTGAACTTTGTCACCTCACAGGAGAAAGAAGGAAAATGGCATTTACATTTTACCTCGTTCGTGACCTTTTCTTAATCCTAACAGCCTCTTAGACTCGCCCGCATCTGGGTAGAGGTTTTAGAAAACACCAGAGAGGCAGGGCTGCCACCTTGTGACTATCATCAGGAAACGCACTTAACTCTTAACCAGTCTCACCAGTCAAGGACGGGACGGGGCTGGAGCAGAGAGGGTATACGGGATGAACTCCAAGTCACAGATGAGATAAGGGAGTTATAACCACCCACAAAGGCTGGAAGTAACTGTCAGAGGGGGCTCAGCCTGCATCATAAAGCAATGTCCCCTTGCAAAGGACAGTTTTTATAATACTTACTATGTGATATCAGTAGGAAATGGTTCCAGGTCAAGCTCTGCCCTTGTAACCTTAAAACTTACTCTAACAGGTATTTTCAACATCAGCCTCAGCCTGAACTCTGCCAGTAAACTTGTAACTTTCCAAGGAAACTTACTCTACTGTAACAGTTCTTTTTCATCCGGAGACAAAATGTATCTGATTCGCAGTCACCGATCCTCACACTACTCTCTGTAGGCTGAATAAGTCTAACAGCTTTTCATACAACTGACCTTCAAATATTGGTTAAGAAAAAAACAAAACCACCATGTGCTGCCCATACCACCATTCCTTGGCCGTTTCCCATGTGGGGTCACCTGAAGCCCCACACCCTCTGATCACGTTCCAATGGGCAAGTGAAGTGCAGTAACAACAACAGACACTCTGAATCCTAGGAGTGTCCCCAGAGCAGCAGAGCCACAGGACCCCCGTCCCCGTCCTGGCGCCTCACCGCTACCTAGAAGCCAAATGCCACATCAGCTGATCTGGGGACGCTGACTTCTCCTGCTTATGCCACTGCTCAGTCATCCCACACCTGTGCAGGTGTCTACTTTTTATTCAGTTTTATTTGTAAGAAATATTTATCTGAGGCTGGGCACAGTGGCTCATGCCTGTAATCCCAGCACTTTGGGAGGCTGAAGCAGGTGGATCACAAGGTTAAGAGATCAAGACCATCCTGGCCAACATGGTGAAACCCCATCTTTACTAAAAATACAAAAATTAGCTGGGCTTGGTGGCGTGCGCCTGTAGTCCCAGCTACTTCGGAGGCTGAGGCAGGAGAATCACTTGAACCAGGGAGGCAGAAGTTGCAGTGAGCCGAGATCGCGCCACTGCACTCCAGCCAGGCGACAGAGCAAGACTCCATCAAAAGAGAAAGATAAGAGAGGAAGAAAGGAAGGAAGGAAGGAAGGAAGGAAGGAAGGAAGGAAGGAAGGAAGGAAGAAAGAAAGAAAGAAAGAAAGAAAGAAAGAAAGAAAGAAAGAAAGAAAGAGAGAAAGGGAGAAAGAAAGAGAGAGAGGAAGGGAGGGAAGGAGGAAGGAAGGAAGGAAGGAAGGAAGGAAGGAAGGAAGGAAGGAAGGAAGGAAGGAAGGAAGGAAAAGATTGATTTATAGGAGCCTGCTGTGTACTGTCACTGGAGAGACAAAGGTGAATCACACCCGGTCCCTGGCTTGCAGAGCTCCAGGCTATGGACGGAACCCACTCAAAGTCAGACCATTACTATTCAGTGAGAAACACCGTGACAGGCATCAGAAAAGGGTTTTCTGACCCATCTCACCAATGCCCTGTGAAAAATCTGCTGTTGGTTTTCTGGGCTCAGTTTTTCTCATTTCAAGTTCAGAATGAAAAAGAGAATGTAAATGTCCCTGATGGTCCTTTGTGCGGTCACAGCTGTACCCGGCATGTCCTCCCAGTTAATCCAGGGTGCTCAGGGCTCCCACTTCACTCTGAGCGTCCTCTTTCCTATCGGAGCTCACCACGTCTGCACCTGCAGCAGCCAGGTGGCTGCACACTAATAGAAAATCCAGCAAGTCAGAAAACTTGATTTACTCCTGTAAATTTGAGGCCAGTGACCTTGTGACATTGAACTACTCCTATAACTTCCCTGCACTTTAATTTCCACGTCTGTAAAGTGGGGCAGGTGGATTCGGTCACCCTAGGTGCAGCTATATAGTGAGAGCTCCTGAGAGACAGCAGCACATCTGATCTTCTCGCATCCACCATCTAGCAAATACCAGGCACACACTAGACGCTCAAAGCCTCACTGAATGTGTGTGTGAATAAATGACTATATGAGAGCCATGTGGATCATGGACAAAGTCAATAAATATTTTTGAACATCTACCAAGTACACTGTAGAATAGGGAAATAAGTAACCCAGGCAGGGTGGTGTTTTCTCCTAACTTCCCCTGACCACCTTCCTGAAGGTGGGAAGGACTCTGTACATCAGGGAGACTCTTGACACAAATAATGTTCTTGAGATGCATTGCAAGAAGTCATGTTAACAAGAGGAAAGTCCATTTGTCTTGGGGGTGTTTTAGTCAATGGATCTGAAGGACCCGAAGCCCCCTCTGATGACACACAGGGTGCAACACCCACCCTAAGTTCATGGAGGGGAAACCAGATGGAGTGAGTTGACAGGGAGCAGGACCTGGAAGAACAGGGGGTAAAGAGACTGAGGCACCCGGAGGGAGGTCTGAGGAGTTGCTCCCAACCCCTGCGGTGGCCTCGGTGTGGACTGATGCAGAACTCAGCAGCATAAGTAAGTAAAGTGGCCGCACCAGGCTCTATGCATACATGGGACCATTTTTCAGTAAGATTTTCTTTCTGCTAATGGGCTTCACTTTTGCCCACTTTCTAACACATCAGGACAAGTTAATAGGTTACAAACCATCGTTCCATTCAGCAGTCATTTATAGAATACTCCCAAAGTGCCAGGCCCTGTGTGAGTTCAGGCAATACAAAAATGAACATAAAAGCTCCTGTCCTCTAAGATCCCCATCCAATGAGCTCCAGGGAGCACCTCTCCTACAACACGCCCCTGCTCTGCACGGCCCTCCTCTCTGCCCTCCACCAACCCAAATCCTCCTCCACCTCCAGCTCAAGTTCCACCCAACCAAGTCCCTCTCAGTCCCCCTGCACTCCTGCCACTTTGAGAGATGACTGCACTCATATCTCTAGGTTTTATGAAGTGGATGTCATCTCCCTGGTTAGACTTGAGCCTCCTGAAGGCAGAGACCATTTTTAGAATTTTCCAGAAAAAAAGCCACATCAGTAATTTGCATCAGAACAAGCTTAGACTCTGCTCAAGCCTTCAACTTAGACAGAGACTCCACTGCCTAGCACAGTCCCTGGTCCCTGCAGTGCTTTATAAACCCTGCAGTAGCAAAGTCCACAATCAACTCGTGTGTCAGTCAACAGGCTGGGATAAGTTGAAAATGCAGACAGAGAAGAACAGTCAAACAAAAATCAAAGGGCTTTGACTCATGCCTTGCCTCTTCCCTTTTCTCAGGGAAACAAAGTCACACCCCCTGCTCTCACTCCTGCCTGGAGGCTTCCAGGGAGGGCTCCCTTGTTAGCCTTCCCTTCAGCCCCCATGAATATCACCCAGCATTCAAGCCCAGCCTCTCCTCTCCCTTTGAGCACATTGCCTAAAGTCTCAAATAAATGTCAAGTTTAGTGAGTGCTGATATTCTATGCCCCTAATGTTTACTTCAAGTATTATTACCTTTCTTCTTTTGCCCGGGGCCATTTCCAAACAAGGGCTGGAGCCAGGCGCCCCAGCAGCTGGGCAAACACACTTCAGGGCTCCTTCCCTCCTGTGGCTCCTGTTTCTCAAACCCTCTGGGACCTGCAGCTCTGGGGGTCTCTTCCCCCAACCCAGTTCCCTCCCCTTTAGACCAGAACAACTAAGCCATGGCCACCTTCCCGATGGACACACAAGGAGGCCTGGTGTCACCCACTGCTCCAGGGGCGGTGTTCTCGGCAGGGGAGCTGCCTCTTGTCCCGGATCCTGCTCTGCTGCCACCTTATGTGGCTGCAGAATTGGAGGGAATTGTGAACAGAGAGAGGACAGGGCAACTTCCCAGGCAACAACACTACTATTGCCAATATTTTGCCAAGGATGGGAGCAGGAGCACAGAGGGAAAACAGACCTTGTCAACGTCTCCTCCACCAACACATAACACCCACTTTCCTGCCAAATACTCAGATAGAGAAGGTCACTGAAAGTACAAGAAAATTCAAATGAGAAAAAAGACTTGAGGAAGAAACCATGAGGCATTGGGGTGTGGGGAGGTGGGAAGGAGTACAGGAGAGAACTGGCATGGCTGCCAAGTTGTCAGTCACCTTCTTATGTTCTTAAGAATGCTGCATTTCTTTTGTTTGACCAGTTTCACTTCCCAGATTCCCGTAAAGCACATGGTCTAATCTGTTACCTAACAGCAGGAAAGCATGATCTCACCTGTTCTTGCCCTCAAGTAGGAACACTGCCCTGGGACTATACTGCAGACCACCAGGCTGAGCCATCCCCAGAGGTCAGGAGCTTCCAACCGGGAACCTTTCATACACTCTTCAAGCAACGTACAGCTCCACCGACAGTCACAATAAAAATTCTAATATCTTCCCTCCTCCTGTTGCTGATGTCCATGGTCTCTAGCAGCCTGAATCCAGGTAAATAAGACTGTCTATGAAGGGGAAAACGGGGGGAGGAAATGGAGCAAAACAGGCCACAGGTGCATCAAAATGTAGCCCTTTCAGCTACAGGGATTGGGAGCAAGTGAGCCTTTTTCAGTGCCAGTTTCCTCATTTACTGAAAGGAGCAAACTGTACTTACATCTAGTGTTGTGAGGGTTAAATGAGATATTGTATGTGAAAGTGTCTGCAACTACAGCTGGCAGATATATACATATGTACATATTGGTTCAACGAATATTTGCTCCCATGCCTTCACCCCCAAGCCTTTTCCAGAAGAGTAATGCATTTCCCCAGGGTCAAACTTGGTGGCAGTAGTGGGAGGGTATTGAAGGCAACCATATATTTATAAAAGATAAGGAACTCTTTGCTTATATTCTTTTTTTTTTTTTTTTAAAGACAGGATCTTACGCTGTCGCCCAAGCTTGGAGTACAATGGTGCAATCATAGCTCATTACAGCTCAAACTCCTGGGCTCAAGCAGTCTTCCTGCCTCAGTCTTCCAAGTAAGTAGGGCTAAAAGTGTGCACCACTCTGCCTGCCTAGTTTTTCCTTTTTTTTTTTTTAGAGTCAAAGTATCACTATGTTTCTCAGTCAGATCTCAAACTTTGCTTGTATTGTTTATATTCTTTAGAGTGCACCAAGCATGACATACTTTAATGCTATTCAATGGTAGCTAATAAACGGAAGAAAATCCTATCACCAGGTAGTGTCCGTATTTGAAGCTTTAGCCACACCAAGCCCTGCTGCAACAGTGCACCATTTGGGTAGCAGACCTTTGGCTAAGGCTTTCTAATCTGCTCCAGTTTTCACTACAACCAAAGTGGCCAAGCCCTTTGCAAAGAAATCATGCAGAAGACAGCTTAGCCCCATGTATATTTCCACTTGGGAGCACCATCTCCCCAAGGGCCACTTTGAGGTGAAACAGCTTTGTTACATACTCAGCGTCAACTTGGTCCTAAAATCAGGAGATGTTCAGCCTTCTCCACTCCAATTTCCAATGTTCCTTGCTTTGTAGAGAGAGCGCTCTGGAAGCTGCTGAGCCCCATAGCCCTGGGGCCTAAACCACCATTCAGGAAGGGAAGGTTTTTCCATCACTGTGACAGACACCCAGGCCAGAGTCCTCAGCCTAGACTAAAAGGTCTAGCCCCAACCTCCGTTTCCAGTGCAACCCCCTCCACTCACTAAAAATTACTCTCTCTCCACCCAAACTAGACTGTTTGCCCTTCCCTGAACAGGGCTTGTGTTTTCCCACCAGTTCAACTTTGCAGATACACTCAACTCAAAAACCATCTTCCCACAGGCCAGACAAGTGCTCAGCTCCTCCCACACCCAGACAATCACTCTCCATCCTGAAAGCTGGCTTAGCCCTACTGGACTCTCTCTTCTTGCACTTATCTGCTGCCTTATATTGAAGACCTTCCTGTGTCTCTCCTGCCTCCACCCACTACCCTTAGAGGTTGCAGCCTCCTTGGCAGCACAGACTGGTGCACTGTTTCCATATCCCTCATGCTATCCAGCTCAGCACTCAGCAACCATTAGCTAACCGCACGAATGCGTCCTCAGGTTTCTAAATCAAACCAGGGCTTCAGAGCAGGTCTACTGACAACTGGGCTGACCGATTCCTTGTAGTGAGGGCTGTTCTGTGCATTGTGAGATGTTCAGCAGCATCCACATGCCCTCTCTCCACTACATGCCAATAGCAGCCTTCCCCCTCCCTCAAGCACCCTCTTCCTTCATGAAAGCAAAAAATATTTCTAGATATTGCCAAATGTCTCCTTGAGGGAAACCACCCCTAGTCGACAACCATTGCTTTATACCAATAGTTCTCCACCTGGCCCACACATTTACACTTATCTAGGCATTTACCCTCAGCCTGGAAGTCAGGGGGGCCTAGATCCAAATCCTGGTTCTGTCACTCCCTTTGCAACCCTGGACAAGTCGCTTCATTTTTTTTCTAGCCTTTTTATCGTCTTAAGATGAATAAATACCACTGTTCACACAGGCTTGTTGTGAAGATTAGATGAACCTCAGTGTAACCTGGAAAGGGTTCAATAAATGGACTGAATGGAATTTCTAAAGTCGCTCCTAAAGCACTAGGGTGAGGAACTGGGGAAAGCTCGCTGCGCCGCCAGGGGGCGCCATCACAAACCACCTCGGTGGGTGGCGCCGGGCTCGAGCTTTGTTTCCCAGCCAAGTAGTTTGTAATGCGGGCCTGACTCTGAGCTACTTAGTGGCTGGAAGAAATAATAGCCCCTCCATTCCCAAAATAAATCTCAAAATAAAATCTAATCTTATTTTATATCCCTTTTTTTTTTTTTTTGAGATGGAGTTTTGCTCTGTTGCCCAGGCTAGAGTGCATTGGCGCAATCTCGGCTCGCTGCAACCTCTGCCTCCTGGATTCAAGCTACTCTCCTGCCTCAGCCTCCCTAGTAGATGGAACTATTGGTCCCTGCCACCACACCCAGCTAATTTTCATGTTTTTAATAGAGACGTGGTTTTGCCGTGTTGGCCAGGCTGGTCTCGAACTCCCGACCTCAAGTGATCCGTCCATCTCGGCCTGCCAAAGTGCCAAAGCGTAAACCACCGCCCCGAGTGGCTGGCATTGTTTATTATGTCGCTGATATTGTCCCAAATTTGGCCATTGGGAGTTCCTTCTAGTTGGTTTCTGTGACTTTTGACACAACCCCATCATTTTTCAAGCAGTTCCTTACTTCTGGCCCCACAGAATGTTTACTTCTGGCCCCACAAGGCTCCTCTTGTGCTTTCTTGCCCAGCCCTGGATCAGCTATTTCTCCAGGGACCCCTGGTTCCTTTCATGGGAAAATGATGTTTACAGACCATGGGCACCCATATGCCCATTGCTAGTAGGTGCCGGTGCTTCTATGCCCTCTAGTGGTCGGAGCTGGGAAATAACACACCCACACTAGTGTACTGTTACCCACATTTCACAAATTAGGTAAATGAGGCACAGAAAAGTTAGACAACTTGACCAACATCACAGAGAAAATAGGTAGTAGAACTGGAAAACAAAAATAATGACAGATGCACAAGTCCTAACAAGCAAAAGTAACTTCTTCACACATGCATGTTAGCAGAAAGCCACAAGCCCAATATTCCAGCATAGACACTCTCTTTGGAAAATAACCAGAATTCCACAGCAATAAACACAATGATAACCATCACGTACTCAACACCCGCCTGGACACTGGGCTCCCACATATTCCCAACAACTCTGCAAGGAGGATTTTACCATCCTCCTTTTACAAATCAGGGAATCAAGGATCATAGAAGCCAAGTGACTTGTCCAAGTCAACATAGTTAAGTGACAGAACCATTAGCTGAGCCCAGGTCTATATCTGGATATAAATTCCATGCTTATGCCACTATATAAGCATTTCCCAAAACTGATTTTAGGTGAAACATAAATAAACTTTTAAGTTTAACTGTGTTTATTTTAACGCATGACAGGAAAAAAAATTAAGCACACATCAAATCTCTGATTTCATGGACAATATTGCATAAGACAAAAATATTTTGTCTTCAGTTCCTGGCCTCAAGCCATCCTCTCACCTCAACCTCTTGAGTAGCTGAGATCACAGGTGTGAGCCACCAAGCCCTGCTAAGACAAGGATGTTTTGTAAACTAAATTTAATTACAAAAAAAGTATGAAGTAAATAATAATAAAGGTGGTAAAGCTGTAGAGAAAATCATAAAGTTGGTCTAGAAATGTCTGGGGTCTGGATGACATAATACTACAGCACCATGCAGCTTCATTCTCAGTTACTCCCAGGAAATTAGAGTCACATAACACTGCAGAAAGAACAATTCAGAATCTTAGACCCGGGCTTTAGCCCTGGATGTGTCCACTCCTAGGACCCCAAACATCTCTGTGACCTCCTTGCTGGAGGTAAATCCAACCTTCCCAGACGTGTGAGAACACTAGGAACATCCTGCACACATAGAGGGGTTTCTCTGTCACAGAGAAAATAACACCAGGTTTGAGGACCCCAGGGACTCTCTGTGTGGTGCTGACAGACCCAAGGCCCAGACACAGCAGAGGTCCGTGCTGGGGAGGGCGGGTCGTCCTGTTATGGAACAGGGGTCCAAACAAGCTTGCTTCTCAGAGCATCTTCTGGGGAACTGAATATAAACAGAAAGGGAAGAGGAGGAGGGACAAAAGAGACAGAAATGAGAGGGGAGGGGATAGAGGATTCCTGAACAGAGACCGCACCCATGACCCACGTGACCCTGGGAAATGCTTCTATCCCTGAGAGGAGGCTCAGCACAGAAGGAGGAAGGACAGCAGGGCCAACAGTCACAGCAGCCCTGACCAGAGCATTCCTGGAGCTCAAGCTCCTCTACAAAGAGGTGGACAGAGAAGACAGCAGAGACCATGGGACCCCCCTCAGCCCCTCCCTGCAGATTGCATGTCCCCTGGAAGGAGGTCCTGCTCACAGGTGAGGGGAGGACTCCCTCGGAGTGGATGGGAGGAGGGAGCACAGAGACTGGCTAGGGTCTCCTGGGGAGGACAAGGCTCTGAGAGGAGACAGAGGGCTTTTGTTGAAGCCTGAGGAAACAGAACACCAGAGAGGGACAGGGGTCACAACAGGAAAGTCACACTAAACTGGGATTGATAAAAAGGGAGGAAAATCAATTGATCATGTTTTCCAAGTTAATCATCATTTGTCATTACCATTTGAAAAAAAAGAAAAATGATAGAAATCAGAACTGCATTAGGATGACACTCCAAATAAAAATATAACAAGGAAACTAAATGCTGCCCTTACTCACCAATCAGAAGTTGAAAAATAACCACCAGATACACTCATTAACTCATCCACAAGCATTTGCAATCAATTTTAGTCAATGGCATACAACAAGCATCAGACAAGTCTCAGTCATCACAGAGCTTATGCTGTCATGAAGAGGAAAACACACACACAAAGAGATATAGAATGTGAGGTCAGGTGTTGACAAGAGCCCTGGAAGGAACAGAGCAGGGAAAGGTCAGAAAGAAAAGACCCAGGGTCTGTAGAGGGGGTGTCAGGGAAGGGATCTCCCAAGAATGCCCTGATGTGAGCAGGACCTGAGGCCAGTGGGGAGGGAGCCATGCAGACCCCTGGGGAAGAGCATTCCACACAGGGAAATGCCAAGGTCAAAGGTGCTGAAGGAATGGGGGTGTCACACTGCTGACTTTGACTCAGTAGGACACACACACACACACACACACACACACACACACACACACGCTCCAACGTGGAGGGGTGAAGAGACCTGCTCAGGACCCAGGGCCCTGTTTTTCCACCCTAATGCATAGGTCCCAATATTGACCGATGCTCTCTCCTCTCTCCTAGCCTCACTTCTAACCTTCTGGAACCCACCCACCACTGCCAAGCTCACTATTGAATCCACGCCGTTCAATGTCGCAGAGGGGAAGGAGGTTCTTCTACTCGCCCACAACCTGCCCCAGAATCGTATTGGTTACAGCTGGTACAAAGGCGAAAGAGTGGATGGCAACAGTCTAATTGTAGGATATGTAATAGGAACTCAACAAGCTACCCCAGGGCCCGCATACAGTGGTCGAGAGACAATATACCCCAATGCATCCCTGCTGATCCAGAACGTCACCCAGAATGACACAGGATTCTATACCCTACAAGTCATAAAGTCAGATCTTGTGAATGAAGAAGCAACCGGACAGTTCCATGTATACCGTGAGTATTTCCACATGACCTCTGGGTGTTGGGGGTCAGTTCTACTTCCCACATACGGGATTGTCAGGCCTGGGTTGTGCCTGTGGCCCTCTCTGCATTACATCCTGTATCAGGGTTTGGACATTTAGTGCAGGACACACACGGGGGAGACAAACTTCCACAGATCAGAATTCCTTTCCTGGATCCAGACCCTGCAGACACTCGCTGCAGAGGAAGGACAGTCTGATGGGGGGACTCAGCAGGGCGAGGTCAGTGTCAGACAAGCACCCCATGGTCTCCCCATGGACCTGACCCTGAGAAAGACCCTGGAGAACTGGATCAGGGCCTGGCCTGAGGGGTCCCCCTAGGGACCCCTCAGAGAGAAGCTCAACTCTTCCCTGAACTGAGCCCCTGTACAAAGCCCTGTCCCTGGTTCCTGATTCCAGGTGATCCTGGGGAGTCTGTGCCAGGGCTGTGTGGTGGCCTCTTGGGCAGGGCTGGCTGGGAGCAAGGATGTGAGCTATCCAAGGGCCATGACTCCTGGAGTTGGTCACCAGCCAGGTCCGAGCACCCAGAGCCTCATCTAGCTGAGGATAGGGCCTCCTCCTTCACTTGAGGCTCAGCATGGAAAGGACAGATGGAAAAAATTACTAGTGCATGAGCCCACTGCCCTGGGGGACACAGGTTACTCCCTGGGAAGTTCAGAGTCCCCAAGGGGAGGAACAGAGAAGAGAGGATGCTCCTGGCAGCTCCATGTCCACCAGGGATCAGGCCCAGGGCCCTCTGTCTTGGAAGCAAATAATCATAGATAACTGTTCACTTGGGCAGCTCCTCTGTGCAGAGCTGAGATCAAGTAATTGTAAATATTTTGAGGTTAACTCACAAACAACCTCACAGCCAAATAGCACTTATCCTACTTATAGAAAGGAAATTGAGGGACAGGGAGACAGTCACTAACAAGGGTCACACAGGCCATAGGTGGCAGATTAGAGACATATGAGGTCTGTCTGCAGCCACAGCCCCCTCCTCTCCTCAACCGGGGGTGATGGGGCTGTTTGTTGTTAGGCATCTGCATCTGAGGCCAGTCATGGGTTCACTTCCTTTTGTCTTGTGCATCCGCAGCTCAGAAGTGGAGATTCTGGTCTGGAAAGTAAGAAGCAAACAGAGAATTAATCAGTTTTACTCTAGAACTAAATCACCTGCCTCAAATAACAGAGTCAGTGCTGGGATTGTCCAGGCCTCTCCCTTCGATCCACAGTCCCCTCACTGCACCTGAAATCCTGTTTCCCGATGTGTGGGTGTCACTCCCATGGGAGGATAAAGGAGAGGACTTTGCTTTCTCTCCCCACTCACACCCTGCACCAGCACAGGCCCAAAGTGAGACACACGCTCGCTCAGGAGTTCTCTCTTGAAAAAGGGAAGAAAGGAAGAAGGAATGAAAAAAGGATCCATAACCTCTTTAGAGACCGGCTCCTGGATGCAGAATCCTATGAGGTTCTGGCCACACCTGTTTCTTGTCCCTCAGGGGCTGACACCCATGTTCCATCCCTCTGAACCCCTGTCCCTAAACCTACCCCATCTCATGTGACTCTGGGGTTCCTTGGTCATTAGAGGGTTTTCAGGTCTCCCTGGTCCTGGTCTGGGGCAGCCAAGAGGCTCCTGGTCCCTGGGGTCTCTGAGGTCACTGTATCCCCCACTGCTCACTGCCATGGGTATCTCTGGCTCTTTCTGCTCCTCTCTGTCCCTCATTTTCCTCCCCTTTCATTCTAGCTGGGATGCCCTGCCCTGCACAGCTTCCTCCACCCTTAGGCCTTCCCCAGAAAACCCCTCTAACAAGGCTGGCTGTCCTGTTCCCTTCCTGCTCACACTGTGTCCTGGCCCACATCCCAGGCAACAGAGAAGGCACAGAAATCAGCCGGAGCAGCCGCCCCTGCCGGGCTCCATCACGAGCCAATGTCCCCAAGTCAACAGGAGAATGAGCTTCCACTGTGTCCCCATCCAGGGCTCTTTCCCCCAGTGAGGCCGACATGTGGAACAGGCCACGGGACAGGGACAAGCGACTCCTCCATACAGTCTCTACTGACTCACCAGGCAGTCAGAGGCAGGATGACAGGTCTGCTTTCCCCAAGGCCCAGAGGCTAATTTCATCCATTGACTTCCGTCCTCATCTTGGTGTGAGGCTCACATCCTCCAGTCATTCCCCAGGACCTTCCCCAGGTGGAGCCGGCCAGGCAGGTGCTGTCTGATGGGTTTGCTGCCCATTCCACATACACTACTGTGTCCTCATGATGATGCCATTGTCATAAGGTGGGGTCCCTTGGACTGAGAAGTGCACCAGCCACTGGAGTCTCACATAGACTCTGCCCAGTTTAGATGAACTTAAACTCTCATTGTGTTTTCTCAGGTTAACAGGAGAGGAAGAAAGCATTTCACATGACTGTTTGGGGCTCCTTCCCTATTTGCCTAACTGCACAGGAATTAGGGGCAGGGAGCTCTTTCTAAATTTACTAACATAACACACGTTGCTTCTAATTTGGCATCGTTCCTTCCTTTATGTAACTGACACACACCTAAGACTTCCTCTCCTACTGGTTCTATCCTCCTAAGAGGACTCATATGCCTCTCTCTACTCAAGGAGTTGCTAATTTCAAACCAACTTCAGCATCTTCATTTGACGACAATATGATCCTGCTGGAATTCACAGCACACCTAAACCTTAGTATGTTATCAAGAAAAATACTACTTCCAGCCCTTGATCTTTGATCTTTAGGACATTAGTAACGATCTCCACTTATGGAAAAAATTAAATGTTTCCCCCAAAGTTCTTTTATTTTTTACTATATTCAGAACATAACATGAGGTCTAAACTCCTGACAAACTTTTCAAAGCAAATTACAACACTACAGGTCAAGCATCCCACATCCAATAATCCAAAATCTGAAATGCTCCCAAATCTAACACTTTTTGACCACTAAAGTGATGCTGAAAAGAAATGCTCACTGGAGCATTTTAGATTCTGGGTTTTCAAAATTAGGGTGCTAAACGGGTAAGTCTACTGCAAATATTCAAAAATCCAGAAACAGTCAGAAATCCAAAACACTTTTGGTCCTAAGCCTTATGCGTAAGTGATACTCAATCCGTATGAACTATAGGTACCAAGCTGTACAGCAAATCTCTAGAACCTCATCCTGTGTATAACTGAAAGCGCACACCCATTGACTAACTCCCCATTCTGCCTCTCCCAATCCCTGGCAACCATGATTCTACTCTGATTCCATGAGTGTGACTACTCTAGGGACCTCATATAAGTGGAACCCTACAGTATCTGTCCTGTGAGTGACTTATTGCATTTAGCATAATGTCCAATGGGAGAAAATATTTGCAAAACTTCTCCTCAAATTTCTGTCTCATATCTGTCAAACACACATGGTCCTTGAGAGTCAGATTTGCAGCATTTCATGCTCCCCCTTTCCACCACTCAGCTGTGCATTTGCAAACATCCACATGTGTTTATGGAGAGAGCCACAGGGTCCTCACCTGCCCTCCGCAGAGGGAGAAGAAACATTAAAGGCCAAAGAAAAGGAACACGGTTCTGCTGGGAAATTCAGGCAGCTCCTGCCTGTCCCCCTCACTGTCTTCTAGATCATTCTCTGAATTCTGCTCTATCTGTAGGTGTCACAGGCTCAAGTCAGTCATTATTAAACACCTGGGAAAAACTGCCCCACCTGTGGTTCCACTGCCTGATGACCGAACTGACCTCCAGGCTTGCCCCTGGTGTCCCCTGTGTTATTTCTGCTGAAAGGTCCAATCCCAGGCCAGGCTGCACAGTATCCTTGGGGTTTAAGGACAATAAGAAGTCCCATCATCACCCATCTCTAGAATGTCCTTAGAAAAGGAAGCCACACAGAAAATACAGCTAGGGGGGCAAAGTAGGACTAAAGCTTGAAAAGACCCAGCACCTGAATGTTTCAGGTGAGGACTCCAAGGGAAGCCAGGCAGGCAGCTGGTCAGGGAGAAACCAGGAGAAGCACAAGGGGCTGTGACCCCGGGTCCTGTGTCTGTCCATGACCCAATGCTGCTGCTCAATTCACACTTGAGAAAGACTGTGCTTCTCCCACACAGAGCAGGTGATCTCACACAATCTCAGCCCTCAAATCATCGTGCATCTGTTGTGTGACACACACACCTGCCAGGGGCTTTTAAGGACTCAAGGGGGCTGAGAGGTGAGAGATGCCAACTCTGATTGAAAGATGCCTGTGGAGGAATCAAAGGTGCCACACAGGGCAATCTTCTCTCTGTTTTCTGCACAGCGGAGCTGCCCAAGCCCTCCATCTCCAGCAACAACTCCAACCCCGTGGAGGACAAGGATGCTGTGGCCTTCACCTGTGAACCTGAGGTTCAGAACACAACCTACCTGTGGTGGGTAAATGGTCAGAGCCTCCCGGTCAGTCCCAGGCTGCAGCTGTCCAATGGCAACATGACCCTCACTCTACTCAGCGTCAAAAGGAACGATGCAGGATCCTATGAATGTGAAATACAGAACCCAGCGAGTGCCAACCGCAGTGACCCAGTCACCCTGAATGTCCTCTGTGAGTATCTTCTGTTCCTCTGTGGCCCAGGCTGCCAGCCCAAATCCACACAGCCAGAGTCCAGGTCTCTCAGTCCCTCTCAGGTCTAAGGACTCAGACCCTCACCCAGGCTGGCCATGACTTCCTGCCCTGAGCAAACCTGGGCAGACCAGGCCTTGACCAAGAATGGGAGGGGAGGGGCTGTCTCCTGTGCTACTTCTGCTCAAACACCCATTCCCATCATCACTCATCTCCAGGATGTCCTTAAGGCTCAGGGTTCACATTTTCTGATGGGAGAAACAGGTGAATGTCTCAGACTTTGGCTCAGGGGACATAGCGGGGGTTTGGTTGAGACTTCAGGGTTGTGACATGGCTCAGGGGGACACCGTGGCCCTTCCACAGACCAGGAACTTATGCTTCCCTCTGACAACATCACCTGTGGCTTTATTCTGTTTCCTCCAGATGGCCCAGATGTCCCCACCATTTCCCCCTCAAAGGCCAATTACCGTCCAGGGGAAAATCTGAACCTCTCCTGCCACGCAGCCTCTAACCCACCTGCACAGTACTCTTGGTTTATCAATGGGACGTTCCAGCAATCCACACAAGAGCTCTTTATCCCCAACATCACTGTGAATAATAGCGGATCCTATATGTGCCAAGCCCATAACTCAGCCACTGGCCTCAATAGGACCACAGTCACGATGATCACAGTCTCTGGTAAGTGGATCCATGAAGCACTAGCATCACATTTTCAGGTGGAGTCTGGCTCTCAGAGAAGAGCCAGGAAGAAATTTTCTTTCCCAACCTGTGTCCAAGGGGCACACGCAAATCCCAAATTCTCCCCTGAACCCTCCCAATTCACCTCTGCAGACTCTTTTCCCCTTGTTTTTTTGTTTTTTGTTGTTTTTTGTTTTTTGATTTCTCATGTCTGACTTTGGGTCCATCCTGGAATGAGAGGAGGGGGCTCCCTCAGCACTGAGCCCTGTGTAGTGAAAGGGGCTTCACAGAGAAAAAAGGAGGAAGGGTCCTCAGGGTCAAGTTCCTGCTCTCTGTCACCAACAATTCCCTTTCTGTCACTTCTTTGTGTTCTTTTACCTACTCCATAAGCTACAAGGGACAAGGAGGTTTTGAAATGAGCTCACACTTTTTCCTTAAATGAGAAGAGGAAGCCCCTTGGGTGATGGAGGAGCAGCTCAGACTCTGCCCCCATCTCTGCTCCCAGCACCCCCAGTGACTGACTGACCCCACCCTGAAGCCACCTAAGGTGGAACCAGGGCATATGGAGAAGGTGCCCAGGTGTCTGTCCTGAATCAGGCTAAATCAAGATGCTAATCAACACCAAAGCCTCCCCTGGATCAGGCCGCAGGAAAATGGGAAGACATGGAGCCTCATGACAGACTGCTGAGCTGTGTCCTGGCTCTGAAGTCACTGGCTGTATAAGACTGTGGGCACAGCACATGGGACACAGCACAGAGGACAGCAAGTGACGCACACTTGGAGACATAGGGAGATTCAGCCATGGGGACTCTGCATGGCAGGGAAGGGGCAGTGACAAAAAGTGTGTATTTATAGAGAGGATAAGACTACCAGCCACTATGTATCTAATATAGGACTTACCTTTTCAACCCTTCCACGTGTGCAGGTCCGTAGTATTAAACACATTCCCGTTGTTCTGCTACCATCACCACCACCCACCCACAGAACTCTCTTCTTCCTCCCAAAATGAAACTCTGTTCCCATCAAACTCCTGGGCAGAGCTGCCCACCTGTGACCCACAGCCTGACCCCTGAACTCACCTCTAGACTTGCTTCTGGTCTCCCGCTCAAACCCCCATCCCCATCATCACCCATCTCCAGGATGTCCTTAAATAGCAAAGCCTCAGAAAAAACACACCTTGGCTGGGTGGTGTGGGACTGTGCAGCTGAAAGAAACAGCACCTGCATGTTCCAGGTGAGTACCCCAAAAGACCAGGCAGTCAGCCAGTCAGGGAAGAAACAGGAGAGGTGCCAGAGGCTGTGGCTGTCAGTCCTGTATCTGCCCAAGACTCAATGCTTCTGCCCTATTCACATTTGAGAAAGTCTGTACTTCTCCCACACAAAGCAGGTGGCCTCGATCTCCGAGCCCTCAGATCGTTGTGCATCCGTCTTCTGACACACACACCTGCCCTGGGCTCTTAAGGACTTGGGTGGACTGAGGGGTGGGAGATGCCAACTCTGACTGAACGATGCCTGCAGAGGAATCAAAGGTGCCACACACGGCAATCTTCTCTCTGTTTTCTGCACAGCGGAGCTGCCCAAGCCCTCGGTCACCAGCAACAACTCCAACCCTGTAGAGTTTTCTACATATAAGTTTAAGTTATCTGTGAACAGAGATAATTTTACTTCTTTCCGATTTGGATGTCTGTTTATTTGTTTGTTTGCTGCCTAATTTCTCCAGCTAGGACTTAAAACACTATGTTGAAGAGAAGTGGGGCAAGCAGGCATCCTTGTCTTGCTCCTGGTCTTACAGGGAAAGCTTTCAGTCTTTCTCCATTGAGTATCCCTCTATTATGTTGAGGTGGTTTCCTTCCATTCACAGAGTGTTTTTATTTATAAAAGAATGTTGAATTTTGTCAAATGCTTTTATTGGCTAAATCTTATTACTAATTATAGGTCTATTCAGATTTTTTTGTGTGTTCCAGGAATTTGTCCGTTTCATCTAGGTTATCCAATTTGTTGGCATACAATTATTTACCGCACTCTTTTAATCTTTATTATTTCTGTAGAATTGGTAGCAATGTCATCAATTTTTTTGAGAGTAGGTCTCACTCTGTAACCCAACCCAAGCTGGAGTGCAGTGGCTTGATCATAGCTTACTTGCAGGCTGAACCCCCTGGGCTCAAGTGATCCTCCTACCTCAGCCTCCTGAGTAGCTGGGACTACAGGCATATGCCATCATGCCTGGCTAGTTTAAAAAAAAAAAAATGTGGAGACTGTGTCGCCCTATGTTGCATAGGCTGGTCATGACTTTCTGGCCTCAAGCAACCCTCATCCTCTGACCTACCAGGGTGCTGGAATTAAAGGTGTGAGCCACCATGCCCCCATTTTCATTTCTGATTTTAGTAATCTGAATCTTCTCTTTTTTTCTCAGTCAACCTAGTAAATGATTGTCAATTTTGTTGATCTGTTTTGAAGAACCAACTTTTGGTTTCATTGACTCCCTTTATTGTTTTTATAGCCTCCATTTTATTTATTTCAGTTATAATTCTTATTGTTTCCTTCATTCACTATCTTTGGGTTGATTTTGTTCTTTTTCTATATCCTGAATTTGTAAAGTTAGGTTGTTGATTTGAGGTCTCTCTTTAATGTAAGTATTTACCACTATCAATTTCTTGCACAAGATTCTTAACTTCTCTGAGCCTTCAATTCTTCAACTGAAAATTGCAATAATTCTCATCACTAAGAAATGGGTGGAAAAAATGAAAATTGAAATAACAATGCCTGTTTCATAGTATCGTTTTGAAGATTTAATGTAACATTTGATTAAGCCTTCAGCAAAATGCCACACACAAAGAAAAGCTTCACAAATATTAGCTATTATTATTACTACTGTTACCATTAACCTTAAAGTCAGGTAGTCCTAGAGTCAAATTCTAAATCCACTTGTCACTAACCATGTGACTTTGGATAAGTTTTCTCATCACCCTAAGCCTCTGTCTTTTCATCTGTAAAATGGAAATAATGTCTACCCAAGAGAGTTACTGTATAAATCAAATGAGATACAGGTAAAGTATTTAGCACAGGGCCTGGTATCTAGGACATGCCCCTCAACAGTAGCTAACCTAGCATTAACCATCGCACTGAGATGACTGGTGAGGGCTAAGCACCAAATGGAAACTCACTAGGACATGGTTACTGGCTAAACATGGGAGAGAGGAAAAACAGTGCAAAGAATCAAGCCTGGTATGTTAGCTTTCATCCACTGAGATGCAGCCAAGATGGGATTAGAGGTACAAGATAATTCACTGGGTAAAACAGCCATGAGGGAAGGTGGAGCAGCAGTGACAGGAGAGCCTAAGAGAGCCCTCAGACCACGATGCAGATCTCATTCCTGAGAAGGAGAAAGAGAAGGAGGGAAGTTTTACATAGCAGTGCAGTTCTGAGTTTCCCCAAGACCGATGGGGAGTCCTTGAACCCCTCACCCATGAGAGTGAAGCAGGGTCTCACAGACCTGGGCTTGCTTTCTTTCCCCTGGTGGGAGCCCATGGGAAGTGAGTTCTCTGTGCAAAGAACATAGTAAATTCAGAATGCACTAGCCTGGGCCTTCTGTCCATCAAGTCCCTGCCATAGAGCTCCAACAGGCTCTTATTCATGGCTGCCACAATTGAGACACTGAGAAAAAGATGCAAACATAAAAATATAGAAAGTTCTAATGACATGCAAAAATAGCAATCAGACTTTCTCAAATTTTCAAAGCCTTCAAAAATGTCTGAGTGCAGAAAGAACAGGATGAAATTGACAGAAGACTGATCACCAACCTAGAAACGTGGTAAGAGAGAAAAAAAATTGCAACTTTCCCACAAAACTAGTGTATTCCTTGAAGGAACAAGTCAAGCCTACTTCATGTTGACAGCTAGTTCTTGGGGACCCCACTGTAGAATAACATCACCTTCATTCCTTCTCTCTTCTTCCCACAAGGAAGTGCTCCTGTCCTCTCAGCTGTGGCCACCGTCGGCATCACGATTGGAGTGCTGGCCAGGGTGGCTCTGATATAGCAGCCCTGGTGTATTTTCGATATTTCAGGAAGACTGGCAGGTATGATCGCCTTTCCTCTTGCCATGTTTCCTGCAGGGCTGACCACCATGCTTGGGAAAGGAAAAAAACTTCTTCACCTGTATCTGGGACTGGATCTCCTTCTACCGCTAAACTCCTGCTTCTCAGCACTAATTCCTGCAGGTCTCTTCTTCCCTGGTCTTCATGCTCCCTGTACCCCACTGTCTCCTAGATATAATTATCCCCAGCCTCTGCTCATTTGTTTCCTAGAGTCAATACATTGTCAAAGCCTCTTCGTCCTTTTTCAACATCTCTCACTTTTGTCAGTCTCTCCATTCCCATCAACCTCAATAATTGTTCAACATCCTGCTTGACCCCTTGTTGTAAGGTTGGAATCCTTCTTGCATATGACTGCCTCATTACCTTCCTAAAATCTAGTTCACTCACCTACTTAAGGAGCCAAAGGGGGCCAGGCACAGTGGCTTATGCCTGTAATCCCAGCCCCTTGGGAGGCCGAGGTGGGCGGATCATGAGGTCAGGAGATACAGACCATCCTGGATAACACAGTGAAACCCCGTCTCTAGTAAAAATACAAAAAATTATTCAGGCATGGTGGCGAGCACCTGTAGTCCCAGCTACTCGGGAGGCTGAGGCAGGAGAATGGCGTGAACCTGGGAGGTGGAGCTTGCAGTGAGCCGAGATCGTGCCACTGCACTCCAGCCTGGGCGACAGTGCAAGACTCCGTCTCAAAAAAAAAAAAAAAAAAAAGAAGCCAAAGGAACCTGCTCTGGCCTACTAGTTAAGTTCAAATTTCTTCTCTTTACTAATTCTTCTTACTTTCTTTCCCTCTACTTCCCAGTATAATTCCTCCATCTTAATTAGAATCTGACTCTCTACACATCCCTGCCCCTTTACCCCGGATGCACATAGAATTCTTAGTTTCAATGTTACACCTAAAAACAGGGTGATCTCCCCTCCACTACCTGCCCTGTGGACTTACTCACACCCTTCATCACAAGCAACCTCTTATTTCATGGAGAACACAGACTGTGTAGTATTAATATGTGAACTTTGGACACATCCTGCATGTGGCTGAGAACCTTTTCCTGACAATCAATTCATGTGTTCATAACAGATACAGAAATGAAGAAGGCAAGGTCCCTACCCCCAGGGAACATAAAGCCCAAGACAGGAGATAAGACCTGAAAAATAATCATGATACCAAAGTAGAAAGGAGCGAATGCCACAAAAATTCAGATAAATCTGATGGGAAATATAGCTACACATTGGAATCACTCCGAAACATTTTTAAAAACGGATGCTCAAGCCCCAACCATAAATTCTGATCTACTGATCTGGAGTGGGACCCAGGCATTGGTAATTTTTAAGCCTCTCCAGACGCTACTAATGTGTAGCCACGATGGAGGATCCCTGTTCTAATAGGTAGGACTTGGGGCTAAACCCATGGTTTTTAGCTAGGAGGATTAGAATTACCTCTGGAGCTTTTTCAACATACATGGGCCTATACTTTGTTGGCCTAATTCATTAATGGGCTCCACCAAGAACTCAGTAATCTAACTGAGAAACAGAAACTAAAAGGAAAAGCCGCCTTATTTGATATGTTACATTATATGGGAAGCACTGTCAAATGATAAGTGATGCTAAACCTTCTCTAAGTTATATTTATGGTTATGTTATTGATGTGAGTGTTCCAAAAATTATAAGAGATTCCCAGAAATCTAACAGATTATAAGCCATAATGTCATATGCCACAGAAGTAACTAAATGTCTATGGGAGATGCATTCTTTTTTTATTTTTATTTTTATTTATTTTTATTTTTTTTTATTGATCATTCTTGGGTGTTTCTCGCAGAGGGGGATTTGGCAGGGTCATAGGACAATAGTGGAGGGAAGGTCAGCAGATAAACAAGTGAACAAAGAAACAAGTGAACAAAGGTCTCTGGTTTTCCTAGGCAGAGGACCCTGCGGCCTTCCGCAGTGTTTGTGTCCCTGGGTACTTGAGATTAGGGAGTGGTGATGACTCTTAACGAGCATGCTGCCTTCAAGGATCTGTTTAACAAAGCACATCTTGTACCGCCCTTAATCCATTTAACCCTGAGTGGACACAGCACATGTTTCAGAGAGCACAAGTTTGGGGGTAAGGTCACAGTTCAACAGGATCCCAAGGCAGAAGAATTTTTCTTAGTACAGAACAAAATGAAAAGTCTCCCATGTCTACTTCTTTCTACACAGACACGGCAACCATCCGATTTCTCAATCTTTTCCCCACCTTTCCCCCTTTTCTATTCCACAAAACTGCCATTGTCATCATGGCCCGTTCTCAATGAGCTGTTGGGTACACCTCCCAGACGGGGTGGTGGCCAGGCAGAGGGGCTCCTCACTTCCCAGTAGGGGCGGCCGGGCAGAGGCGCCCCTCACCTCCCAGACGGGGCGGCTGGCCGGGCGGGGGGCTGACCCCCCCACCTCCCTCCCGGACGGGGCGGCTGGCCGGGCAGAGGGGCTCCTCACTTCCCAGTAGGGGCGGCCGGGCAGAGGCGCCCCTCACCTGGGAGATGCATTCTTATCATAATGAACTCTCATCAGATGTTTAACCATACTCATTTTCAATCTTTGTCATTCACTGACAATTGTTTTTTGTTTTGTTTTGTTTGGTGGGGGGGTTGTTTTTTGTTTTTGTTTTTGTTTTGAGATGGAGTTTCACTAGTTGCCCAGGCTGAAGTGCAATGGCGTGATTTCGGCTCACCGCAACCTCTGCCTCCTGGGTTCAAGCGATTCTCCTGCCTCAGCCCCCTGCACAGCTGGGATTACAGGCATGCGTCACCATGCCCGGCTAATTTTGTATTTTTAGTAGAGACGGGGTTTCTCCATGGTGATAAGGCTGGTCTCGAACTCCTGACTTCAGGTGATCCACCCGCCTCAGCCTCCCAAAGTGCTCGGATTACAGGCATGAACCACCGCGCCCAGCCCCGACAATTATTTTGATTCTTCCTTCCTTAAAGCATTTGCAATCAGCTACCATCCAAAATTGCTTCTTCATTGAGGATATTTACAGAAAATACTCCGACATGTACTCTTGAATACAAGTTTCTGATAACATTAAAATCATACCATTAGACTATTTAAGAATTTCCAAAATTTTAACAAACTGATAGCTTCATGAAACTGCCAACCAAGAGCAAGCAGAGAATTCATTTCATGAGACTAAAAGATAATAATGAAAATAATATTTTTATGATTTTTTATTTGAAATTTTGTGGATTCTTTGTTTTGTTTCCCAGATTTCAGGAAACATTTTTTCTTTTAAGCTATCTAGAGCTTCAACAATTTTGCGAACAAAAATTGAAACATCTATATTTTCTCCCTACCTGACTGCTCCAGAATTCGGAAATTATTCATGAATATTTATATGTTTATAATAATATCGTTATTTGCACAAAAAATATAGTTATTAATATTAATTGTTATAAAATAATTATTATTGATAAACAATTATTTGATGATCATTATTTAATAATTTATTAATATTTATTAATAAATTAATAATTATTATTTAACGACTAATTGTAATTGTTAATTAATATTAATATTATATAATAAATATAATAGTATAGTTATTTGCTCAATAAAAATCTGCTCCCTTTATAACAGGATACATTTGAAAACACTGGTTATATTACCCAGGCTTTGATTGGGATGTTATATTTGGGAATATACATAGATGAACCCATAGGCACTGCTGGCAAAGTCTGAAGTCGGCCTTGGTTTGGCTTCCTCATGTCAAGAGGTTTCTAAAAGTTTAATCTGAGATTCCTTATAAAAACTTCCTGTAAAACAAACTTGAAAAGACCCCAGGCTGGGCACAGTAGCTCACGTCGATAATCCCAGCACTTTGGGAGGCCGAGGTGGGTGAATCATGAGATCAGGAGTTCAAGACCAGCCTGGCCAACATGGCAAAACCTCGTCTCTGCTAAAAATACAAAAAAAAAAAAAAAAAAAAAGCTAGGTGTGGTGGCGGGCTCCTGTAATCCCAGTTACTCGGGAGGCTGAGGCAGGAGAATCACTTAAACCTGGGAGGTAGAGGCTGCAGTGAGCTGCGCTCCAGCCTGGGAGTGCATACATAGGCCTATACTATTCATGTGCGTACATGGGCCTATACTATTCATGTGCATACATAGGGCTATACATAGGCCTATACTCCTATTCAAGGAGAATCGCTTGAACTTGGGAGGTGGAGGTTGCAGTGAGCTGCACTCCAACCTGGGCAACAGGGCAAGACTCTGTCTCAAAAGGAAAAAAAAAAGACTATGTGGTCACCTGCTACTCTTGTTGCACTTATATAAAGAATGAGGCCAAGTTCGATGAGACTAAACTTATTTGGAAAACAAATATGTCTTACTGGGATTATCTTTGGTAGAAATAAAGATGCCTATGAAGAGAAAAATTATGTTGAAAAAAACTATAGTACACCTGTTATGACATCACAGCTCTGCTTATTGTTTTTTATTTTCATTATCCACCTATAGATTGGACCAGACCCTGAATTCTTCTAGCTCCTCCAATCCCATTTTATCCCATGGAACCACTAAAAACAAGGTCTGCTCTGCTCCTGAAGCCCTATATGCTGGAGATGGACAACTCAATGAAAATTTAAAGGGAAAACCCTCAGGCCTGAGGTGTGTGCCACTCAGAGACTTCACCTAACTAGAGACAGTCAAACTGCAAACCATGGTGAGAAATTGACGACTTCACACTATGGACAGCTTTTCCCAAGATGTCAAAACAAGACTCCTCATCATGATAAGGCTCTTACCCCCTTTTAATTTGTCCTTGCTTATGCCTGCCTCTTTCGCTTGGCAGGATGATGCTGTCATTAGTATTTCACAAGAAGTAGCTTCAGAGGGTAACTTAACAGAGTGTCAGATCTATCTTGTCAATCCCAACGTTTTACATAAAATAAGAGATCCTTTAGTGCACCCAGTGACTGACATTAGCAGCATCTTTAACACAGCCGTGTGTTCAAATGTACAGTGGTCCTTTTCAGAGTTGGACTTCTAGACTCACCTGTTCTCACTCCCTGTTTTAATTCAACCCAGCCATGCAATGCCAAATAATAGAATTGCTCCCTACCAGCTGAACAGGGAGGAGTCTGTGCAGTTTCTGACACTTGTTGTTGAACATGGCTAAATACAATGGGTATCGCTGAGACTAAGTTGTAGAAATTAACAAATGTGCTGCTTGGTTAAAATGGCTACACTCATCTGACTCATTCTTTATTCTATTTTAGTTGGTTTGTATCTTGCCTAAGGTGCGTAGTCCAACTCTTGGTATTACCCTCCTAATAGTCATACTAGTAGTCATACTCCCTGGTGTAGTGTATTCTCTAAAAGCTTTAAATGTCTGCATGCAGCCAGCCATCAAATAGTGAATGGTCTCTCTTTGGCTGGAATTACAAAACTCAGAGAAATGTGTCATCAGGAGAACATCATAACCCATGAAGGATAAAAGCCCCAAATGGTGGTAACTGATAATAGCACTAATGCTTTAAGATTTGGTCACACTCTCACCTAGGTGAGCGCATTGAGCCAGTGGTGCTAAATGCTACATACTCCAACTGAAATGTTAAGGAAGAAGATAGATCCAATTAAAAAAAATTAAAACCAATTTAAAAAAAAAAAGAACACAGGAGATTCCAGTCTACTTGAGTTAGCATAATACAGAAGTCCCCTCTACTTTAACTTTTACAAAAAAGTAACCTGAACTAATCTGATGTTAACCAATGTATTTATTTCTGTGGTTCTGTTTCCTTGTTCCAATTTGACAAAACCCACTGTTCTTGTATTGTATTGCCCAGGGGGAGCTATCACTGTACTTGTAGAGTGGTGCTGCTTTAATTCATAAATCACAAATAAAAGCCAATTAGCTCTATAACTAAATTTGTTGTAATTCTGTCTCTTGATGTGGGTTCACAGCCAGCCACGGCCAGTGGAGTCTCTCAGGCGGCGTCATTCTCACTCCGACCCTCCTGCCTTCCTCTTTCACTTACAAGGGCCCTTCTGAATACACTGAGCTCGCCCAGATTATCCAGAATAACCTCCCATCTCAAGATCCTTAACTTTACTTATTTGCAAAGTATTTTTGCCAAATAATGTAACATGCACATGTTCCAGGGATTAGGATGTGGACATTTTTAGGAGGTCATTATTCTGCCTAACACAAGTAACTTTCATAAACATCACCCACAACAAAAATTTGCTTTGCCTTCCTTCTGTGTCTCACCTTTCTGCCTGAATCACAGGCCAGAGCACAAACTTCAAGGTGAAACACACCAGCTCTGCTGTGAACTGCCTGGATGATCCTGGACCACTCACTTCACCTCCCACAGTCTCTTCTCATTTGCAGCACAAGGATGACACTTACTGCATCAGAAAATGACAGTGCAAGAGTAAATTAAGATACTAAACACAGAGCGTGGTACCTGATGAGCCCTCGGTAAACATTCCTTTCAGTCTCTTCCTTTCAACATCCTGTTTCTTTCACCCTCACCCATCTGCCCTTTCATCTTCTTTCTCTTCAGCAACTTACACAGTCTACCCTACCAGTTAGCAAAGAAGCCAGCTACCCATTCTCTCTTGATTCTGCTGGAATGTTCTTGTGATAGAGCCTGCTATCTACTCAAGAAAGCCCACATTATTTATATGGAGAGGTCTGTTTAGAACAAGAGGTCCTTTTTATGTTCGCATAAAATGTGTACATATGGCCGGGTGCAATGGCTCACGCCTGTAATCCCAGCACTCTGAGAGGCCGAGGCGGGCAGATCACCTGAGGTCAGGAGGTCGAGAACAGCCTGGTCAACATAGTAAAACCCCGTCTCCACTAAAAATACAAAAATTAGCTGGGCGTAGTGGTGGGTGCCTGTAATCCCAGCTACTCGGGAGGCTGAGACAGGAGAATTGCTTGAGCCCAGGAGGCAGAGGTTGCAGTGAGCCAAGATCACGCCACTGCACTCAAGCCTGGGCAACAAAGAGTGAAATTCTGTCTCAAAAAAAAAAAAAAATTTATACCTATGTCCCCTTAACTTACACATACCCATCCCAATTCTGCCCTGTTAATTTATATGTGCACTTCCTTATTCATTCTTCTTTAGTCTTTCTCTTTATACCTTATAATCTAGGATAGCACAGAGACAAAACTAATGACCCAGGCCACAAGAGGGGATTTTTTTTTTAGCAAGACGAATGCTTTCCATTAAAAAAAATCAATGCTTTTTTTTTGGCAAAAGGAATGCTAATTTGCAAGGCACCCCTGAAGCCTGTTTTTAGGCTTGGCTTTTGGAAAAACCATTTGAGCCTACAACACACTCTTAGACGCTCCCCAAACAGGAGACGATAATTACCACAGAAGCCACATTCACTCCACGTATTCCTGCTGTTGGATAAATGTATTTTCACAGAATGTTGAGCATGAGTTACTCCTCCCCAGTCCTTCCACTCCTGGAAGTTAAACTTCCTTCTTAACCATCTTCATCTCCAGGTGGACTGCCAGGACTCTGGCTGGAAAATACCGCCCACGCTGGATGGCCAGGGTGGCACCTTTGCCTATTCCCATAATTATAATAGCTCACACTAATGCAGCACTCACTATGCACCAGGCACTATCCTAAGAGCTTTCCAGCTAGCTACAGTCCTCACAAAACATCCTGAGTGCCACCATCCCCATTTTTACAGATTTTTAAAACTGAGGCAGAGAAGTGAAGTAGTGTAACCATTGTCACCCAACCCATAATTTAACCTCATTCCCCTCCCCCTCTGGGCAGAGGACACCCTAAGATTTCCAAGGTCTCTTGAATGACATCCACCTTCCAGAATGATTTTTGCCCCCTCTACTCTCAGGATTTGACAAACAGCCAGCATTTTGTTTTCTGTCTCACTCTTCACTTATGCACCTGTTCCCTAACACCACACTCACAACTGCACAGCCTGGAATAAAAGCTGGCTTTTATGGACCTCAATCTCTTTGGAAAAAAAACAGGGCCAGGTTCCCAGTCATATACAAAGTCATTTTTACTCAATTGTCAACTACTTGCACAGCCATTCCCTGGCCACAATTGAGGTATGCTAGGGACAGAAAGTGTAATGAGAAGGAAGTAGGAGGAGGGTGACTTCCTGGAATGGTCCCAAAGAGGAGAAGATTTCAAATCCAGAAGCAGTCATAAAACACACCCAGAGTATGGCCTTTGAATAATGACAGCCCCACCTGTCTCTTTCCATGCCTCGTGGCCTCTATCTTCCTTCTCAGCCTGCCCTTCCTGCCCTTGCTTTCTTAGATCAATACTAACCACCTGGGAGCTGGGGCCAGACCAGAGCACATAGCACTGAGTCGTCAGGGTGGAGGAGCTGAAAAGAGAGAAGAGTGTTTAACTTATGGGCGTCTGACTCACCTAGGTACACATCACCTGGGCAGAAAGTGGATTCATGATGACCTGTGCGAGACTTATGGTAATTCATCAAAATGAGTGACTGAGGCAAGTGTCTGAATCAATCGAGATTTATTAAGCCAGAGCTTGAGGGCACGCCCTGGGAAAACATGAGGCCTAGAAAACCTCTGTGGCTTGCATTCTCTCTGAAGTGGTTTTCAAGAGACCAGGTTTTCTGTCTTTTTTTTTTTTTTTTTTTGAGATGGAGTCTCACTCTGTCTCTTAGGCTGGAGTGCAGTGGCATGATCTCGGCTCACTGCAAGCTCCAACTCCCAGGTTCAAGCAATTCTCCTGCCTCAGCCTCCCAACTAGCTGGGATTAAAGGCATGTGCCACAACACCTGGCTAATTTTTGTATTTTTAGTAGAGACAGGGTTTCACCATGTTGCTCAGGCTGGTCTCGAACTCCTCATCTCAAGTGATCCATCCACCTTGGCCTCCCAAAGTGCTGGGATTACAAGCATGAGCCACTGCACCCAGCCGAGGCCAAGTGTTTATACGTTTCCTTAAAGCGGGGAAGGCAGATAGGAAGAGGTGGGGTAGGCAGAAGAATGATTAATCTTGCCTTTGTTCTGTACCTGGAAAGATAAGCATTATCAGTCTGAAATATAACAGGCTTTATTCTTAAGAACTAGATTTAGATTGCAGACCTAAAGTTACAATCGACATGTTCTTGTTTTATGGGAGAATATACATCTTAAAAGGTGTATAAAAAATAAAAAGGGTTTGAGAGCAGCAAAGAACAATTTGTGAGGGCAGTTATCCAGAGATGCCTGAGGCCTTTTCACCTTCCCATGGAGGTCTGACTAATGTACAATGCCTTGACACAAGGTCGTGTAGTAATAGCTATTCATTTTAGGAAATGATTATGGTGTTACATGACTCAGTCTCCAGGTTGAACTTCCCTTTGGCATAAAGAGTTTGGGAGTTCTGAGATTTTTTTTTCCCTTTACATTTACCCCCTTTTTTTTTTTTTTTTTTTTTTTTTGAGACAGTCTTGCTCTGTCACCCAGGCAGCTGAGCTGGAGTGCAGTGGCACAATCTCAGCTCACTGCAAACTCCACTTCCAAGGCTCAAGCAATCCTCCCACCTCAGCCTCCCAAGTAGCTGGGACTACAGGCACATGCCAACACACCTGGCTACATTTTTTTTTTTTGTATTTTTTCTGGAGACAAGGCTTCACCCTGTTGCCCAAGCTGGTCTTGAACTCCTGAGCTCAAGTAGTCAACCCGCCTTGGCATCCCAAAGTTCGAGGATTACAGGCATGAGCCACTGCACCTGACCAGCACCTATTCTTCAAAATCTTTCACAGAAAGCGTTGTAGAAAACATGAGTTTTTGGCTGTATGTTTCGTCTGATCCTACATCACTAGGAAGGTTCATTCTTAGGACATTGTGTTCCATGGAGAAGGGCATGAAGTTCATTAGAAAAAGACCAAAGTCAAGTTACGGGAACAAAGGGAAAGTAATCCTGGAACCCTATTCAAGCTACACAGCTGCCTCTTCAACTAAAGCAATTCTTTAGGCAATCATCACTCTAACCCTTTCAGTTATATGTTGGCTCACTTGTAATATGTGGTAATATGTGGAGCAGACTATAGGCTAGTTTTTGTGTTTTTTTTGTTTTGTTTTTTTTTTTAGAGTCTCTGAAGCATCTTCAAATTCCAGTGGCAGGTTCCTCTGGATTGTAGTCTGAATCAGGTGTACAACTGAGCCTTTTCAGTAGTCCATACATCAGCAGGCATGAAGGCTGTTGATCTATAATGCTGTGTTTTTCTCCTGAAGTTTACTTAAATTGTCTAGCTTCAGGTTGCAGGGCTTTAGGAAAAAGCACTGTTTTAATTTCTAATGATTCCAAGTCAGAAAAACGGAAGAAAAATTTGAAAATGTTAGCTTTGATATACAAAAATGTACCAAAAAGTACAGCAGAGTCACTACATCAAGACTAGTCCTACACAAATCTTCTGTCATTAACCAAAATTTTCCAGAGGAAATGGTGATTTTTATTGTCTGCTTGACCAGATTGCACAGAGAAAGAGAAGCCAGGAGCCTCACTGGAAATAAATTCTTACCCTTTTGCTAGCTGATCATCTTCCTGGATTCCGTCATGGCCAAAAACAGGTTATGGTTGTACATCAGGTTTTAGTAGCAAGACAGGTTATGGGAGGGAGAAAGGAGGAGGCTCGGCTAACAAAGATGGTCTTGTTATGTAGATGAAACTTCACAGGTAGCAGCTCCCAGAGAGAGTAGATGGTAAATATTTATTTCAGATCTTTAAGGTATCAAGCTCAGTTCATTTTTCCTGGATCCAGACAAGAGAAAGTCTGCCTGTATTAATAGGGATTCTCTACAGATGCCAATTTTCTCATGAAAGACAGCTTTGCAGGGCCACTTCTGCTTGCTGGCCCTCCAACAGACATCTCAAAATAGGTCAGAAAATACATTTTGGGTTAAACATCTTATTTCCTTCAACTGACACATGTTTCTAGAGGTTTAACTTGGTGTCCTGCAGTTGCGGGTGTTTTCGCCAATTTTGAGGACGGTTCACCATAATGTAGAGCTCCTGCTGGATTTGACCAAGTTGGAAGGTGTTTTGGACACTACGCGGGGTCAAGAGTTGGTCAAATCCAAAGGAAGAATGACAAAAATCAAAAACACAACAAGTGATTGCACAAATTACGTACTGTTGAACACTCTAAGCATAAAGAGAGGTTAGAGCCGGCCGGGCGCAGTGGCTCACACCTGTAATCCCAGCACTTTGGGAGGCCGAGGCTGGCGGATCACGAGGTCAGGAGATCGAGACCATTCTGGCTAACACGGTGAAACTCCGCCTCTACTAAAAACACAAAAAATTAGCCAGGCGTGGTGGTGGGAGCCTGTAGTCCCAGCTACCCGGGAGGCTGAGGCAGGAGAATGGCGTGAGCCCGGGAGGCAGAGGTTGCAGTGAGCCGAGATCGCGCCACTGCACTCCAACCTGGGCCACAGAGTGAGACTCCATCTCAAAAAAAAAAAAAAAAAATAGAGAGGTTAGAGCCAACTAGCAATAAACCTTAATCTGCAGCTATCAAATTCTAAAACAAAATCCCAACCCAGCTCCTTACCTGGGAGGGGACCAAGCTGAAGGCTGCTCTCCATTGGCACAGGAGAAGAAAACTCACCTTCCTTATAGGAAGTGAGCAAAACTCCAAGAGTAAAGGAATTTTATGGCAAAACAAAACTCAGATCTCAAACAATCAACTGGGGAGAGCAGTGACCTCAAGAAGGAATAGCATCTGATCCTCAGAAAGTCACAAAATCAGTCAAAGCTAAAGCTTGATAGTTGGTACCAAGCGTAAACAGGAGAATCGCTGCAGGCCTAAAGAGCTAAGCTCCACTCAGAGGGTTCCTTCATGGTCACCAAAATGTTAACCAAAATGAGTGACTGGGGCAAGTGACTGAGTCCATTGAGGTTTATTAAACCAAAGCTTGAGGGCACGCCCTGGAAAAACATAAGTCATAGAAATGCTCCATAGCGTTTCTCATCTTTGAAGAGGTTTTCAGGAGGCCTGATACTTATACATCTGCTTAAAGTGGAGAAGGGAGATAGGAAGAGACAAGTAGAGGGAAGAATAATTGGTCTCATCTAGTCTTTCTTCTGTACTTGGAAATACAAGCATTATCATTGTGACATCTAACAGGCTTTAGTTTTAGAAGCTAGATTTAGCTTATACACCTATTGTTACAATTGCTTTGTCCTTGTTTTTTTTTGAGACAGAGTCTCGCTCAGTCGCCCAGGCTGGAGTGCAGTGGCACGATCTCGGCTCACTGCAAGCTCCGTCTCCCAGGTTCACGCCATTCTCCTGCCTCAGCCTCCCAAGTAGCTGGGACTACAGACGCCCGCGACTACACCCGGCTAATTTTTTTAGTAGAGACGGGGTTTCACCATGTTAGCCAGGATGGTCTCGATCTTCTGACCTCGTGATCCGCCCGTCTCGGCCTCCCAAAGTGCTAGGATTACAGGTGTGAGCCACCACGCCCGGCCGCTTTGTCCTTGTTTTATGGGAGGATATACATCTTGAAAAGTTCCAAGGCCAGTAAAGAATAATTTGTGAGGACAGTCACCCAGAGATGTCCGAGGTCTTTTTGCCTTCCTGTGGGGGTCTGGCTAATGTACAATGCTTTGACACAGGTTGTATAATAACAGTTGTTCATCTGGGGAAAAGATGGTGGAGTCACATGACTCAGCCTCCAGACTGAACTATCACTTTGGTGTAATGAGTTTGACAGTCCTGAGATTTTTACTTTCCTTTACATAATTTTAAGAGTCAAGGGGCTGGGTGCGGTGGCTCATGCCTGTAATCCAGGCACTTTGAGAGGCCAAGGCGGGTGGATCACGAGGTCAGGAGATCGAGACCATCCTGGCTAACACGAAGAAACCCCGTCTCTACTAAAAATACGAAAAATTAGCCAGGCGTGGTGGCGGGCACCTGTAGTCCCAGATACTCGACAGGCTGAGGCAGGAGAATGGCGTGAACCCCGGAGGCGGAGCTAGCATGAGCCGAGATCACGCCACTGCACTCCAGTCTGGGCGACAAAGCAAGACTCCATCTCAAAAAAAAAAAAAAAAAAAAAAAAAAGAGCCATACTTCCTCGATGCTGTTCCACTGAGGTCAAAGGGATGGGTGTGGAAGGCATCACAGCTTTTTCCTATTTAGAAACCCATTGACCCTTCCTTCTCCCCCTATTGGGTTACATTCCTCTGTCCATAGATCACATATTTACTGAGTTGTTTTCCAGGGGAAAAAAAAATCTCAGTTGAACTCCTTAAAGCCCCAAGCATTCAATTCAGTTCAAGAGTGTCTCTCATTTTAATGATGACCAGGCATAAATATTTTTTAAAGGCTCTCCAGAAAATTTTGATAAGAGCCTCTGCACAACCCACAGTAGCTTTGGGGAGCACTGAGCTACAAAAGTGATGGGGAAGGAACCTGCTATGTGCTGGGGACCTTTATATGTCCACCTTATCTAATGCCCCAAATGACGCTTTAAGTAGGCACTATTATCCCCCTATCCCAAGACATCAATTAACTTGTCCTTTATCTCAGAATTGGTCAAAGGTGGAACCAGGATTCCGACTCACATATTTCTGAATCTAAAGGTCATGTTTCACTGCAGAGCGATTGAGCCTACACGAACTCAAAGAAAGACAGGATGACTGCTTCTAACAGAAATAACCATACAGTCTTCAATGAAGAGTCAGGGTCTGAAATGAGCCTTAGGACAAAGAACAGCTCAGGAGGCTGAGAAGACAGTCAAAGGTATTGTGGAAAGGAGTGAAAGAATTAGAATAAGTTCAGACATGAAAACATAAAATGGGGATCAAGTCTTTCTACACAAACCAAGGGAGTAGACTGGGGCTGTGTTATGGGGCCTTTGAATGGCAGCCTAAGGAATTGAAACTTCATTCTATGGATGATAGGAGTCACTGGAAAGCTTTGAGAAGCTCAGTAACATGACAAACAGCATTTCCAGGAAGATTACTCTGACAGTGTAACCAAAAACCAGTGTAACGAAAACCAGGTTAGTCGCATGCTGCATGTAGAGTCCCATCAACATGAGTGAGGTCCGATACAAAAAAAAAAGTGAATTTATTCTAAAGCTAGCTTGGAGGAAGGGGCACAAAGCATTCTGCCTTTAAATGTGCTGCTCCACCTTTGGAGCAGAAAGCAGGCATTTTTTTAGAAGGTAAAAGAGAAAATGAGCAAGAACAAGCGTCCCCCTGCTACTGGGCAATTATCTACCGGGCAGTTGAGATGGTGCCTTCCTGGACAGAAGTAAGTTGTAAAAATGGCCACGTGGGCATGCTTCTGACATGTTCCCCTAGTGGGTGTAAGTTCTGAGGTGACCCAGGATGGAAGCTCTGAGGCAACCCTCTGGAGGTGAAAGTTCCATGGCAGGTATTCTTTGGTCCGCTAATGAACTGTCAACTCTTGAGAGATTCATCACGGAGCACACAGCTAGAGGAACTTGCCCTGTAGGGAATGTCTGGTGATGGGGGAGGTGGAAGGTTATATATGCATTTCTGAAGGGCTAAGGGTAGGAAACGGGTAGCCAGGGAAATGAGACAGGAGACAGAGGGAGGAAAAAATAATTAAACCACCTCTAGAAAAATGGGGGTACTCAGTTACCATTTTCCACTGCCAAGCTTTATTTTTATCTTTATGGGATCTGGGTGCCATATTTGTTCTGAGTACTTTTTGCTGAAAGGGCGCATAGTCAGTGAGCATTAGAATGAAACTGATCTACCTGGAGTTGGAAATATTTATGAGTACCCGGACTTATAGATTATATTGGTTGGAGCATTGTGGTCTGAGGTCTAGAAGGTCTCTGGGAAAGCGTGCCTTGTATTTTTATAAACAGGTTGTAATATCAGGAAGCTCCACACCAGAGGGATATGCCTATCCCTGCAAGCAGGGCCAATGTTATAAGCAGCTTTTGCTCCTACGATGGTTCTGACCCAAATCAGGATGCTAACCATTGGTCAGCAACAATGTGGGGTTAGGAGAAATGAAATAATTATTTCTGTTAAAACAATTAAAAAAATTAAGCTACCTCTAGAAAAATAGGGGTACTTGGTTACAATAGTGTTAGGCAAGATAACTTAGAGATGTGGTTCTGAACTCTGACAACTTAATAGAATTACCTAGAAGCTTTTCTCTTTTTCTAAACTTTTCATTTTGAAACAATTTCACACTTTCAAAAATGTTCCAAAAATAGAGTCCCCATATACTTTTCACTCAATTTTCCCAAATATTGTTTTAGATAACCACAGTGCAATCATTAAAATCAATACATAGGCCGGGCGCAGTGGCTCACGTCTGTAATCCCGGCATTTTGGGAGGCCGAAGTGGGAAGATCACCTGAGGTCGCGAGTTCGAGACCAGCCTGACCAACATGGAGAAACCACGTTTACTAAAAATACAAAATTAGCCGGGTGTGGCGGTGCATGCCTGTAATCCCAGCTACTTGGGAGGTTGAGGCAGAAGAATCACTTGAACCCAGAGGGCAGAGGTTGCAATGAGCCGAGATCATGCCATTACACTCCAGCCTGGGCAACAAGAGCAAAACTCTTGTCTCAAAAAATAAATTTAATTTAATTTAAATTTAAAAAATAAAATAAATACATTAATCACTGACATTGTACAATGAATGAATCTGCAGACCTTATTGAAATCTCCTCTATCTCCCCACTAATGTCCTCTTTCTAGACCAGGATCCAATCCAAGATCACACACTGCATCTCATTTTTTGTCCTCTCAGTCTCCTTTAAACTGGTACAGTTCCTCAGAATTTCTTTTGCCTTCATGACCTTAACATTTTTGAAGAGTATTGGAGTTATTTTGTAGAATGACCCTCAGTTTGGGCTTCTATTTTTTACTCATGATTAAACTTAGGTTGTACACGTTAGACAAGAACACCACAGAGGTGATGCTGCACCTTCTCCATCCATCATATTAGGATGTCCTAAGATGTCGATATCTCTGATCACTGGAGACGTTAACTTTGAGCACTGGGCTAAAAGTTCCTCCACTGTAAAATGGCTATTTTCTTTGGAAGCATTTGTAAGTGACCAATACTTGGGCCACATGATGAACCAATCATCTCAGACTCTCTTAGGGGAAGACACAGGCCCTGGTAAGTTTTAAATGCCATATAGGTGACTCTAACCAGCATCTACAGCTTACACCATGAAGATTAGAATCCTGGAAATCAGCTAGGAGGCCATTCCTTGGACCTAACATCCAGTTCCAGACACAATATTTGGCATGGACCCATGATAGGGAAATGGGAAGGCAAAAAAATCTCCTAACTGAGAAATGATGGGTGAGTAGAATGCTACCCAATAAAAAGAGAAGGCAGGACCAGGTGCGGTGGCTCATGCCTGTAATCCCAGCACTTTGGGAGGTCAAGGCAGGCAAATAACTTGAGCTCAGACGTTCAAGACCAGCCTGGGCAACATGGTGAAACCCCATCTTTACCCAAAAAAAAAAAAAAATTGGCCAAGCATGGTAGTACATGGCTGTAGTCCCAGTTACTTACTTGGGAGGTTGGGGTGGGAGGATCACTCAAACCCAGGAGGTTGAGGCTGCAGTGAGCCAAGACTGCACCACTGTGCTCCAGCCTGGGTGACAGAGAAAGACCCTGTCTCAAAAAAAAAAAAAAGAAAAAAGAGAGAGAGACGCAGGACACCAAGTAAAGTGTCCAGCCCTTCTGGACTATTTTCTCTCCAGATCTCAGAGAAACCTGTATTGTAGTGAAAGCACACACCATATAATTTTTTTTTTTTTTTAAGACGGAGTCTCGCCGTGTCGCCCAGGCTGGAGTGCAGTGGTGCGATCTTGGCTCACTGCAAGCTCTGCCTACCGGGTTCACACCATTCTCCTGCCTCAGCCTCCTGAGTAGCTGGGACTACAGGCTCCCACCACCACGCCTGGCCAATTTTTTGTATTTTTAGTAGAGACGGGGTTTCACCGTGTTAGCCAGGGTGGTCTCGATCTCCCGACCTCGTGATCCGCGTGCCTCGGCCTCCCTAAGTGCTGGGATTACAGGCGTGAGCCATGGCGCCTGGCCCACACCATATAATTTTACTATCACAAGCCTGACGTGAGCTCCTGATTGCCACTGACGGGAAGGGAATTATGAATTATGTCATGGAAATATATGACCACATATGCCAAGATGCACACTTCCGGGTATAACTGAATGAAAAATTCACAAAATCCACATCAGAGATACATGACCTCCCCTAAACAACCCTGTTCTCCCCACTTGGTCTTTTGTCCTTAATTTCTTTTGAAGTAAGAGAATAAAGACTGTTATAAATTTCACAAAATAGGAAAGTGTACACATCTCCTGTCACCCGGCTGTTTAAGCAAGAGGACACTGTGCTCAACTTCGTTAGAGTTATTATCTTGAGGTTTTTATAAAGAGATATCATCAGTCCCCTCCTTAGAGGGGCCATCTGATAACATGCAAAAAAATGCCACTGTAACCAAAACCCAGAGGCAGGAAGGACCCTGAGAAGAGCAATCCCTAAGGTATTCACATGCCTGCCATGGTCTGGTGCTGCTGGTACAGGAGGAACTGCTGCTGGCAATAGCTCGAAAAAAAGAGAAGGCAGGGTCAAGTGCAGTGGCTCACGCCTATAATCCCAGCACTTTGGGAGGCTGAGGCCGGCAGAACATCTGAGGTCAGGAGTTCAAGACCAGCCTGGTCAACATGGTGAAACCCCATCTCTACTAAAAATACAAAAATTAGCCAGGCGTGTTGGCAGGTGCCTGTAATCCCAGCTACTTGGGAGGCTGAGGCAGGAGAATCACTTGAACCTGGGAGGCGGAGTTTGCAGTGAGCCAAGATCATGCCACTGCATTCCAGCCTGGGCAATAGAGTGAGATCCTGTCTCAAAAAAAAAAAAAAAAAAAAGATAGAAGGCAGCTCCAACACTCAGGGAGTAGTAAGAAAAGAACTCACTCAACCTTCAATTCTCAATTCTCACACAGCCAACACCCTTCCAGCCTCTCTATGGGGGTCTCACTGGGAGGGCTGGCACATAATTAAATGCCAATACATGGATGAAATAAGTTACAGAAGGGTGGCATCAACTGGGTCAAAAACGGTTGAACATTTCACAAAACAGGAAGGATTTGGGTTAGACCCTGAAAGACTCAGGCTTAGGAAAGCAGACACAAAGAGAAACAGAAGCCAAGGGAACCTAAGTAAAGCATCCAGCCCTCCTGGCCAATTTCCTCCTCAGACCTCAGAGGGACCTTTATTGTAGTGAAAACACATGCCATATAATTTTACTATCCTAAGCCTGAGATGAGCTCCTAATTGCCACTGATGGGAAGGAAATTATGAATCATGTGATAGAAATACACAACGCACGCAAAGATGCACACTTTGCACCACTCTGGATGCACAAAGACACACACAGGCCCCACCGGAGATGCTAGTTTTGAAGAAGGTCCCAGGAGTAAGAGTGGGTTTGCAGATGTTATTTTATTTACTCTTCTCACACACGATATGGGGATATTTCACAAGGAGGATACTGATCCTCAGAAAGGGGAAGTAACTTGCCAAGGTTGTTGGTGGATGTGGGATTAGAACCTCAGTGAGTCTAACACCGGAACCCATGCCACCACCACTACCACCGAGAGACCTGAACAGGGTATGTGTAGGGAACAGGAAGGAGCAGGGAGAGCTGAAGCAGAAAGAAACCATTTTAAAACAGGGAAGTTAGGTAAGCTTGCTAAACAGGGATAATATGTTGCAGGGAAATGAACACTAGACAGACGTTCAAATTTGATCTGATTACAGAAAAGCCACTGAAGGTTTTGAGAGGGCAGAACCAGCCAAAGTGAAACCTTGAGCCAAGACCAAAGAAGGTGGTGAAAAGGGGAGTCTGGATTCCTAAGCTAGAGAGAAGCCGCCAACAACAGTGACAGGACTACGTGATGCATGGAGCAAGAACTAGTCGGAGAGGCTAAAGCTGTGGGTTTAAATACAAAAAGTCATGCAGTAAGGGCATGGCAGGGTGAAGCAAGTTATATTCTTTCTCTGCAGTTCAGTCTCTCTTCATCTATAATCAGGTGCAATGAGAATTAATGTCTAAATGACCCTCAACCCTTGCTACTCAAAGTGTGGCCCACCAACCAAAAGCAACGACATGTCCAAAAGCTCCTTAGAAATGCAGAATCTCAGACCCCATCAGAAGGATCAGAATCTGTATTTAAACAAGATCTTTGGGGGATCTGTGAGCACATTAAAGATTGTGAAGCAGTTTTCTGAAGTGTCTTCCAGTTCTAAAATGCAATGATTTCACAGTCATCTGAACTCCGTCACCTTACAGGAGAAAGAAGGAAAATAACATTTACCTTCGTCTCATTTGTGACCTTTTCTTAAAACAGCGTCTTAGACTCGCCCACATCCAGGTAGAGGATTTAGAAAACACCCGAAAGGCAGTGCTGCCACCTTGTGACCATCATCAGTAAATGCACTTAACTCTTAGCGGTCTCGCCAGTCGTGGAGGGGATGGGGCTGGAGCGGGCAGGGTGTAGGAAGTGAAGTCCAAGTCACAGATGAGGTAAGAGAACCATAACCGCCCACAAAGACTGGAAGTAACTGTCAGAGAGAGCTCAGCCTGCATCACAGAGCAACGACCCATTGCAAAAAACAGTTTTTATAACAATATGTGATCAGTGAGAAACAGTTCCAAGCCAAGTTCTGCCCTTGTAACCTTAAAAATCATTGTAATGGGTATTTCCTTTCTTTTCTTTTCTTTTTTTTTTTTTTTTCTGGAGACGGAGTCTCGTTCTGTCGCCCAGGCTGGAGTGCGGTGGCGCGATCTTGGCGCGATCTCCACTCACTGCAACTTCCGCCTCCTGGGTTTAAGCGATTCTCCTGCCTCAGCCACCCAAGTAGCTTGGATTACAGGCGCATTCCACCATGCACGGCTAATTTTTGTAATTTTAGTAGAGACAGGGTTTCACCATGTTGGCCAGGCTGGTCTTGAACTCCTGACCTCAAGTGATCCGCCGGCC